>NW_025791756.1:0-314537 GCF_000001405.40 Homo sapiens | reverse complement strand
GTGCAGTGGTGCAATCTCGGCTCACTGCAACCTCTGCTTCCCGGGTTCAAGCAATTCTCCTGTCTCAGCCTCCTGAGTAGCTGGGATTACAGGCACACACCACCACACCTGGCTAATTTTTGTATTTTTAGTAGACACGGGGTTTCACCACGTTGGTCAGGCTGTCTTGAACTCCTGACCTCATGATCCTCCTGCTATGGCTTCCCAAAGTGCTGGGGTTACAGGCATGAGCCACTGCACCTGGCCCATTACATTATTTTTTAAAAATCAGTGTGACTCTTTTGACAAATTAGAATGGTTTAATAATCTTGGTTAGGCTGGGCATGGTGGCTCATGCCTGTAGTCCAAGCACTTTGGGAGCCCGAGGTCAGGAGTTTGAGACCAGCCTGGCCAACATGGTGAAACCCTGTCTCTACTAAAAATACAAACATTAGCCGGGCATGGTGGGGGGCTCCTGTAATCCCAGCTACTCAGAAGGCTGAGGCAGGAGAATTGCTTGAACTCAGGAGGCAGAGGTCGCAGTGAGCCAAGATCACGCCATTGCACTCCAGCCTGGGGGGGCAACAGAGTGAGACTCTGTCTCAAAAAACTAATAAATTAATAAAAATAAATATAAAAAATTAAAATTATGTGTTCAAATACATTAAATATATGGCAATGAAAATGAGGCCTAGCATGACTGACTGCATTTTGCTCCTAACCCTTCCTACCCTGTGGTGACATCTTCCAGGCTAACTGCTTTTTCTTATTTCTGCACATAGGCCAAGCTATCTATGGGAGGGATTTAGCTTACAGTTTAACTTTAAAGCACAGATGATAATAATCCCTTCCCCAAACTAACTCCTGAGAAGATAGAGAGGTTGTATACACAAGTAACAGTGTTATGCTGAAGATTTATAAGAGCAGTGTGACCTGACAAAGGACGAACAATTTTCACCATCCCCTTGGGCTCCCACTGCAGCCCATGTCTGTCATTGTCAGACCTCTTCACCTCAAGCGCCTCCTTCTTCCTCCCTTCCCTAACGTACAAGGAGCCGGAAAATCGTATTAATTTAAGATGGTTCTTCAGGATGTTACTTCACCATCTGTTCAGTTTGGTGGGTCTCTGGAATAAAGTCACCTTCCCTGCCCCTACACCTCAACCCTCGACATCTTGGCTGTCATGCAGCAAGCGGTGAGTGCAGTAAGCGGAGATCACACCACTGCACTCCAGTCTAGGTGACCCTGTCTCAAAAAAAAAAAAAAAGAGAGAGAGAGAAATTTGGTTTTAGAATCAGACAAATTAAATGGGAGACTTACTTCTAATGAGACCTAGAAATGTCTAAATTTCTAAAATTTCTAAAAGAACTGAGAAAATTGCCTCCATCCAGGAAGTAAGCTGAAGGAGGTAAACTGTCATGTTTTCTGAATTGAGAAATATTGAGGAGGCTTTGTCTCTTTCACTTCCAGCTGCTCCTTCTCCTCCTGCCCCTGCACCTGCATAGTCTTTCTTACCTGAGCCTTCCTGTCCTGCCTTGCCTCTTCTTCCATCACCATCACCTAAGGAAAGTCCCCAGGGGTCTGGACCCCTCCCTGAAACTTCTGTTCTGACAGCCCCTTTCAAGGTAAAACCCAAACCCACAGGAAGAGGGGAGCCTACCGTTGTGTATACCACTTCACCAAAACGTGAATTAAGAATATTATAAAGGACTTCCCTGATCTAAACTTAAATACATTTCACTCTTCTGTTTCTAAAGCAGGCTCCAAGATCCTGTAGGCTTTGGCAGAAAATTTGACTTAACTGTTGAAACCTTTGAGCCCAAATATTCTGATCTTTATCAATTAATTCACATGCTGGTGAAGAAGGGAAGGCCACTAACTGGTTGCAAAAGGTAAATTGGAAGGATTTTCAAAAAGAGACTGAAGCAGAACATGAAAGGTTCACATTTTCACCAAATATCTCCAAGTTGCCATTCCCCAGGTCCTTCCTAAAAATATAGATTGGAGGATAATTCAGCATTGTACTAAAAAGCCAGACAAATCTGTCTTTGCTTAACTAAAATGGTTTGAGAGCCAGGTGTGGTAGTTCATGCCTGTAATCCCAGCACTTTGGGAGGCTGAGGCGGGTGAATCACTTGAGGTCAGGAGTTCGAGACCAGCCTGCCAACATGGTGAAACCCTGTCTCCACTAAAAATACAAAAATTAGCCAGGTGGCTACTCAGGAGGCTGAAGCAAAAGAATTGCTTGAACCCAGGAGGTGGAGGTTGCAGTGAGCTGAGATCCTGCCACTGCAATACAGCCTGGGAGACAGAGCGAGACTCTGTCTCACAAAGAAAAAAATAAAAAGAAAAATAGAAAAAAAAACAGCAGGGTAGTAGAAATATAATGCACACAAGAATGATAATCATGAAGACAATCTGATTCTACAAGAGTAAGGGAACCTATTCCATTAGAGAGCCAACTGAAAACATCAAATCCCAGTTCACACCCCAGGGTGTGGGGCCACGTGCCTGTAGTCCCAGCTACTTGGGAGGATTAGTAAGGAGGTTTGCTTGAATTCATGAGGTCAAGGCAGAAGTAAACCCTGATCATGCCACTGCACTCCAGCCTGGGTGACAGTGAGACCTTGTCTCAAAAGCAAACAAACAAACAAACAAACAAAAACCCACAAAACCAAACAACAACAAATTGTCCCCTCACTCTGAAATGACAGTGGCAAACATCACTTTGCTATTGGAAAATTAATAGAAAAACACTCCCTTTTACTATCAACCTGGCTCTTTCTTTAACATGTCTGACCCATGGTTTAAAATGCCCAAAAGCTGATGTACTCAAATTATAATACACTTACCTGTTCTGCACCAGCATTTATTTTTGTCTGGAGGAGATCACCATCCATGGTCCTATAAATGTCTAACAGCATGGAATGATGAAGGGCAGTGTCTTTTAGGATATTTGGTTATATCTATACATATGGCTCTGAAGAAACCCAACGTTGGGTGAGTTCCCTCAAACTTTTCACTAGGCATGACCACTGCTCTATTTTAGATCGAGATTCTGTGGGGCAAAACCTGAGAATTATCTGCCTGGCTATCAAGAAGATAGCTCCTTGCATTTTTTGGGGGAGAACACTTTTGCTTCAAGGGAGTGTTTCCTCCCAGGATTAGAAATCTTTCTGTAACCTCAGGAAACATTGCTGATGAAAACCAGGCATGGTGTGCTGTACAACTTGTAGTAATAAGGCAGAAGTTAAAAGGAAAAGACAGGTTTCCCTGTACTTGGCTGACTCCAAGACCTGCCATAGATAGAGCCCTAGCAGATCCTCGGTAACACGATCTGAAAAGTCAGAGCCCCGAGGAATGTGTTCCGGAGACTCTCTCAACACAGCCCCTAGCAAAGATAAGAGGAAAAAACAACAAATGCCTTTACTACCTTCTCTTTCCCCCTTTCCATTTCTAATTATTCAAGTTTTGTTAAGTTCCTGATTTCCCTTCAGTGCAGCTGCAAGGTCACCAGCCATACTTGCATTGCAAGACCTGTGACAGTTTGATTAGCTGCCTTTCTTCTGCTTCTGTAAGCCCTCTTGCCTGCCCCACGAGTTTCGTGCCATCAAATTCCCGCCGCGCCATTCAAACTAGCCAACCCCCTTTCAGAAGTGTCTATAAAGTCAAGCCCTGTCTTTGTTCACGGCTCAGCTTTTGGATTTTAATCCACTGTGCCTGAGTGCAGTCAATAAATCCTCCTGTTCCACCTATCGGTCTCTCTGTTCTCCTGATTCCCACAACAGTAGTAGGGGACTGCGTTCACACTTTCCCCTGGTCTTTCATGGTATGAATAATAGACGGCATTTTTTTTTTTTTTTTTTTTTTTGCCTATAGTCGCAGGCTCAGTCTCAGTGATTGTATGCTGTGGTCAGCTGTTTTTGTTTTTGTGACACCTTGTTTTCTTGTTTACTGTCCTGGGACAGATGTCTGTAGTCACTTGTTTCCTTGGGAGGCAAATTTCAGTCTCTGTGGGGGAGGTCTCCCATGTTAGCTGTGGTGGTACTTGGCAGGCAGAGCTCAGGGATCTAGGCTTCCCTGCTTTGTAGATTGCTTAATGGTCCCCAAGGCCTACTGGCTTTTAACACCACTTGAAAACCTTAGTGTTTTTCCGCTGTCCCCAGAATCACCTCTTACACAGCCTCTTTTTTTGTTTGTTTGACTTTTTCCCTGAGACAGAGTCTCACTGTATCTGGTGGCATCTTGGTTCAAGTGATCCTCCTACCACAGCCTCTGGAGTAGCAGAGGCACGAGTCACCACAGCCAGCTGATTTCTGTTGTTTTTGTTGTTGTGGTGGTTGTTTTGTTTTTTAAGAGTTGAAGTTTCTCCATGTTGCCCAGGTTGGTCTCCAACTCCTGGACTCAAATGATCCGCCCTACCTCAGCCTTCTAAAGCACTGGGATTACAGGTGTGATCCATCATACCTGGCCAGCCCCTGCTTTTCACTATAGCATCCATGGGAGTTTCTAGGATTTCCGTGCTGGGGGGAACGTGCACTCAGCTCATAGAGCCAAGTAGTAATTGTACTTGGAACTGGTGCCATGCTTCAGGGAGTGTTTATTCAATTTGCTAGGAGCCCATGAGGCACAGGTACATGGTGACTCAGTAGTTCCCACTGCACCCATCGCCCTCCTTGGTCCTCTCACTGTCTCTGGCAGGCAGTAACATTCTGTGTGAGCTCCGGTGCTGAAGACACCCAGGCAGGAAGGGTAGGGAAGGGCACCAGCCCCTTAGGTCCTGCACATTAGGGATCCAAGAAAGGTCTTGAAGAAACAGAAAGGGAGCATTGGGAGTAGATCAAAGTGAAAGAAAGAAATCCTAGGAGATTTCCTATCTGAAGGCACCATGAAGAGAAAGTCTGCCTCCTCTGGGCTGCATCCTCCCTTTGCAGGTGAACCGAGTTCTGGTCTCCATAGGAAACCAAAGCAGATAACTTTGTCCTGACTCCTAGTTAGGAAGCCAGGCTTTGTCTTCCCCTGTTTAATGCTTGATCCTGTAGTACTTGATTGTCTCTCCTGGGCTTTCTATGGATTCCAGGGATGCAACTGAGAAGTTTATTTTTAAAGCACTTTTCCTTGAAGTAAGAGTATTTTTGGCCAGGCGCAGTGGCTCACGCCTGTAATCCCAACACCTTGGGAGGCAGAGGTGGGCAGATTACTTGAGGTCAGGAGTTCGAGACCAGCCTGGCCAACATGGTGAAACTCTGTCTCTACTAAAAATACAAAAATTAGCTGGGTGTGTTGGTGCAGGCCTGTAGTCTCAGCTACTCATGAGGCTGAGGCGGGAGAATCCTGTGAACATGGGAAGTGGAAGTTGCAGTGAGCTGATGTCAAAAAAATTTATTTTACTTTATTTTATTTATTTATTTATTTATTTATTTATTTATTTATTTATTTATTTATTTTGAGACGGGGTCTCGCTCTGTTGCCCAGGCTGCAGTGCAGTGGCACCATCTCAGCTCACTGCAGGCTCCGCCTCCTGGGTTCACGCCATTCTCCCACCTCAGCCTCCGGAGTAGCTGGGACTACAGGCGCCCACCACCACACCCAGCTAATTTTGTTTTTGTATTTTTAGTAGAGTCAGGGTTTCACCATGTTAGCCAGGATGGTCTCGATCTCCTGACCTCATGATCCGTCCACCTTGGCCTCCCAAAGTGCTGGAATTACAGGCGTGAGCCACCACACCTGGCCTAAAAAAAAAAAAAAAAGTATTTTAGAATCTTTTGGCAAAGGAAATGATTTCTGACTGACAGGTTTTGCACTTAAGACATTCAGGTGTGAGGAAAACACGAAAACCACTATGCTAGGGAAAGGAAATGCTGTTGAGAATGTCTCACAAGCACAAACTACATGTCAGCAGGTAGGTTTGACCCTCAGGTTGGGCACATTTTACTTTAAGCACACTGTCGGTGGAACTTACAATGAATCTAAGACATTCATGATGTGTGTGTGTGTGTGTGTGTGTGTGTGTGTGTGTGTATGAGAGACAGAGAGACAGGGTCTTGCAATCTTGCCCATACTGGTCTCCAACTCTGGTCCTCAAGCGATCCTCCTGTCTCCTCCTCCCAAAGTGCTGGGACTACAGGCATGCACCACCTGGTCCAGCCCATTTTAATGTTTTTAACTTAAATACACATTCCAAAAATTATATAAGTACAGGAAGCCAACTTTATGCCAGTTTTACAAAAACAAAGTGGCAACATCCTAAAGTACTGAAAGAAATAAAGTTTTCCTAGAATTCTATGTCAAAGTGAAAAATCTTTCAAGAATGTGACTGAAATAAGGACATTTAAAGACATACAAAAAAATGAAAGAATTCAGCAACCCACACTACAAGGATACCAGACAGAAATCTGCATCTACACAAAGAAATGGAGACTACTGGAAATCGGTATGTACACAGTTAAATATACATGTTCTTATTATTTAAATCTTTTAAAATAATTTGACCGATTAAACAAAGGCAATAATAATGGATTCTGGGTTTTATAACATGTCTAAAATCAAATTACATGACAACACTAGCATAATGGCCAGAAGGGGAGGTATAATGTCACTAGATGGCACTGATAAAGATGTATTCTGGAAACCCTGAAGCCTTCACTGAAAAAGCAAAAGGAGGGAAAGAAGTCAGGGAGTGGTGGACCAGAAGAAAGAAAGAGTTATACCTAATAAGCCAACAAAGGAAAGAAAATGGAATGATATAAAAACCATGTAATCACTGTGCTGGAACAACTGCTCTCCATGCACTCCAGCCTGGGAGACAGTGAAACCCTGCCTCAAAAAAAAAAAGCCCACCGTTAGGGCTGGGCAGGGTGGCTCATGCCTGTAATCCTAGCACTTGGGGAGGCCAACCTCGGGTTGATCACCTGAGGTCAGGAGTTCAAGACCAGCCTGGCCAATATGGCGAAACCCCATCTCTATTAAAATACAAAAAAATGAGCCAGGCATGGTGGCGGGTGCCTGTAATCCCAGGTACTTGGGAGGCTGAGGTAGGAGAATCGCTAGAACCCTAGTAGGGGAGATTGCAGTGAGCCGAGGTTGCGCCACTGCACTCCAGCCTGGGCAACAGAGCGAGACTCCGTATCCAAAAAAAAAAAAATCCTACACGTAAAAGGTCACCAAGGCTAGCAAAAATCACCTGGTGGCCATAAAGCAGACCATCCAGAGGCAAAACTCCTTATCTGAGGAATTTAGAGGCAATTAGAGTTCCTTACTATCTAAAGCAAGAATCTAGTTCCAGGCTTCTTTCCCAAAAATTTATAAGTAACTAGAATGTCTGCTTTTTTTTTTTTTTTTTTTGAGGCAGAGTCTTGCTCTGTTTCCCAGGCTGGCGTGCAGTGGCACAATCTCGGCTCACTGCTACCTCCATCTCCTGGGTTCAAGCAATTCTCTGCCTCAGCCTCCCAAGTAGCTGGAATTACAGGTGCCCGCCACCATACCCGGCTAATTTTCGTATTTTTAGTAGAGACAAGGTTTCACCATCTTGGCCCGGCTGGTCCTGAACTCCTGACCTCGTGATCCACCGCCTTGGCCTCCCAAAGTGCTGGGATTACAGGCATGAGCCACCGTGCCCAGCCAGTAACTAGAATTTCTATACATCTCTGGAATACATGCCTATCAAAACTTGTGCAACCCTTGCTCACATTAAGGCACCAAAATGTCTACAAATGTAGTACATTGTGAGCCACCACAACCGGCCTACAAGTTTTTTTTTTTTAATCATTGGGTCAGGAGTGAATTGTTGGGCTGGTGGATGATGTCTGTAATCCCAGCACTTCGGGAGGCCGAGGTGGGTGGATCACTTGAAGTTAGGAATTCAAGACTAGTCTGGCCAACACACTGAAACCCCACCTCTACTAAAAATACAAAAATTAGCTGGGTGTGGTGGCAGGCGCCTGTAATCCCAGTTACTTGGGAGGCTGAGGCAGGAGAATTGCTTGAACCCAGGAGGCAGAGGTTGCAGTGAGCCGAGATTGCGCCAGTGTACTTCAGCCTGGGTGACAAGAGCGAAACTCCGTCTCAAAAAAAAAAAGGAAATCTTTTTTTTTTTTTTTTACAATATGGGCTTATTCTGTATTACTTTTCTGAACCTTTCACTTAATATATCGTAACCATCTGTCCAGTCATTGAACGTTCTTCTATAACATTTGGAATGACATCATAGTGTGCCATTATATGAATAACCCATGGTTTATTATACAAGTCCCCTACTGCTGAATGTTTAGGTCTTTCTAACTTTTTGCTATTAAAGTCTGGCATGATAGAAAGACTCTGCAAGTTAGCCTTCAGATGCCCAGCAAATCCAGTTAACCAGAGCAATTACCTCTAAGCCTCCTGGTGAATGTCGTTTTGCTGATGGTGGGCAGAGTCCACCCCAGCCGAGCCGCTGGATTTGGCAGGCACTTGGCCTTAGCAACCTGAGGGTGGTAACTCCAATCAGTTGTTTCCCTGTTACCTGAGTTGCAGATTTAGAGCCCTCTGCAGTGAGCAGGTGAGCACCTGGCATGATTCTTTTCTGGCGGGTGGTCTTGGGGGTCACTGGGCCAGTCACCACCTGGTGACAGGACAGGGTGACCGGTGGGCGGCAGCACTGGGGATTCAAATGACCGCAGCCCGGTCAGGCTGAGCTGAGCAGAGCCAAGGACTCAGCACAGCAGGGAACGTAGGCTCTACACAGAGAGGGGAGCTGGAGGCCCCCCCAAGGAGGTTAAGTATGTGCCACCCTGCAGCAGGGTCCTATGGGCTTTGGGAGTGAGAGGGTCAAGGGGAGAGGAGCTGTGTTTGCCGCCCCCTGTTAAAACCTCAAGTGAGTCAGCACGGTGTAGAGGAAAGAGCATGGGATTGGAAGCCATTGAACTTCCTGCGTGTGTCCTTGGGCAAATGACTGCATGTCTCTGATCCTCAATCTCCCCTTCTATAAAATGGAGATGATCCTAGAACCTGCTTCACGGGAGTGTTCAGAGGGGACTGTGGACAGAGCGGGAACATAGAAGAGGAAGTAGGCGGCAGTGTGGTTCACAGCCAGCGCAGGCTGCCCGCAGGGTGCAGGTACTGTCACCAAGGGAGACCCAAGATGCCCTGGAGAGAGGGGCAAGGACACAGGCCTGAGCCCAGCCCTGGTGATATGAACACTGGAGTGGGCTTCACAGGGACAGGCAGCATCAGAACTGGACTGGGGAGGTCATGAGCCCACCAGGGCCTGGGTAGGGACATAGCAAGTCTGGGGACTCCAGACAGGGTCACACAGACCTGGGCCATGCTGGGCATCCAGGGACTGGCTGTGCATACTGGCAGATGTCAGTCAGCCCTCCTGCAGTTGGGCCAGGGACACCTCAGGGAAACTGTGACCTTCCTTCCAATCTTGGTAACATCACCCTTCCAACCCAAACCCCAGGGAATGGCCCGAATCTCTCCTGACAAACAGCTCTCAGCCCTGGTCCAGGCCACAGTCTTGCTTGCACTGGGCCGGGTTTCAGAGCCCGAAGGGCACACTGGCAGCCTTTAGTGCAGTGTTTCAGATGTCACAGACAGGTTCCTCTTTGACAAAGATGGAACTTCCACTGCTTCCCTCCTACCACGCAGGAAACACAGAAGCAACCATCAGCCGCGGGCCTGCTGGCCGTTCTCTCTGGGTACTGTGTTTGGAAAAAACACAAAATCATTAAATTAAACATGCTTTTTCAAACCAAACACATCCCTCTCTTAGCCCTAGAGATTCAGAGCTGCCTCTCCCTTTGAAAATGAATGATCTCGGCCGGGTGCGGTGGCTCACGCCTGTAATCCCAGTACTTTGGGAAGCCAAGACGAGTGGATCGCGAGGTCAGGAGTTCGAGACAAGCTTGGCCAATATGGTGAAACCCCGTCTCTACTAAAAATACAAAAATTTGGCCGGGCACAGTGGCTCACGCTTGTAATCCCAGCACTTTGGGAGGCCGAGGCGGGCAGATCATGAGGTCAGGAGATCGAGACCACGGTGAAACCCTGTCTCTACTAAAAATACAAAAAATTAGCCCGGCGTGGTGGCGGGCACCTGTAGTCCCAGCTACTCAGAGAGGCTGAGGCAGGAGAATGGCGGGAAACGGGAAGTCGGAGCTTGCAGTGAGCCGAGATCGCGCCACTGCAGTCCAGCCTGGGTGACTCCGTCTCAAAAAAAAAAAAAAAAAAAAAAATCAGCCGGGCGTGGCAGCGGGCGCCTGTAGTCCCAGCTACTCAGGAGGCTGAGGCAGGAGAATCTCTTGAATCCGGGAGGCGGAGGTTGCATTTAGCCGAGATTACACCACTGCCTGGGCAATAGAGTGAGACTCCCTCAAAAAAAAAAAAAAAAAGAAGAATGATTTCATCCCATGCCTTCAATAACAGAAGGAGGTCGAAGCCCAGTCGGGGGTTGAAACGAACATATTGTTACAGTAGAAAGGACACGAGACAGGCGCGCCGCCGGGTTGAGTCTCCCGAACAAAATGAGGCCAGAGTGCCTTCCCCAGGATTGCACGTCAGTCAGGAAAACAAAGGCATTCTCTCTGACCGGTCAAATCACCGAAGCTTCGGGATCGTCGTTGGGGGCTGTGACAGGGCTGGCATGAAACGTCCCCTCGTTCTGGCTGGGCGATGGGTCAGGAGTTTCAGGCCTTTGAGGCCCGGCCAAACCGCAGGGGGACTCTGCAGCCGGGTCGGGGTTTCGATCCTGCGCTGCGGTCTTACAACTGCGAAACCTTGGGGGTCGTGGTTCGTTCCTGTGGAATCCTCCTTCGTGCGTGCAGGAGGAGCCTAGCTTGCCCGGCGGTGCGAGGCTGCAAGCGGGAGGGCTCACCAGGCGTTTCCGCCCAGGGTGGTCCCTGTAAGCGCCGCAGACCCGCGGCCCCTGGCGCCCGGCCCCGCCCCCGCCCCCGCCTCGGCCCCGGCCTCGCCTCCGCCCCGGCCTGAGCCTCTCTCGCGCGGCGCAGGCTCCGCCCCCGGTTCTCCCCGCCTAGTGGAAGGGACGCCCCGCCCCGCCGCACCCGGTGCGGCCCCTCGGCCTCGGCGGCAGCGGCTGCGGAGAAGGCGAGCGAAGGTAGGAGGCTGGGGGTGCGCGCGTGCGCGGGGGCTGGACCGACGCGCTCCGGGCGAAGGAGGCCGTTCGCCTGGGGGCGGGCTGGAGCCAAGTCCCGGGGCTAGGGGCGCTGTGGGCGCCGCGCCCGCCGCTGCCCGGCACCGGAAGCCAAGAGGGCGTTCCCGACGGGCTCCGCAGATGCCCCTCCGCGTCCTGCCGCCCATCCTGCCGGGATTGTCGCGGGCCGGGGGCGCGACAGGAGGCCGAGGCCTGCCCGGGCGCAGAGGCCTGCCTGGGCGCAGCGGCCTGCAGGGCGCAGCCGTCCCTCCGCCGGTCGGGGTCCCCTCGCTCCGCGGGCGGCCGTGGGAGGCCCTCGCGACGGCCGCTACCCCTCGCAGATGCCCTCTGCAGCTCCTGCGTGCGGGCCCCGCCCTGCACTGCCCTCCTAGTGTGGGACGCGGTTTCGTCTTCATTGCAACCCTGCCGAGTCGGAAGCATCTCCATTGTGCGGATGGGTAAACTGAGGCCCAGAGCGCGCGGTTGGGCTGGCCACGGAGGCAGGGCCGCCGGATGCTGTGCGGGGATGGGGCCCTGCACCCCTTGCGCCTCTCACCATGGGGCCTCAGGCCCCTGTGCCCGGCAGCGTCTCTGGAGTGGGCATTTTGAACGAGCTCCCTCCTGATTTTCACACAGACTTAAGCCTGACGACCGTGCTGGGGCGGATGTCTGCCCCTCTGGTGACCAGGTCACAGCTCCCTTGGGAAGACGATTGACTGGGGAATGGGGACCCTGGGGAGGGGGCCTTCAGGGTGCCATCTGTCTGTTTACGCCAGAAAACAGATTTCTGTTTTCTTTCGCTGGGCTCACAGCAGGTGCTTAATAAACAGATCTTGTGGCGGGAGCAGAGGACAGCGAGGTTCAGGCACGACTCCAGGAGTCAACCCCTGGATCTCGGAGGCTCCCCACCCGCGCACATTTCCCTGACTTAACCCTCCCCTCCCCAGTCTTTCAGCCCTAGGAGGGGAGGCCCCCTTTCCACCCAGGTGGCCCCTGTGGGGGTCACTCCCTGGTTTTCACCCTGAACTTCTGGGATGCGGCAGATGCTGGATATGTGTTCGCTGGTGTCCTTGGCTCTTAGCATTCATTAATTCATTCAGCAGCTCTTCATGGAGCTTTGGCCTTAGCCCATGCACTGTGGAAGTGGCAGTGAACTAAGCCAACCTGGCACTTTGGGAGGCTGAGGTGGGAGGACGGCTTGAGCCCAGGAGTTGGAGACTAGCCTGGGCAACATCTCATCTCTACAACAAGTAAAAAATTAGCCAGGCATGGTGGCATGCACCTGTGGTCCCAGCTACTCAGGAGGCTGAGGTGGCCTCCCAGAGGCCCCCCCTCCTGGGCCTCCCTTAAGCCCAGGAGGTCAAGGCTGCAGTGAGCCATGATTTTGCCACTGCACTCCAGCCTGGACAACAGAGCAAGACCCTGTCTCAAAGAAAAAAAAAAGGAGGAGACAGACAACATACATGTTGGAGAAAACGGAACAGCCACTGGAGGGACCTCTTTAGCTGAGAGTCAGGGGTAGGTCCCTCAGAAGGTGATACTTTTGAGCAAAAATCTGGCCGACAAGCGGGGGAGTCAGCTGTGCAAAGGAAGAGGGAAGAGCGTCCCAGGCAGAGAAAGTGGCAGTGCAAAGGCCCAGAGGTGGGTGCATGCCTGGTGTTTGAGGAATCAAGAAGGCCATGAGCAGCCGGGTGTGGTGGCTCACACCTGTAATCCCAGCACTTTGGGAGGCCAAGGTGGGTGGATCACTTGAGGTCAGGAGTTTAAGACCAGCCTGGCCAATACAGTGAAACCTCATCTCTACTAAAAATGCAAAAATTAGCTGGGCATGGTGGTTCATGCCTATAATCCCAGCTACTCGGGAGGCTGAGGTAGGAGAATTGCTTGAACCCAGGAGGCAGAGGTTGCAGTGAGCAGAGATCGTGCATTACTGCACTCTAGCTCCAGCGTGGGCAACAGAACAAGACTCTGCCTCAAAAAAAAAAAAAAAAGAAAAAAAAAAAGGAGATGAGGTGGGAGAAGTGGAGTGGGACCAGATCTGGTGGGCCCTGTGGGCCATGGAAGGACTTTGAACTTCATTTTAGGTGCGGTAAGGGCTAGTAGAGGGCCTTGGGTAGGGGAGGGATATGACCTTTACTGTGTGAAACTTGAGTGGGTGAGGGGATGAGCAGGAAGCATAGAGACCCTCGGGGAGCCATCTCAGCAGTCCAGGCAGTGGCTTATATAATACACATCGGCGTCCTGGGGTGGTGCCAGGTACACAGCAGGCGCTGCAGGATGGAAGTCATTGCCGTTACTGGTTTTGTTTATTTGAGACAGGGTCTTGCTCTATCACCCAGGCTAGAGTGCAGTGACACAACCATGGCTCATTGCAGCCTCAACCTTCCAGGCTCAAGCAATCCTCCTGCCTCAGCCTCTCAAGGAACTGGGACTACAGGAGGTGCATGCCACCATGCCAGGCCAATTTTTTGTATTTTTTTTTTGGTAGAGATGGATTCTCACTATGTTGCCAGGGCTGGTCTCAAACTCCTGGGCTCAAGCAATCCTCCTACCTCAGCCTCCCAAAGTGTTGGGACCACAGGTGTGAGTCACTGCACCCGGCTTGCTGTTATTATTTAAAACTCTGGGCTGGGCGCAGTGGCTCATGCCTATAATCCCAGCACTTTGAGAGGCCGAGGCGGGTAGATCACTTGAGGTCAGGAGTTTGAGACCAGCCTGGCCAACATGGTGAAACCCTGTCTCTACTAAAAATACAAAAATTAGCTGGGCGCGGTGGCGCATACCTGTAATCCCAGCTACTCAGGAGGCTGAGGTAGGAGAATTGCTTGAGCCCAGGAGGCGGAGGTTGCAGTGAGCCGAGATTGTGCCATTGCACTCCAGACTGGGTGACAGAGTGAGACTCCATCTCAAAAACAAAACAAAACAAAACAAACAAACAAAAAACAAAAACCCTTTGGAATCAGGCACACCTAGGTCGCGGCTGTGACTTGAGCTCTTTGTGGCTGGGTGCATTGGAGCCAATTATTTAACTTCGCTGAGACTTCACGCTGTCATCTGTAAAGTGAGTAGGGTGGTGCCAGGAGTGTTAAAGCAGGTAAGGGACAGATGTAACGTTTTGGGCACAGGGCCTGGCTCGTGGTTGGTTCAATATTTTTGTCATAATTTCTAGTCAGCAGCAGGAGGATAATGAAGGGGTAAGCGGATAAGAGCAGCTGCTATGTTTGAAACGAGTAATCTTTGAGGGGCTTTTTGGCTAGTTCCTGCCGCTAGCCCTGGCAAAAGGCAAGTTTGGAGGGTGGTAGTGGGGAGGGAAGGGTACAAAGGGTGTCTCCTCTGTATTTGGTCACCAAATAATGTCTCAGCATCTAGAACAAGGCACAGGGTTCTAGCTTGGGGACTAGAAAGAGCCAATAATACTCATGATAGTAATGATAACAGTAGTAATAGCCAACACTTACCCGCTGTTGAACTGCAGGTAGTAATTAAGGTAACACTAGCTAATGTGATAGTGAAACCCTGAATTCTCAGAGGCTTAGCGCAATAGAAGTTTATTTCTCATTCATGAAAAGCCCTGTTGGGTGTTTGGCAGGTGGCTTTCTATGTGGCGACCCAGGGACCGAGATCCCTTCTGTCTTGTGGTTGCGGCATCCCCTAGGACCTTGGAGTTATTTCCTTCTAGCTGATGGACCAGGAAGGAGAGAAATAATTTTATGGACCAAGCCTAAAGTGGCACGCTGTCTTTCTGTCTTAATTCTATGGACCAGAACTTGACCACATGGCCGTATCTGACTGCAAGGGAGTCTGGGAAATGGCTTTTAGCCATATTCCTAAGAGGAATCGGAAATGCTTTGTGGTGAGCACATTGCAGTTTCTGCCACACCATATCCAGGCATATAGCTTAGCACGGAGTATTTTATTTAATGCTCATGCTAGAAACAGGCACCATTATTATCCCATTTTGCAGATGAGGAAACTGAAGCTCAGAGAAGTGAAGACACTGGTGCAGGGTCACACAGCTGGTGAGGGGCTGGTGAGCCAAGATTGGAGTCCAGGTGGCCAGATGCTGAAGCTGTTAGCATCCAGATTTCTAAGAGGAATTCAGTCATTTTTTTTTTTTTTTTTTTTTGGAGAATTGGGTGGAAGCAGTGGACATATACACGGGGTTCAGATATGACTTCCTGGGACCCACAGAACCCAGCAGGACTCTGGGGGAGAACTTTGGGGATGGAGCCAAGGGTGGGTGTCACCTGGTGCCAGGGGCTGACATCCTGTCTCCTTCCCCCAACCCTTAGGACTGTGGTCAGGAGAAGGCACAGAATAATTGAGTTCAGTCCCTCAAGGACATCTGGGGCCCCCTCTGCTGAGCTAGGCATGCAGGGCTGGACATGCTGGTCCAGGGGTATTTGTGGCTTCCCCCCTGCTCTGGTGGGCAGGTGTGCAACCTGTAGAGGGGATTTTTGGAGGCTGCCTAGAGGTAGAAGAGTGGGCGTCCCTGGGGTTTGTAGTGGCAGCTCTATGCTGCTGGCTGGATTAGTTTTCTTTTTTTTTTTTTTTTTTGAGACAGAGTCTCTCTCTGTCACCCAGGCTGGAGTGCAGTGGTGCGATCTCAGCTCACCAAAACCTCTACCTCCCAGTTTCAAGTGGTTCTTGTGCCTCAGCTTCCCGAGTAGTTGGGACTACAGGCACCCACCACCATGCCCAGCTAATTTCTGTATTTTTAGTAGAGACGGGGTTTCACCACATTGGCCAGGCTGGTCTAGAATTCCTGACCTCAAGCGATCCACCTGCCTTGGCCTCCCAGTGTTGGGATTACAGGCATGAGCCACCGCACCTGGCCAGTGGCTGGTTTGGTTTTGCCCAAATCTGGCTTGCTTGCCATTGCAACTTGGCAACATTTATCTTTTTGGCCCTGTTTCTTGGTTTTCCATTTGCAGGGCAGGTTCCTTAGTTGGGCGTGAGCGGTCCAGCCTGGACTGATGAGCATTTATACAGCACCGTGGCATTCTGGGTCTGACCTGGATACAGAAGTAGAGCCTCAAAGCACAAATGCCTCGGCCTTGCCCTTCAGTCACTCATTGGGAGGCTGCTGGTCTAAGTGGAATGAGCTTTGGGCTCACCACTTCCCTGAAGCATGTCGCCTTGAATAGGTGAGAGCCCAATCTCTCTGAGCCTCAGTTTTCTCATCTGGAAATGGGTTGAAGTAAGGATTTAATGAGATAATGTGAATATGCCCCCTTTGGGGCACAGCATGGAGCAGCGGGCACCCAGAGGTCAAGGGCTGAGGCATAGCAGTGTAGCAGGACGAGCCGCAGGCAAAACTCCTCAGTCACCAGGTTAAAGAAGGAAGGAGCTTTATTCGGCCGGGAACTTCAGGAGACTTGTGTCTTAAAAGCCGAGCTCCTCGAGTGAGCAATTCCTGTCCTTTTTCAGGGCTTACAACTCTAAGGGCAGGAGGCCAGACACGTGATGCTAATGACAATAGGAACAGCAGCCACCATTGGCTAATAGCTCACCACCTGCCAGGTGTGGTAGGTACTATCAGTCGCATTTTTTTGTTGTTTTTGGTAGGACAGAGTCTCGCTATGTTGCCCAGGCTGGTCTCAAACTCCTGGGCTCAAGCGATTCTCCCATTTTGGCCTCCCAAAGTGCTGGGGTTACAGACCTGAACCACCACACCCAGTCTAGTATCATTTTATTTTATTTTATTTTATTTTTTTGAGACAGAGTCTTGCTCTGTAACCCAGGCTGGAGTACTGTGGCACAATCTTGGCTCACTGCAACCTCCTCCTCCTGGGTTCAAGTGATTCCCCTGCCTCAGCCTCCTGAGTAGCTGGGATTATATGCACATGCCACCACGCCCCAGCTAATTTATTTATTTATTTATTTATTTATTTATTTATTTATTTATTTTTTGAGACAGAGTCTTACTCTGTTGCCAGGCTGGAGTGCAGTGGTGTGATCTCCGCTCATTGCAGTGTGGCCTCTTGGGGCTTCCTCCGTGCCTCTGCTCGGTAACCATAGCGATCTTCCAGGGAACTGTGGGCATGGGTTGGTGACACTCAAAATGCGAGTGATAGGGAGGTGAACAAGGTAGGCCCTCCCACTACTGGGCTGGTATTCTGGGAACAACAGACAAGCTAACTGATGTCTTTAATGCCACAGTCAGCTTCAAGGTTCAAGCGATTCTCCTGACTCAGCCTCACAAGTAGCTGGGACTACAGGCATGCACCAACATGCCCAGCTAATTTTTGTATTTTTAGTAGAGACGGGGTTTCACCATGTTGGCCAGGATGGTCTCAATCTCTTGACCTCGTGATCTGCCCACTTTGGCCTCCCAAAGTGCTGGGATTACAGACTAATTTTTGTATTTTTAGTAGAGATGGAGTTTCACTATGTTGGCCAGGCTGGTCTCGAACTCCTGACCTCAAGTGATCTGCCCGCCTCAGCCTCCCAAAGTGCTGGAATTACAGGCTTGAGCCACTGCGCCTGGCCTGGTCTAGTCTCCTTTTAGAGATGAGAAAACTGAGGCTCAGGGAGGTAACCTGTTCAAGGTCATGAACTGTCTTAAGACCATAGTTGCAAGTGACAGAGCTGGGTCTCAGATGCAACCTCAGACCTGATACTGACTCCAGAGCTGTGCGCCTAAGCACTAGAGCACATAGCCTCCTTGCCCCAGGGAAAGAACAATGGGAGGTTGTGGGTGACCTCTGGGTCTCAGGGCCCTGGGATATAGGGACTGTGCCTTTTTTTTTTTTTTTTTTTTGAGACAAAGTTTCGCTCTTGTTGCCCAGGCTGGAGTGCAATGGCATGATCTCAGCTCACTGCAACCTCCGCCTCCCAGGTTCAATTGATTCTCCTGCCTCAGCCTCCCAAGTAGCTGGGATTACAGGCATGTGCCACCACACCCGGCTAATTTTTGTATTTTTGGTGGAGATGGGGTTTCGCCATATTGATCAGGCTGGTCTCGAACTCCTGACCTCAGGTGATCCGCCTGCCTTGGCCTCCCAAAATGCTGAGATTACAGGTGTGAGTGCCCATGCCTGGCAGGACTGTGCCTTTTGCATTTTCAAATGAAGGAAATGAGTATTTCTTGAGTGTTGACCGTGTGTCCCCCCGGCACCGTGTCATGTGCTGGTTATGCACACACGATATTCTGTTTCATCCCCGGACAGCTCTGTGAGGTGAGTACCAATATTATTCACATCTTACGTAAGAGGACACTGAGTCTCAGAGAGAGGCAGAGTCACTGTCCCTGGTGCACCCAGCTAGTAGGGGCTGGGGTGGGTGTGAAGGGGCCAGAAGCTTCCCAATAAGTGCCTGAAGGGCAAGGCTAGGGCATTTGTAGTTCGAGGCTCTACCACTCTGTCTAGGTCAGACCTAGGAATGCTGCAGGTGTTGCATAAATGCTCATCAGTCCAGGCTGGACCGCTCTTGCCCAACTAAGTGCCAAGCCTGGCCTGGCTGATCTCACAGCCTGCATTCTTTGCCCTACACCTGTTGTGGGAAAACGTAAATCCTCTCATTCTTAGCTAACCTTGTGACCCCCGTTCTGGGCCAGCAAAGATGATCCCAAATACTTAGGACTCTGGCCTTTCGCACTACGTGGCTACTGACCCCACCCCCTGGGCTTGGAGGGCTCTAGGACCCAACAACCTGCGGAGGGTGAAGAGTGTGTGAGGTCCTGACCTCCAGCTGCCTCCCCTCCTTTCCTCCCCCCATTCCCTCTTCTCTCTCCTCCCTCCCTTTCTCTCCCTTCTCCTCCCCTCTCTTCATCCTTCCTCTTCCTTTGGCTCCCCACCTCTGCTTCCCTCCTCTCCTGTCCTTTTCCATCCCCTCCCTCCTCAGCCCCCACCCCAGAGCCTGGAGTTGCAGAGGCAGCTACAGGAGGAGCAGGCCTCCTACCAGCGCAAGCTGCAGGCCTACCTGGAGGGCCAGCAGCGGCAGGCCCAGCTTGTGTGCAGCGGCTGCAGGGCAAGGTCAGGGCCACCCACTCCTGCTCCTGCCCTCCCACATGTTCATTTTGCCCTGCCCCCACCCATGGGGGTCACCATCAGCTCCCCATCCCCACATTCTCCAGTACAAGAAGAGGTACTCGGAGCTGGAGCAGCAGCTGCTGGAGAGATCCGGAGAGCTGGAGCAGCAGCGGCTAAGGGTGGGTGCCAGGGTGGGGCAGGGGCAGGCCTGCCCCTGCCCTCCACCTGCCCTGCCTGATGCTTTAACCTCTCTCCCACCCAGGACACAGAGCACAGCCAAGACCTGCAGAGTGCCCTCATCCGGCTGGAGGAGGAGCCGCAGAGGTGGGGGCACAACAGGGAGGGCCAGGGCTGGCAGCATGGCCCCCTGGGCAAGCGCCTACTGATCCCCTTTGCCCTATTCAGGAGTGCCAGCCTGGCCCAGGTGAAAGCCATGCTCCGAGAACATCTGGACCAGGCAGGCTCGGCCAACCAGGCTCTGAGTGAGGACATACAAAAGGTGACCAATGACTGGACACGCAGCCGCAAGGAGCTGGAGCAGCGGGAGGCGGCATGGAGGCGCGAGGAGGAGGTGGGCATGGGGGTGCAGGGAGGCCAGCCTGACCCAAGGGGAGGGGCACTGCAGAGGAGGGAGGACTCAGAAGCCTGGAGAGGGAGAGGGAGCACTGTCCAAGGGAGCCTGTTAGCAGAAGTAAATAGCCATCATCACAATAGCTGGTCTTTATCAATGCGTAGCATGTACCACGTGCACGGTGTGCGTTGACCTTTATTCCTGGTGATAACTGCATGTGGTAGGTGCTATCATCCTCCTGATTTTAAAGACAGGTTAAGGCCGGTCGCAGTGGCTCACGCCTGTAATCCCAGCACTTTGGGAGGCTGAGGCAGGCGGATCACTTGAGGTCAGGAGTTCGAGACCAGTCTGGCCAACATGGTGAAACCCCGTCTCTACTAAAAATACAAAAATTAGCTGGGCGTGATGGTGCACGCCTGTCATCCTAGCTATTTGGGAGGCTGAGAGATCATGCCACTGCACTCCATCCTGGGCAACAGAGCAAGACTCTGTCTCAAAATAAATAAATAAAGAGAGATTAAGTAACCTGCCCACAGTCATGCAACTGGCAGCTGGGATGCAAAGCTAGGTCACTTGCATTTTTGCCCTTCCTTGCTGCCTCTTGCAGCCAAAAGGGGACTTGAAACCCAGGTCCCTGTGCAGGAGGGAGCCATGAGGCTTGGGAGGCTGAGCGTGGCTGCTGCGACACAGCTCTGTGCACAGACCCACAGGAAGACCCAATCCCTGAACGACGGTGCCTCCCAGGATGGTCGGAGATGAGGGAAGCAGTGGGAGGGAGTAAACCCGCTCTCACCCCAACCCTTCCCTCGGCATGTCTTCCCTCCAGTCTTTCAATGCCTACTTCAGCAAGAAGCACAATCACCTGCTCCTGCTATGGAGGCAGGTGGTGGGGTTCCGGCGGCTGGTCAGCGAGGTGAAGATGTTCACCGAGAGGTGAGGCCTGGCCAGGGATGGGCAGCAGCTGAGAGCCAGCCCTGCTCTTTACATCCAACTCAACTCAGTTGAATTTCAGTTCAACTCAATGCACCTGCTGTGCACAAGGGCCTGTGAGGACACAGAGGCAACTTGTAATAACCATTACCACAGTCGTGGCAGTCAGCATTTATTAGATGTTTACTCTGGGCTAGGCTCTTTGTATATTTCATTTCAACTAATATTCATAGCTTCCCTGTGAGGTAGGAACTGTGTTCATTCCCATTTTATAGATGAGGACATTGAGGTACAGAGAGGTTGAGTGATCTTCCTGAGGTGGCACAGTAGTACATAAGTGGCTGAGTCAGAGTTTGAAGTTCCTGATTTATTTATTTATTTATTTATTTATTTATTTTGAGATGGAGTCTCACTCTGTCACCAGACTGGAGTGCAGTGGCACGATCTTGGATCACTGCAACCTCCACCTCCTTGGTTCAATCAATTCTCCTGCCTCAGCCTCCCAAGTTGCTGGGATAACAGGCACATGCCGCCACGACTGGCTAACTTTTTTTGTAGTTTAGTAGAGACGGGGTTTCACCATGTTGCCCAGGCTGGTCTCGAACTCCTGAGCTCAGGCGGAGCCTTAGCCTCCCAAAGTGCTGGGATTATAGGCCACCATGGGATTATAGCTGAGCCACCATGCCAGGCTGAAGTTCCTGATTTTAATCCGCTAGAATATTCAGCTTTGCTACCAAGGACCTCACAGCCTCTTGTGATGAAAAGATGTAGATCCCCAAAATTCTAGACTGAGGAAGCGAGTGGTCAGTGATATGTACGTGGGACAGAAGGAATGTCCTGGAGGCTCAGAAGGATGGGAGGGGTGGGGAGGTCAGAAAAACCAATTTGTGGAGATGGAATTTGCTCAGAGCATCAAGGGATGGGTAGGGTTGAAGCAGAGCAGCAGGCGCTCCAAGCAGGAGCAAGGCATGAGCAAAGGCATGGAGGTGGGAGCCCATGACAGCCAGGGGGTTGCAAGGAAGAGCTGGTACAGGGAAAGGAGAGCCTGCCTCAGCGGGGGAGCTTGGGCCTGCCTGATCTTTGAGCAGGGGTGTCTGATTGGTGTGAGCAGTCAGCTCAACAGTAGTGTCGGGGAGGCTGCGGAGAGAGCCCCAAGGCAGGAGGCCAAGGTATTTCATTTAGTGCGTTAAGAACATTTTAGTTAGTAATCTTTTCTTTTCTTTATGGCTCACTACAGCCTCGGCCTCCTGGTCTGAAGCAATCCTCCTACCTCACATCCTGTGCAATTGGGACCACAGGTGCATGCCACCAGGCTTGCTGATTTTTTTATTTCTTGTAGAGTCGAGGTCTCACTTTGTTGCCCAGGCTGGTCTTGAACTCCTGAGCCCAAGTGATCCCCCTGCCTTGACCTCCCAAAGTGCTGGGATTACAGGCAAAGTGTGGGATTACAGCAACCACAACTGGTTTAATAATCTTTTCTTAATATCATCGAATAGCCAGTGTCTAAATTTTCCATATGTCTCATAAATGTCACAGATAGGCCAGGTGCTCACACCTATAATCCCAGTACTTCGGGAGGCCGAGGCAGGTGGATCATCTGAGGTCAGGAGTTCGAGACCAGCCTGGCCAACATGGTGAAACCCCCATCTCTACTAAAAATACAAAAATTATCCAGGTGTGGTGACACATGCCTGTAATCCCAGCTACTGGGGAGGCTGAGGCACCAGACTCGCTTGAACCCAGGAGGTGGAGGTTTCAGTGAGTCGACATCACACCACTGCACTCCAGCCTGGGTGACGGAGTGAAACTCTGTCTCAAAAACAAAAGTCACAGATAGTCTTGCTTTAGTTTTTTCTTTACAATTTGTTTGAATCTGGATCCATAGACATTCACAAAATATAAATGGTTGCTTTGTCTCTTTTTTTTTTTTTTCCAAGATGGAGTCTCGCTTTGTTGCCCAGGCTGCAGTGCAGTGGCAGGATCTTGGCTCACTACAACCTCTCCCTCCTGGGTTCAGCAATTCTATGGCTTCAGCCTTCTGAGTAGCTGGGATTACAGGAGTGCGACACCACGCCCAGCTAACTTTTGTGTTTTTAGTAGAGATGGGGGCTTCACCATGTTGGCCAGGCTGGTCTTGACCTCAGGTGATCCACCTACCTTGGTCTCCCAAAGTGCTGGGATTACAAGAGTGAGCCACTGTGGCCGGCCCATGCTTTGTCTTTGAAGTCCCTTTTAACTTATTTGTTCAGGAAACTGGGCCAATTGTCCTTGGAGATTCTCATGGTCTGGATTTTGCTGGTTGCATCCTTATGGTGTCAATTAACATGTTTCTTTATCCCATGTATTTCCTGTAAATTGGATGTTGGATCTAAAGCTAGGTCAGATTCAGGTTCTTCTGCTTGCTTTTTTGTTTGATCAAGACTCCATAAGTAGAATGTGTTCTTCCAGCAGGATGCCCCTATGCCAGCTGTCTTTCTTTTCAAGATCCAACCCACTCATCAGAGGCTGCAAAACTGTGAGCTTCTCATTTAGTCACTCCTGTGTATATTAATTAGAATTCTGGAATGAGGCACTTTCCCTCCTTACTATTGGATAACCAGTGGTACAGTTCATTCAGGAAAGGAAAGGATTTAACCTGTATTATGGACTTAAAATACTTTTTCTTTCTTTTTTTTTTGAGACAGTCTCTCTCTGTTGCCCAGGCTGGAGTGCAGTGGCACAATCACAACTCACTTAGGCTTGAACTCCCAGGCTCAAGTGATCCTCCCACCTCAGCCACCCAAGTAGCTGGGACTACAGGAGTGCGCCACCACGCCTGGCTAATTTTTTGTATTTTTAGTAGAGACGGGGTTTCACCATGTTGCCCAGGCTGGTCTCAAATGCCTGACCTCAGGTGATCTGCCCGCCTCGGCCTCCCAAAATGCTGGGATTATAGGTGTGAGCCACCACGCCTGGCCTCAGCGTAGTTTTAATTTGTAGTTGGGAGCGAGCCCCATCCCATCCCCATCCTGTGCTCTCTCCCAAAGGACCTGCTGCAGCTGGGAGGGGAGCTGGCCCGGACATCACGAGCTGTCCAGGAGGCGGGCCTGGGACTGAGCACGGGCCTGTGGCTGGCAAAGAGCCGGGCCAAGGCAGCCCTGGAGAAGCAGGCCCTGCTGCAGGCCCAGCTGGAGGAGCAGCTGCGGGACAAGGTGCTCCACTAGAAGGACCTGGCCCAGCAGCAGATGCAAAGTGACCTGGACAAGGCTGACCTCAGTGCCAGGTGGGTCCCTGGTGGGTGCCACATGGGGCAGGCGTCCTTGCAGAAGGTAAAACTGGAGAGTTGGGGAGAAGGGAGCATCTGTTCACTAGGAGCAGGGCCTTCCTCTGTGAGCTCAGCCAGTCTTCCCAGGCACCCAACTGAGTTTCTGAGGCACTTGCCCAGTGTATATCATAAACAGCTTAGCCTCTTATGACAGAACTTGTGGCCGGGATCACACCTGTAATCCCAGCACTTTGGGAGGCCAAGGTGGGGCATTACCTGAGGTCAGGAGCTCAAGACCAGCCTGCCTAACAGGCGAAACCCTGTCTCTACTAAAAATACAAAACTTAGCCGGGTGTGGTGGTGTGTGCCTCTAATCCCAGCTACGAGGGAGGCTGAGACAGGAGAATCGCTTGAACCCAGGATGTGGAGGTTGCAGTGAGCCAAGATCACATCGCTGTATTCCGGCCTGGATGACACAGCGAAACTCTGTCTCAAAAGAAAACCACAAAAAAACAACTTGTGCCCCTTACTCCTGCCACCTGGACAAGTCCTCCAGTGTTTTCCCATGAGATAAAGCTGGTGGGAACCTCATTCCCATTTCACAGATGAGAAGTGTGAGGTCTGGAGAGGAGCCACAACTTGTTTAAGGTCACACAGCCAGGGAGGTGGATGTTAGGGTCCCTCCCTCGGGTTTGGAGAAGCATGGTGGACACAGAGCTAGTGGATTTGAGAGGCTGGGGTGGTCCCGTATTCACCTCTGTTGCTCCCCCAACTCCAGAGTGACAGAGCTGGGCCTGGCAGTGAAGCGTCTTCAGAAGCAGAATCCGGAGAAGGATCAGGTCAACACGGACCTCACCGAGAAGCTTGAGGCCCTGGTGAGCTGCAGCTGCCCCTGAGATGGGGCAGGGTGGGATGGGGTACCGGCCAGATCCATGGACGCAGGCTTAGGGCTGGGCTGCCTGGACCACCCCCAGCATCCCACTCACACTCAGGTTCAGCCCTCACAGGTGTGCAGGCTTTGTGGTAAGAACATTCACCTCCTCCATCCCATTTCTTCCTCCCAGCAGCCCTGTAGCATAATCCTCATGACACAGATGGGGAAACTGAGGCCCAAGAGGGGAAATGCTTGTCCAGTCTCAGAGCCAGTAAGCTGGAGAGTCGGGACTTGAACTCCCATCCGTGCTCTCCAGGTCCAGATGCTGCCTCTGGAATCCCAGCTGCCCATCCCCACTAGTGGGACACTCACTCCCCCAGGGTACAGCCTGGTTTGGTCACCCCTCTGTGTGGGGCCTGGCCTGGGTTCTAGGTCCGGCTCTCCTCCAATCGACTGTGTGACCTGGGGCAGGACACAGCTGTTCTCTGCGCCTGGTCTGTTCATTGAGGGCCTCGGGCCTGCTGTGGGGTCTACCAGATGTCTGGCCTATGGACATAGCTTCAGAGGCCACCTGGTCAGTGGTGGACCAGGAAGGGAGGGGAATGGGAGGTTTCAGATAAGACAGAACCAGGACCACCCTTTGTCTCCCTAACTACACTCCAGGAATCCCTGCGGCTACAGGAGCAGGTGGCCCTGGAGACAGAGGACGGAGAGGGGCTACAGCAGAGCCTAAGGGACCTGGCACAGGTGTGAGCCCAAAGAGGTGGGAAGACAGGGCACTGCCAGGCAGTCCTGGGCTCCCCCGCCACGACTTTTGGTGGCCTGGGACTGAACTGCAAATGGGTGGGGGCCTGGGACCCAGGCTGTAGCTGCTCAGCACCCCCGGCCCTGGGGAGCCCCCAGTCTCAGAGGGGAGGCACGGCCCTTTTGGAGGCCACCTGTGAGCTGAGGACTGAGCTAGCGGAGGAGGTGAAATCAGGAAGGATTCTTGTAGGAGGGAGCATTTGGGATGAGGCGGCCCCCAGCCTCACCTGGGCGTCTTTGCCAGCTAACACTGCGGTTCCTAACTCTGAGGCCTTCTTCTGCCTGCCTCCCCTACCCTCAGTCCGTCCTGTCGGACACAGAGCGGCGTCCAGCTGAGCGGCTCCGAGCGCACCGCGGATGACTCCTTCGGCAGCCTGCGGGGGCTCTCGGCCCAGCAGACCCCGTCCCCACCGCGGCGCTCCTCGCCCGGCCGAGGCCGTTCACCCCGCCGAGGCCCCTCCCCGGCCTGCTCAGACTCCTCCACGCTCGCCCTGATCCACTCCACCTTACACAAGCACGAGCTGCAGGTCCAGGTAGGAAGGGGCTTGAGCGTTCTGGGCTCAGCCAGAGGCCTGGAGGGAGCGTCTGGCGCCCTCCGGGTAGGGGCGGGGCGGGGGCAGGTCCGGGGCCAGGGTCCGGGGGAGGAGTCCGAGCGCCTTGGGGTGCAGCCAGAGCTCTGAGAAAGTGTCTGAGGGTGTCAGGATCCCGAAGGAGGTGGCCGAGAGCTCTGCGGTGAAGCCAGCCCAGAAGTAGGGGTGCTTGGGCAGCTGGGGGTGGGCGCTTGGGCAGGTGGAGGGAGGAGGCTGCGGCAGTGTTAGGGTCCTGGTAGAGAGGGAGACAGGTCCCTGGTCTACAGAGCCAGGACCCTGGGAAAAGGTCTAGCAAGGGGAATCAGAGCTTGGGAACTAGGGGCAGAGCCAGGGTAGGGAGGAGTCTGAGAGTGGAACCAGGATGCAAGGAGGAGGAGCCTGGGAGCCCTGGGGGTGGGGTCAGAACCCAGGAGACTAGTGTGCCTGGGGGTTTGTCTGGCATCCGGGGGGCTTTGATAGGAGTTGTCCGGGACCCCAGGGAGGTGAGGGCTCAGAGGGTGGTGAGGGCACATAGGAGGGGAGCGGGAGCCTGGCTCTCAGGCCTAGGCCCCTATCCTGCCCCAGGCCAGGTCCAGGCCCTGGACCCCGCCTAGCGTAGGCTAGTGTGTATCCCTGGAACCAGAAGAGAGTAGGTGGGCTCTGGAGGCCTCAAAGGACCCCCGCTAGACTCTGTGATCCCCGCGCCCCAGGACATGCGTGGGCGCTATGAGGCAAGCCAGGACCTGCTGGGCACCCTGCGGAAGCAGCTTAGCGACAGCGAGAGTGAGCGGCGGGCCCTAGAGGAACAGCTGCAGCGCCTGCGGGACAAGACCGACAGCACCATGCAGGCCCACGAGGACGCCCAGCGCGAGGTGCAGCGGCTGCGGAGCGCCAAAGAGCTCCTGAGAAGGTGCCGGGGAGGTCTGAGCTGGGGGTGCTGAAGAATAAGTCGGCGGCTGGGCATAACATCAGTGGAGCCTTATGCGTGTGGCTCTGCACTAATATGGTCGCCACTAGCTGCATGTGCCTATTAACGTTTAGGTATTTATTTATTTATTTATTTATTTTTAAGATGGAGTCTCGCTGTGTCACCCAGGGTGGAGTGCAGTGGCGCGATCTGGGCTCACTGCAAGCTCCGCCTCCCAGGTTCACGCCATTCTCCCGCCTCAGCCTCCGTAGTAGCTGGGACTATAGGCGCCCGCCACCACGGCCGGCTAATTTTTTTTTTTTTTTTTTTTTTTTGAGACGGAGTTTCACTCTGTCACCCAGGCTGGAGTACAGTGACGCGATTTCAGCTCACTGCATCCTCCGCCTCCGAGTTTTAAGCATTTCTCACCTCAACCTCCCAAGTAGCTGGGATTACAGGTGCCCACCACCACTCCCAGCTAATTTTTTGTATTTTTAGTAGAGGCGGGGTTTCACCATCTTGGCCAGGCTGATCTTGAACTCCTGACCTCCTGATCCACCCGCTTCCGTCTCTCAAAGTGCTGGGATTACAGGCATGAGCCACCGCACCCGCCCAACATTTATTTTTTAGTATTCAGTTTTGTTTTGTTTTGTTTTGTTTTGCTTCGTTTTGAGTCACGCTCTTGCTCTGTTTCCCAGGCCGGGGCACAATTGGTCCCTCACAGCTCACTGTAGCGTGGAACTCCCAGACTCAAGCGGTCCTCCCACCTCTACTTCCCAACTGCCCCTAGTTGGGGGCCAGGGCCTGGGCCTGGCGTGGGGAAGGATATGGGACCGAAGCCTGAGAGTTAGGTTTCCACTCCCTTCCTCTGTGCCCTCATCACCCTCTGAGCCCTCACCTCCCTGGGTTCCTGGGCAACTCTGATCTCAGCCCCAAGGATACTAGACAAGCCCCCAACATTTCTAAATTTTTTGTAGAGATGGGGGTCTCACTATGTTGCCCATGCTGGTCTTGAACTCCTAGCTTCAAACACTCTTCCCACCTCAGCCTCCCAAATTGCTGGGATTACAGGCACAAGCCACTGTACCTGGCTCTATTAAAATTTAATTAAAAATTTGAAAAAGTGAAAATTCAGGCTGGGTGTGGTGGCTCACAACCCAGCTGGCTGGCCAACATGGTGAAACCCGGTTTCTACTAAAAATACAAAAATTAACCAGGCATGGTGGCATGCTCCTGTAATGCCAGCTACTCGGGAGGCTGAGGTGGGAGAATCACTTGAACCCCGGAGGCAGAGATTGCAATGAGCAAGGATAACACCACTGCACTCCAGGCTGGGAGACGTAGTGAGACTCCATCTCAAAAACAAACAAACAAAAAAGATGCGGTGGCTCACACCTGTAATCCCAGCACTTGGGGAGGCCGAGGTGGGCGGATCACGAGGTCAGGAGATCGAGACCATCCTGGCTAACACGGTGAAACCCCATCTCTACTAAAAATACAAAAACAAAATTAGCTGGGTGTGGTGGCGGGTGCCTGTAGTTCCAGCTACTCGGGAGGCTGAGGCGGGACAATGGTGTGAACCTGGGAGGCGAAGCTTGCAGTGAGCCAAGATTGCGCCATTGTACTCCTGCCTGGGTGACAGATCGAGACTCCATCTCAAAAAAAAAAAAAAGAAAAAGAAAAAAGAAAAAGAAAATTCAGTTCTTTAGTTGCCCTAGGCACATTTCAAGCACTCATCAACCACACATGGCCATAGAATGTTTCTGTCATCTCAGAGAGTTCTATTGACAGCGCTATTCTGGACCGTATTTCTTGGAGTTTTTTGTTTGTTTGTTTGTTTTCAGAGATGGGGTCTTGCTGTGTTGCTCAGGATGGTCTCAAACTCCTGGCCTCAAGCGATTCCCCTGCCTCGGCCTCCCAAAATGCTGAGATTACAGGCATAAGCCACCATGCCTAGCCTTGAAGATTGTTTTTTTCTTTTAATTTGAGACAGGGTCTCGTTCTGTCACCCAGGCTGGAGTACAGTGGTGCGATCTCAGTTCACTGCAACCTCCACCTCCTAGGCTTAAGTGATCCTCCCACCTCAGCCTCCTGAGTAGCTGGGACTACAGGCACACACCACCACGCCTGCCTAATTTTTCTGTTTTTTGTAGAGATGGGGTTTTGCCATGTTACCCAGGCTGATCTCTAACTCCTGAGCTCAAATGATCACCCATCTTGGCTTCCCAAAGTACTGGGATTATAGGTGTGAGCCATCACACCCGGCACCTTGAAGATTTTTAAGACAAGAAATTATCCACTTTTTTTTTTTTTCCGCAGTCTTGTTGCCCATGACACGATCTTGGCTTACTGCAACCTCCGCCTCCCAGGTTCAAGCAATTGCCTCAGCCTCCCTGGTAGCTGGGATTACAGATGCCTGCCAGCATGCCTGGCTAATTTTTATATTTTTAGTAGAGATGGGGTTCCACCATGTTGGCTAGGCTGGTGTCGAACTCCTGACCTCAGGTGATTCGCCCACCTCGGCCTCCCAAAGTGCTACATTACAGGCATGAGCCACCGTTCTTTGCACCTTGAAGATTTTTAAGACAAGAAATTATCCACTTAGCTGCCAGGTTGTTTTTGATATTTTGTTGTTTGGTTTTTCTCTTCATAAATGTAACCATCTAATGAAAAGTTTGAAAAATAATAGAAATAAAAAGACCTCGCCTTCTCACAGCCTCATCTGCCCATCCTAACTCATGTAGGGCACTGGTTTTCCTTCCCACTGTGTTGCCTGGCAGTGAGATAGCAAACGTTTCCTTCACACCTACTGTGTGCCAGGCTCTTGGCTGAGTGTTTTATACATACTCTGTGATTTAGTCTTCCTGTCAAACTTATGCAATTCAGAACTCTTTTGTTGTAAGCTTGAGAGGCTCGCTCAGACTCATACAGCATGTGTGGCTGGGGTGGCAGGGTGGGAATTGGAATTCAGGTCCATGGGAGAGTAAACCCAGGCTTTCCATGCCTGGAAAGGAGAAGGTCTTTTTAAGTAGTTGTGTTCACAGCAAACATCCCATTTTGCATTCTGTGAAATGTGGAGATGGGGGTCTCACTATGTTGCCCACGCTGGTCTTGAACTCCTAGCTTCAAACACTCCTCCCACCTCAGCCTCCCAAATTGCTGGGATTACAGGCATAAGCCACTGTGTCTGGCTCTATTAAAATTTAATTAAAAATTTTAAAAAGTGAAAATTCAGGCTGAGTGTGTTTTACTGAACAGCACGTTGTCAACTGGGCACAGTGGCTCACGCCTGTAATCCCAGCACTTTGGGAGACTAAGGCGGGTGGATCACTTGAGGTCAAGAGTTTGAGCCCAGCCTGGCCAACATGGCAAAACCCCATCTGTACTAAAAATTTTAAAAATTGGCCCGGCATAGTGGCTCACGCCTGTAATCCCAGCACTTTGGGAGGCCGAGGCGGGAGGACCACCTGAGTTCAGGAGTTTGAGACCAGCCTGACCAACATGGAGAAACCCTGTCTCTACTAAAAATACAAAATTGGCTGTCCGTGGTGGTGCATGCTTGTAATCCCAGCTACTTGGGAGGCTGAGGCAGGAGAATCGCTTGAACATGGGAGGCAGAGTTTGCGGTGAACCGAGATCACACTATTGCACTCCAGCCTGGGCAACAAGAGTGTCAAAAAAATAAATAAATAAAAGTACAAAATAAAAAAATAAAAATAAAAAAATTAGGGCTGGGTGTGCCCTTTTAGCCCAATTTTAGCCCAAAATTAGTATTTTGGGATACCGAGGCGGGCAGATCACTTGAGGTCAGGAGTTTGAGACCAGCCTGGCCAATATGGTGAAACCCCACTTCTAACTAAAAATGCAAAAATTAGCTGGGCGTGGTGATAGGTGCCTGTAATCCCAGCTACTCAGGAGGCTGAGGCAGGAGAATTGCTTGAACTCTGGAAGTGGAGGTTGCAGCAAGCTGAGATTGTGTCACTGCACTCCAGCCTGGGTGACAAAGTGAGACTCTGTCTAAAAAAAAAAAAAAAAAAAAAAATTGCTGGACGTGGTGGCTCACACCTGTAATCCCAGCACTTTGGGAGGCCGAGGCGGGCAGATCACGAGGTCAGGAGATCAAGACCATCCGGCTAACATGGTGAAAACCCGTCTCTACTAATAATACAAAAAATTAGCCGGGTGTGGTGGCAGGCGCCTATAGTCCCAGCTACTCAGGAGGCTGAGGCAGGAGAATGGCATGAACCTGGGAGGCAGAGCATGCAGTAAGCCGAGATCACGCCTGGGTGACAGAGCAAGACTCCGTCTCAAAAAAAAAAAAAGAAAATCACATCGGGAAAGTTTTTCGCACCTACCGCCAGTGGGGAACGTGGCAGCTCACGGCAAGTCTTTGGGGTCCCAGTTGTTCCCTTCTCCTCCCTCCCCTGCCGTGGCCACCATGTGACTGTGTAGCAGGAAGCCATGGGATCTGCAGACTCAGCTCTATCAGGCTTCCCAGAATTGAGGGGCATGGGTTGTTATAGGGGACATTTCCTGGTCACGTGGCCTAGCAGGGTTGGTGGCACAATTGCCCATGTATCCCAGGAGCCTAACCTGGCCTCTTCTACCTGGTAGGGTGCTTGGAGATAAAGCCAGCACCTCCATCCACTCCAAGTGGATGGGTTGGGGAGAAGGAAAGCCAGGTTCTTCTGCTGGAGGATGTGAGTGAAATGAGTCAGCTACGGGCAGGGTCAGGGAAGGCTTCCTGGAGGCAGGTTCCTTGGAAAACGGGAGATTATAGCTCATGGCTAGAGGAGCAGCCAGCCACCTTCCCTGCAGAGAGCAGCCCCAGCATCCCCTCTGCTTGTCCTGAAGGGAGAAGAGCAACCTGGCCCACAGCCTGCAGGTGGCCCAGCAGCAGGCCAAGGAGCTGCGGCAGGAGCGGAAGAAGCTGCAGGCTGCCCAGGAGGAGCTGCGGCGCCAGCGGTACTGGCTGGGGGAAGAGCAGGAGGACGCAGTGCAGGATGGTGTGCGGGTGCGCCGGGAGCTTGAGCACAGGTGAACAGCATCTCGCCACCCTGCCAGGGCCCTTCAAATGTGCCTCAGGTCCCCTGACAGTGCCCCGGGGGTTAGGGAGCACCCACTGGGTCCTGGGCCTCCTACCATCTGGACCCCTCTGATGTCGGGTTTTCTAACCAGACCCATTGCAGGAAATTGGGGCTCAGGGAGGTGTACTCACTTACCTGGGGTCAGAGAACTAGTTAAAAGGTAGAACTTGGATGATAATAACAAGAATAATTAAAATAACAGTAGTAATATTAACGATAGTATTTTTTAAATTAAGTTATGATCATAATAATATCCTTACTGATTTCACTAAGTGCCAGATACCATTTTAAGCAATTCAGTTCTCTCATTTAACCTATGATAACTGTGACATAGAAGCTGTTATCTTCATTTTATGGACGGTAAACTGAGGCACAGAGAAGCCATGTCACTTGCCCCAGGTCACACAGCTAGTTAGAAGAGCCAGGATTTGAACCCAGACATTCTGCCTTTAGAGTTAACCTCTTCACCACTGCGCTGCTTACCTCTCAGGGACGTGATCGCTGATGATGTTTAGTAGACTGTGGTGGAGCATGTTATTCTTGTTTCTGAAGGTCCTTGGGGAGATGTGTCAGGCACTATTTTAAGCACATGTGAAGTTTGTAGCCTTAAAACAGGCTGGGCACGGTGGCTCACGCCTGTAATCCCAGCACTTTGGGAGGCCGAGGCAGGCGAATCGCCTGAGGTCAGGAGTTCGAGACCAGCCTGGTCAACATGGGGAAACCCTGTCTGTACTAAAACTACAAAAATTAGCCAGGCGTGGTGGTGCATGCCTGTAATCCCAGCTACTCGGGAGACTGAGGCAGGAGAATGGCTTGAACCCAGGAGGCGGAGGTTGCAGTGAGCTGAGATCTCACCACTGTACTCCAGCCTGAGCGACAGAGCGAGACTCTGTCTCAAAGAAAACAAAGAAACTATGTGACAAGGTAGGTGTTACCTCATTTTGCAGATGTGGAAACGGAGGCCCAGGGTCATGGAGCTAAGCAGTAGTGGGCTTGGTTGCCCTGTGGCTCAGGCTGTTTCTCTCCAAACTCCTGCCTCAGGCCTGGTCCACAGCCAAGCATCTCGCTGGCTGTGGGAGATTCGGGGCAGGAAAGTGACATGGGCCACCCACCTGCCCTCTGTCCTGCAGCCATAGACAACTGGAGCAGCTGGAAGGGAAGCGCTCAGTCCTGGCCAAGGAGCTGGTGGAGGTGAGGGAGGCGCTGAGCCGCGCCACACTGCAACGGGACATGCTGCAGGCCGAGAAGGCCGAGGTGGCCGAGGCGCTGACCAAGGTGGGTCCCTGTTGGCTGCACAACCACAAACCTACATCTGACCCCCAGCCCCAAGCCTTCTCACTCTGGCACAAACTGGTCCCAGTGTCAGGCAGACCTCTGAGCCTGGTCACAGACTGACCCCTTCCTTCTGGATACAGGCTGATCTTTGTCACAGACCACAGACCTCTGGACCTCTGGTCCCAGCCATAAGTGGACTGACCTCTCTTTATGGCCGTATCCCTGCTGTTCTGGATGCTCCTGGGGGCAGTGCCTATAGCTCAGGGTCATCCTGAGATTCAGCTCCTGGGGTCTGAGAGTTGTGGCCACAGCGCAGAGGGTCCTTGGCGGGGGGGCCTGCGCTGTCCGCTGCAGCCTGGGCTCTGAGCAGTGCTATCCCTAGACCTTACTCAGGGGATCCTCTGAACTCTGGCCCTGCCCTCCAGGCTGAGGGCAGAGGAGGCCTCCCTGCAGGACTCCCTGTCCAAGCTGAGCGCCCTCAACGAGAGCCTTGCTCAGGACAAGTTGGATCTGAACCGCCTTGTCACCCAGGTACGCTGTGCACCTGCGGGCCCACCTGCCTTGCCCACCCGTCCTCCCCACTCAGTAAGGCACCCCGGGCCCAGCCCTGTACCTGTCTTGGCCCCTGCCTCCCTTTCTGTCTCTGGTTCTCTGTCTGTCTCTGTCTGTCTATCCTCTCTAGGCATCAAAGCACAGAAGCTCCATGGGCCCTCCTCATCTCTCCCTCCCCAGTGTCCCACACACCCAAGGGCCCTGTCCCTCATTGCCTGGGAGCCTCCCCTGGGCTATTGTGGCTGGTGGGTGGGTGGAGGAGGCGTCCTGGTCCTGGGAGGGATGCCCTGCTCACGAGGCCCCACTCCTACCCAGGCCACAGCTGGAGGAAGAAAAGTGCGCCCTGCAGGGCCGGCAGCGGCAGGCGAAGCAGGAGGCCACAGTGGCACGGGAAGAGCAGGAGCGGCTGGAGGCGCTGCGGTTGGAACAGGAGGTGGCGCGGCAGGGCCTGGAGGGCTCCCTATGAGCGGCGGAGCAGGCCCAGGAGGCAGTGGAGCAGCAGCTCCCCACGCTGCATCATGAGTGCAGCCGGCTGCAGGAGCAGCTAGCGCAGGTGGGCCAAGCTGTGTGTGGGGTGGTGTGGAGAGCATGTGGGGCAGGCTGGGCTCCCAGCCCCCTGCATCCAGTCCTGGGTTAAGTCACAGGCACTGGAGCCTGCTTCTTGGTTAAATCCAGCCCCACTTCTGCTAGCTGGGGACCTTGGACAAGCTGCCCAACCTCCCCATACCTCAGTTGCCCCATCTATAGCATGGGGCTAGCTGGGTGCAGTGGCTCACGCCTATAATCCCAGCACTTTGGGAGGCCGAGGCGGGTGGATCACCTGAGGTCGGGAGATCAAGACCATCCTGGCTAACACGGTGAAACCCTATCTCTACAAAAAATTAGCTGGGTGTGGTGGCACGCGCCTGTAGTCCCAGCTACTCAGGAGGCTGAGGCAGGAGAATCGCTTGAACCCAGGAGGCAGAGGTTGCAGTGAGCCGAGATCGTGCCACTGCACTCCAGCCTGGGCAACAGAACGAGACTCTGTCTCAAATAATAATAATAATAATAATAATAATAATAATAATGATACAGATTAATAATAGGTCGAGACTTTTTAGAATTGGAATCTTAGACTTTTGGGAACATCACATCTGGAAGAGACCTTAATGTCTCATTTTCAGGGATCCAGGGACCTTCATGCAAGGTCTATCCTGGAGTGCCTGGGTTTCTGGGAGGGGCCTCTAGAGGATGGGGTAGGGGGTGCAAGAAGCAGGGTGCAGGTCTCCACCTTGAGGCCTGCTGAGCAGCTGCACTTGGGTCTGTTTTATATATTCAGCTTCTCTTCTTAGAGTAATACAAGGGTTCTGTTACTCCCAAAGCTGAGTGAGGGCCCTCTTTTTTGTTGTTGGTTTTTGTTTTGTTTTGTTTTGTTTGAGACAGAGTCTTGCTCTGTTGCCCAGGCTGGAGTGCAGTGGCATGATCTGGGCTCACTGCAACCTCCGCCTCCGGGGTTTAAGCTGTTCGCCTGCCTCAGCGTCCCAAGTAGCAGGGACTACAGGCGTGCACCACCATGCCCGGCTAATTTTTGTATTTTTAGTAGAGACAGGGTTTCACCACCTTGGCCAGGCTGGTCTTGAACTCTTGACCTCAAGTGATCCACCTGCCAAAGTGCTGGGATTATAGGCGTGCACCACCGTGTCCGGCCGGGCCCTGGTTTTTGTACACACGTGCATTGCAGAGCTAGAGAAGGTCATGACTTGCCCAAGCACATATAGCACATCAGGGCAGACCCTGGGCTCGAACCCAGGCTTTCTGCCAGGACTGGGTTAGGCCCAGAGTTGGGGTGCTGCACGATCAACAAGCTGGGGGATGCTGGGAGTTCTGCTGAGTCTCTGGGTGGGGGCCAGCTCTCCCAGCAGCTGAGCTGGCGGGAGCAGAAGCTGGAGGAGGCCCAGGGGGTTGGCCCAGTGGCAGGTGGAGGCGCTGGAGCCAGCAGCCCGCGGGGTATCCGGTTCCACAACTACGCGCCGCGCCCCCGCGCCCGTGTGCGGGATTCACCCAGCTGACACTCTCCCGGTCCCAGAAGGTGCAGCAGCCGGCGGGTTTTGAGAGTCCCAGGTGCCCTGCACTGTGCAGGAGTGTGGACGCTGCCCCTCCAGGGCTGTGACCCCGCCTCAGGGCCTTTTCCCTGGCGCCCGCCATCAGGGCTCTTGGCTTTGACAGGCGATCCACCCTTCGGCTCCTCCCAGGAGCCATAGGACCCTCCCTGCCTGCCCTTCACTCAAGTCGAGGGGCCTGATCAGCAGGCTCTTTCCTCTCAGGCCCTCCACTCAGGGTGTCAACAGAGGTGGATCAGATGAGAAACCTGGATTTCTACACACACCTGGCTACAATGAGATGGCACCACTCCCCTCCCCTGCAGAAGCAGACTCAGAAAAAGGTAGTTAAAACAGAAGGTTTCAATAAAATCGACAGTCTGATAACATAATACCCAAAAGTCCAAGTTTCCATTGAAAATCATTCATCATACCAAGAACCAGGAAAATCTCATACTGAATGAAAATAGGCAGCAAGCACACACTGGCAATAAAATGAGAGAAGCGCTGGGATTGTCTGACAAACATTTTAAAGCAAGCAAGCCTGATGAAAATGATTTAGCGAGTAATTATGAGCACACTTGAAATAAATGGACAAGTAGAAAGTCTTAGCAAATAAATACAAGACTTAAGGGAGAACCAAATGAAGTATTAGAAGTGGAAAAATACAACCACCAAAATAAAAAGTCTGGCACATAGGCTCAACAGCAGAATGGATGGTGCAGAGCAAGGAAATCCATCCACTGCCAATGAAAAAGTAGAAATTACACAATCTTAGCAGGGAAAAAATAGACTCGGGGAGAAAGTGAATAGAACCTCAGGCACCTGTGAAACTACCTCAAAAGGTCTCACTTTCATGTTGTCATCTATGTCTGGAAGGGGAAGAGGAAGAGGACAAGCCTGAAAACATAAAGAAGTAAATGGCTAAAAGCTTCCCAGAGTTGGCAAGAGACATAAACCTATATGCTTAAGAAGCTGTGAGGACCCCAAATAGGATAAAACCCAAAGAGGTCTATGGCAAGACACGTGAAAAAATAAAATGTTGGAAACTAAAGACAAAGAAAATATATTGAAAGCAACAGAGAAAGGTGACACCTTACCTAGAAAGGAAAAACAATTCCGACGATGATGGCTTTCTCATCAGAAACCACGGAGGCAGAAAGAAGTTGTGCAGTGCTTTTCAAGCCGCAGAAGAAAATTGTCAGCCCAGACTCCTCTCTCCAGCAGAAACATCTTTCAGGGATTAAGGAGAAGATCAAAACAGTTTCAGATTAAGAAAAGCTAAGGACATCTCTGACCAGCAGTTCTACCCTAAAAGAAGGGCTAAGGGGAGTTCTCTAGACGGAAAGGAAATGATTAAAGAAGGAACCTTGGGACATCGGAAAGAAAGAAAACAGCAAAATAGGCCTTCCTTCTCCTCTTGAGTTTTCTAAACTATGCTTGACGGTTTCAGAAAAAAATCATAGCACCATTCAATGTGGTTCTAACTCTCCATAAAGAAAATGTTTGAAATGGTTATAAACTGGGAGGGTAAAGAGACCTACAAGGGAGGTAACTCGTCTATCATTCACTCAAATTGGTAAAACAATGACACCAGTATACCGTGTGGTTAAGATATAGATGCACAGATATACGAATGTCTGGAAAAACCAAGAGGGCTATACAAACAGACATACTCAAAAGCACTATGGATAAGGCAAAACACCATTCTCAAAGATGTTCAAGTCATGACAGGAAGGTAAGAAAAAGAAAGCATATCCAGAAAACGAAACCAGGGAGAACAAACAGAAAAGGAAAAATAAAATGGCAGATTTAAGCCCTACCATGTCAATATCATTAAATATCAATGGCCTAAGTATACCAGTTGCAAGACACAGGCTGGCAGAGTAGGTCAATGGACACGAACCAACTACATACTGGCTACAAAGAGACTAACTTCAAATATGATGATACAGGCAAGTTGAAATGAAAAGGGTGGGAAAAGATATATCATGCAAACCTTAGCCAAAGGAAAGCAAGACTGGCTATATTAATGCCAGATATAGTATATTTCAGAACAAATAAACTAATCAGAGACAGAGAGGGAGACTATATAATGTGCAAAGGACCAATCCACCAACTCCTCGCCTGACAAATTCATAAATGTCTACGCAAGAACAACTGAAAGTACTTAACAGAGAACTAGACAAATCCACAAATACAGCTGTATGCTTCAATGTCCCCCTTTCTCAACAATTTATACAACAACCAGATAGAAAATCAGCAAGAATACAGAAGAACCCAACAACACGATCAACCAGCGGGACTTAAATTGGCAATTTTAGAACACCCAACCACACCAGAATACACATTGTTATGGGATGCATTGTGCCCAGCCCCCCCAAATTCATATGTTGAAATCAGAACATTATTAGCCACTAGTGATTTACTAATTAAAACAATGAGAAATTGCTACGTACCTATCAGAATGGCCAACATAAAAGTGTGACCACATCAAGTGCTGTCAAGGATTCAGAGAAAGCTGGATCACTCATACATTGCTGGTGGGGATGTAAAAGATTACAGCCCACTCTGGAGAATATCTGTATAATTTTTACTTTTAAAACTCTATGTGCAACTACCATACCACCTCGGAATTACATTCCCTGCATTTATCACAGAGAAATAGAATCTTATGTTCACACAAAACCCATGTACTTCAAGTTTATAGCAGCCTTGTTTTTAATAGCCAAAACTGGGGAAACAATGTATACACGACTTTTGTGAGATGAATGGTTAAACTGTGGTATATATCCACAGCATCAAATAGTCCTCAGTAATTTTTTTTAAAAAAACAACAAATGATTGATACCCACAATAACCTGGACGAATCTCCACAGAATTATGGTGAGTGGACGAAGGGTAATCCCAAAGGTTACATGTAGAATTCCATTTAAGTAACATTCTTGAAATGAATAAATTATAAGAGTGGGGAATAGATTAGTAGTTGCCAGGGGTTAAGGAGGGAAGGAGGAGCAGCACTGAATAGAAGGGGTCATAACTATAAAAAGGCAACATGATGAATCCCGGTGTTGACGGAAATGTTCTGTACCTTGCTTGTATAAATGTCAATCTCCTGGTACTGTGGCATTTGCAATATTTGCAAATTTTATTTATTTATTCATTCATTCATTTTTCTGAGACGGAGTCTTCCTCTGTCGCCCAGACTGGAGTGCAGTGGCGCGATCTTGGCTCACTGCAACCTCCGTCTCCTGGGTTCGCACCATTCTCCTGCCTCAGCCTCCTGAGTAGCTGGGACTAGAGGTGCCCACCACCATACCCAGCTAATTTTTTATATTTTTAGTAGAGACGGGGTTTCACTGTGTTAGCCAGGATGGTCTCGATCTCCTGACCTCATGATCCACCCACTTCAGCTTCCCAAAGTGCTGGGATTACAGGTGTGAGCCACCACGCCCGGCCACTATTTGCAAATATTACCATTTTGGAAATATTACCAAGATGTTACCATTGGAGGAAACGGAGTAAGGCGTACAAGGGACCTCTCTTTTTCTGAGTTAAGATTGTATGTGAATTATTAAAACGTAAAAATTAACTTTAAGAAAGCTAAGTGTATTTCTCCTTGAGTGATCATGCCTTTGCTTAGAAAACATTAAGGCAACAATAATTTTCCAAAACCCTTTATTTTCTTGAAGATAGTTTTAACAAAAGCTGTGCTTAGGGGTTTTCCTAGAAGTTTAAAACTTCTACTAATCCTTACTGTTCTTCTTTGAGAACCCTCCAGGATTTTATTTATTTATTTTACACCTTTCAAAAGCATAGAGACAAAACCCGGCAACTGGCATATAATACTGTATTAGTCTGAGTTATCCAGAGGACAAGATACACACACACACACACACACACACACACACACACACACACGCATGCACGCACGCAGAGAAGCCCAAGTTCTACTCTGAGTAAGCTCTATACCTAGGAGAGTCGAATATAGTTCAAGACCAAGTCCAAGGCTTAAGGCAGAAGACTGATGTCCCAGCTCAAAGACAGTGGAGCAGAAACCTTTCTTAACCCATCATCTTATTCAAGCCGTCCATGGGTTGGATGAGGCCCACCCACACTCGGGAGGGCAATCTGCTTCACTCAGTTTACTGATTCAAATGTCAATCTCTTCCAGAAACACCCTCAAAGACACAGTGAGAAATAATGTCTAACCAAATGTCTGGGCACCCCCGACCCAGGCAAATTGACACAAAAATTAATTTTCACAAATACTATCAATAGAAGTGACTAATAAATGTGGCATCATGTCCTGCCTGTTTATCCCATGACAATTAGTATAGTCGAGCGTAACATTGGCTTCCGTTCCCTTATAGTAGCAACATGTAGGAGTTTCATTTAAAGTGAGGATAATTTTGACCTTACAGAGTTTCTCCCTACCCCTATCTACCATTGCCACTTGTGGATTGTCATTTTGCCATGACTTTCTTTTAAAAAATATCAATAAGCTCTATACTTCAGTAATGTAAGTTTGAATTTCATCCTGGCTGCATAAGTCACTTTCCATTTTGACAAAGTCTAGAAATATTTTTCTCCATCTCCTTGAATATGGGTAATGGATACCTATTGTGGGGCCCACTCTCAATCTCATGGTTTTATTTTAATTTAGTTCTCAATAGATATGCCTCAGCTGCTTAAAAACCATTGAAAATGGCCCATGGCCTTGTCCATCTAACAGAGTCCAGTAAAATCCTGACAATGGAATGGGGAGAGAGAAAGTGAGAACCACCAAACTCAGCACAAAACGACTGAGTTTAAACCTCTGTGCTAAGAGATGATCAGAGTCTATCATGGCTTCTAGTAGCATGAGACCATGTCTCACGAATGACCCTAGGCTCCCATGACAATGCCTACCTAAGAAAGCTCAAGGCTGCCAGGGGAACTTACTTTAGTCTAGCCAATACTTGATGATGGCAGTTTCAGGATCTTTCTTTCTTATAGCACTTACTAAGAAGGGAATCCTTCCTCCATCCCTTTGATATATGTGTGTATCTCCTAGGGACTTCAATGTATCTTTGCCCAGGATCTGAAAGGCAATACTTTTGAGGTGTAGTTCTCAGGAAGGACTGAGCCTCTGTCTTCCAGTCTCTGTGGGAGGTTAGAATCCTAACTTCTAATATTGCCAGCTGGCAGACACAGCTGTCCTGATGAGGCAGACATTTAAAATGACCAATCTTTTGTAATGTTTCACTTGTGCCCTGCCCCCTGCCCTCTCCCCTGCCTCTCTCTCCCATTAGAATGCCATCACCTCTGCACAAATGCGAACAGAACCAGCCCCTTCCTCTACGGTCAGTAGTTACTGAATAAAATTGGTTTTCATCGATTTGACTAATGTCTGATATATCTTTGACAAAATAAGTGTGAATGATTGTTTTTAGAGACACGGCAGCTGCAAAGAGAGGCACAGACATGGCAGGAGAGGGAGGGGTCACCTGACCCTTCTCATTTCATAGGCATCTATTCCTGCCTGGTGTTTATGAGCCTGAGACTTGGCAGGGCTGTCCTGGTATATAACTCCATGGCTCTGCAGCAAGACTCGAATAGGCTGGTGGTGACACTTGGTGTGACCAGTCACCTTCAAAGATGCCATTAAGGGTTCACAAGAAAATGAAGGGAAACAGAAAAACTGATTATGAAAGTTGTTGCCTCTCCTGCTTCTTCATACAGAGTGTGTATGATATTGCTGTGTGATGTTAGACTGCAACTTAGCCCAACAGCTGTTCTAGTAATTGGCAGTTTCTCATCGAGTTAAGCCTACCTGATAAAGAAGCACGCTTACATTTATTGATTACCCCCGTAAAATGAACAATACATCCAACAAGGCTTCTAGCAAAAATGTTCTTATTAACCTCCTTTTTATACTAAGGAAAAACTGGGTACAACACAAATCTTCATCAACAGAAGAATACCAACTGTTATACAGTCATAAAACGATCCCAGAAGTTCACTCCATACCATCAAAACCAGGAACCCACACTGATGCCCCTGATGGCAGAAAATCATGATACAAAAATGAGAGAAACGAGAGAGAGAAAATGTACTAGAGTCATGGTAGTGGGTAAAAGCCAAAGAGCTCAGTTTCTACTCATGATATTCATTAGAAGAACCAAAGGAACATGAGCCAACAGCTGTAAGGGTCCAGGTCTGCACAAGGTGCCTGTTGGGTGCAGGGTTCTGTTGGCTCCAGTGATATATCTCAGGTGGGCTAATTTTTACGGACATAGCCGCTGCAAAAATCTATCAAACAATAATAAAGGGATAGCTACTTGCATGCTAATTTACCATTGTATAGAAGGGAGAACAGGCATCAGATTGTTTTCGTCAAATAAAAGCAAAACCAAGATTTATGAAGAAAAGAGGAAAGAGGAAAAAAAATCGCCTGGGACCTTTGTGATTTTGCTCCCCTTGGATAAGAGACTTGACAGAAAGCTTTCAAAGAGGTCACTGTGGCCTGTCTTCTTGAGACACACGACACTTGTTCACCACGGAAAACAATTACAGATGTTGGAGGACTTTAAAATATCCTAGTTTAGCAGTTCATCCTATGCCACAGAATCTGTGTGTGATGTCCACCATGTCCTTCTGTGGTACACCCCTTCAGTTAAGCCAGGAGGGTGCCTCTCCCCTCAGTGGAATATCATACATCAATGTGTAGAAAGTTTGTTGTGCTGGCAAGTAAATGACAAAAGGGACATTGATAGAATTAGGAAACAAATTGGAATATGATCTGTTACCGTTCCCATGGAAGATAAATTTGCAGAATATACTCAAATTAGAAGCATTAAATAAATGCTGTAATTTAAAATGGCACATCCCATTCTCTACACTACAGAAATATCTGCAGGAGTGACCAAAGATATGTGTACAACTATGGTAGAGATTGCAGCATCAGTTATAATCCTAAAACCATGAAACCCACCTTATTTCAAAAACATCTTGAAAAGGGTTAAATAAATCACGCACAAACTGAGGAAGAAATGCTGTTTTCACAAACAATGGTGAGGCTCACCATGAGGATGACTGATTCCACACTGTTCACATTTGATAGAGCAATCAGTTCACCTCCTGAGTTCAAGCGCTCCTCCTACCTCAGCCTTTCAAAGAGCTGGAACTACAGGCGGGTGTCAACACGTTCGGATAACTTTTGCATTTTTTTGGTAGAGATGGGGTTTCGCCATGTTGGCCAGGCTGGTCTTGAACCCCTGGGCTCAAGCAATCCGCCCACCCCAGCCTCCCAAAGTGCTGGAATCACAGGTGTGAGCCACTATGCCCAGCCAGATTTTATTTTTCTCTGAAAAGATGGTACATTTACATGGTTCAAAATTCAGATAGGGCCAGGCGTGAGCCCTGGAGTTCGAGACCAGCCTGGGCAAAAGAGAGCCCTGTCTCTACTTTAAAAAAAAAAAAAAAAAAAAAAATTCAAATAGTACAGAAAATTATAAAGTTAAAATAGGCATCTCTTATATTCCTGTCTCCCAATCTCACCCTGTAGGCAATCTGTGGGATGCTGTTCCCGTGACTCCTTCCAGGGATATTTTAGATCAAGTCTTCCTCTTGTCGCCCAGGCTGGAGTGCAATGGCATGATCTTGGCTTACTGCAACCTCCACCTCTCAAGTTCAAGTAATTCTCCTGCCTCAGCCTCCCAGATAGCTATGATTACAGGTGCCCACCATCATGCCTGGCTAATTTTTGTATTTTTAGTAGAGATGGGGTTTCACCATGTTGGCCAGACTGGTCTAGAACTCCTGACCTCAGGTCATCTGCCTGCCTCAGCCTCCCAAAGTGCTGGGATTACAGGTGTGACCTCCATACTCGGCCTTTTTATTTATTTATTTTTTGAGATGGAATCTTGCTCTGTCACCCTTGCGGGAGTGCAGTGGCACAATCTCAGCTCACTGCAACCTCAGCCTCCCAAGTTCAAGCGATTCTCCTGCCTCAGCCTCTCTAGTAGCTAGGACTACAGGCGTGTGCCACCACACCCGGCCTCCCTTCCCATTTTTTTAATGCCAAAGAGAACATATTATATATACACTTTGTTCTGTACCTTGCTACCTGTCCTTGATAGTTTGGGGACCATCCCTTATCCCTTATCAATATATAAAGAGCTTCTTTTTCATTGTTTTCCCCAGAGATCTAGTATTCCACCAGATATGCCTAAATTTATATAATCCATCCCTTACTGATGGGCCTTGTAGCAGGTAGACATAGTGGGTGAACTGTGTCTCCCAAAAAAGTATGTTCAAGTCCTAACCCCCGACACCTGTGAATGTGATCTTATTTGGAAATAGGGCATTTGCAGATAATATCCTCCTGGATTTAGGGTGGGGCCTAAATCCAATGATGGGCATCCTAATAAGGAAAGGAGAGGACACACATGGAAACACAGGGAGGAGGCAGAGATTGGCGTGATGCTGCCACACACCAAGGAATGCTCGGGGCCACCAGAAGCCTGAAGTGGCAAGGATTCTGGCCTAGACCCTCTGGAAGGAGCATGGCCCTACTGGCATCTTGATTTCAGATGTCCAGCCTCTAGAACTGGGAGAGAATAAATACATTCAGGTGGTTTAAAGCACCCAGTGTGTGGTCACTTGTTACAGCAGCCCTAGCAAGCTAATACACAGGTAGACTTGTTTTGAGACGAAGTCTTGCTTTGTTGCCAGGCTGGAGTGCAGTGGCACAATCTCGGCTCACTGCAACCTCTGCCTCCTGGGTTCAAGTGATTCTCCTGCCTCAGCCCCCCGAGTAGCTGGGACTACAGGCGCATTCCACCACGCCCAGCTAATTTTTAGAAGAGGCGGGGTTTCACCTTGTTGGCCCGGATGGTCTTCATCTGTTGGCCTCGTGATCGGCCCACCTCAGCCTCTCAGAGTGCTGGGATTACAGGCGTGAGCCACTGCACCCCGGCCAGGTAGACTTCTAAGATGGCTCTCAATGATCCTTGCCTCCTGGTATCCACACCCTCCACTTAGTGCGGACAGGACTTGTGACTTCTACTCTGAAGACCCAGCCAAGGGATGGGATCATTTCTGGAATTAAAACTATGACTGCTATCTTGCCACAATCACGTTTGCTGGCTTCAATGAAGCAACTGCAAAGATGTGAACTATGCAGAGGCCTACGTGGAAAGAAAATGAGAGTGACCTCTGTCCAACAGCCACGAGGAACAGAATCATGCCCAAAACCACGTGAGCGAGCTTGGAAGCAAACGCTTTCCCTGCTGGGCCTTAAGATGACAGTGCGGCCTCGACTGACACCTTGACTGCAGCCTGTGAGAGGCCTGTGACCCAGCTGAGCTGCACCAGATTCCTGACCACAGAAGCGGAGATGACAAATGCAGGTCATTTTGGGCGGGTGTGGTGGCTCATGCCTGTAATCCCAGCACTTTGGGAGGCTGAGGTAGGCGGATCACCTGAGGTCAGGAGTTTGAGACCAGCCTGGCCAACAGGATGAAACCTTGTCTCTACTAAAAATACAAAAATTAGCCAGGCATGGTGGCGGAAGCCTGTAATCCCAGCTACTTGGGAGGCTGAGGCAGGAGAATCGCTTAAACCTGGGAGGTGGAGGTTGCAGTGAGCTAAGATTGCACCATTGCACTCTAGCCTGGGCAACAAGAGTGAAAATCTGTCTCAAAAAAAAATAAAAATACAAATAAATAAAGTACCTACTTACAGGCTTTGTATGGTTGGCTAAAAAAAAAAAAAAAAAAAAAAGAAAAAAAAAAAAAAACAGTATCTGTCTACATTCAAGCTGCGGTGAGGAAAAATTGGTCTTTTCCCTACTCCAGTCCACTCAGTCCACAGAGCATGGTATCTTTCTCACTCCCAGCTCATAGAAATCGACAACTATTAAGCACCTACTGTGTGCCCATGATGCATTTCAGTAGCTTTCAATCACCAATGGAATAAAGCCCCACCCTTCGCCTGTCATTCCTACTTGCCACGGCTTTCGTAAGCCATGTGGAGGGAATGGGACTTTTCATATATTAAGGGGGTCTTATGTGCCAGGCTTTGCAGGGAGCACTGCTCCAAAGAAGTAGCCACCCTGACTAAAAGCATGGATGCTGGAGCCAGACTGCCTGGGTTCAAATCCCAGCTCTGCCACTTACCAACCATGTGACTTTGAACAAATTATATAATTTCTCTGCATTTCTCATTTTCGAAACAGGGATGAGTACTGCTATAAACATTTGTGTCCACCCCCACCTCCAAATTCATACTGAAACCTAACCCCTAGTATGATGGTATTTGGAGGTGAGTTCTTTGGAAGGTAATTATGTCATAAGCGTAGAGCCCTCACAAACAGTATTGCCCTTATAAGGAAGCCCCAGCCAGGTGTGGTGGCTCACGCCTATAATCCCAGCACTTTGGGAGGCTGAGGCAGGTGGATCATGAGGTCAGGAGTTTGAGACCAGCCTGGCCAATAAGGCAAAACACCATCTTGACTAAAAATACAAAAATTAGCTGGGCGTGGTGGCATGTGCCTGTAGTCCCAGCTACTTGGGAGGCTAAGGCAGGAGAATTGCTTGAACCCAACAGGCAGAGGTTATAGTGAGCCAAGATCACACTCCAGCCTGGGCAATAAGAGCAAAACTATCTTTAAAAAAAAAAAAGGCAGTGCCATTCCCATGTGGTGGCTCATGCCTTTAAGCCCAGCACTTTGGGCGGCCAAAGCAGGAGGATCACTTGAGGCCAGGAGTTTGAGATCAGCCTGGTCAATATAGCAAGACTCCATCTCTTAAAAAAAAAAAAAAAAAAAAAAAAAAGTCCCCAGAGTACTCTATTGCCCCTTCTACCATGTGAGGTTACAGCAAAAAGACGGCCTCACCAGACACCGAATCTGCTGGTGCCTTGGACTTCCCAGCCTCCAGAACTGTGAGCAAAAAATTTCTTTTGTTTATAAACTACCCAGGCTATGTTATTCTGTCATAGTCCCAAATAGACTAAAACAAGTACTTACTGGCCAGGTGCGGTGGCTCACACTTGTAATCCCAGCATTTTAGGAGGCCAAGGCAGGCTGATCACTTGAGGTCAGGAATTTGAGACCAGCCTGGCCAACATGATGAAACCCCGTCTCTACTAAAAATCAAAAAAATTAGCCGGAAGTACTGGCACACGTCTGTAATCACAACTACTCGGAGGCTGAGGCAGAAGAACTGCTTGAACGCAGGAGGCAGAGGTTGCAGTGAGCTGAGATCATGCCACTGCATTCCAGCCTGGGCCACAGAGCGAGACTGTCTCAAAACACAAAAAAAACAAGTCCTTACCTCATGGGGTTGTAGAGATGATGCAATGAGTTTTATAAGTGCATAGAATAGTGCCTAGCAGAGAGTTAAGCATTACTTTAGCAATAAACAATAAGCATTACTTAAAGGCAACAGGAAGGCCCAAAGGAGCATCATAAGGGACCTCCCAAGGCCCTACAGCTATTAAGTCTATCCAGATTCTCTCTTTTCCACACTGATTCCCACCTCAAACACACTTTGCTAACCTTTGTGTTGGTTATCTATTGCTGCATAACCTTACCAGAAACTTAGCGACTTAACACAATACATTTACCATCTGTTCCTATGGGACAGTCTGGGCACAGCTTAGCTGGTCCTCTGCAAGGCTGCAGTCAGTGTTGGTCAGGCCTGGGGTCTCACCTGAAGGCTTACCTGGGAGTGATCAGCCTCCAAGCTTGTGTGGTTGCTGGCAGCATTTGCTTTCTTGCAGACTGCTGGACTGAGCTTCAGTTTCTTGTTGGCTGTCAGAGGCTACCTCAGTTCCTAGCCACCTGACCCTCTCCCAAGGGCAGCTCACACAACATGACAGCTTCCTTCTTCAAAGCCAGCAAGAGAATTTCTCAGCAAGGCAGATGTTGCAGTCTTACATAAGGCAACCATGAAAATAACATCTTGTCACCTTTGTGGCACTCTACTGGTTAGCAGTCACAGGTCTAGGCCATCTCAAGGGGCAGGGAGTACATAAGGCTGTGAACAGCAGGTGGGGATCACAGTGACCACCTGGGAGTCTATCTGCCACACCTCCCAGTGCATCCAAATTCTGTTGTGCAGAGGGCAAGTGAGGTCTAGCATACCCCCCAAGAAAGCAGCCATCTTCTACCATCCACCCACCAGTTTGTAAACTCCAGTCAGGGGTGTAATTGAAGTGATGCCTGGTTTGGGATTGAGTTTTCCTGGAGATTCTGGTCCTGTAATGAGTTTTTTCCAGCTGGGATTCCAGTTAGTGATGGACAGCATCAAGCTGTCCCTTGCTCCTGGCCCCAGACCCCACAAGGTGCTTTTCAGGCTAGATTCCTGAGGGCTGTGTCATCAGCTGTGCCACCTCCTCCTCCCTACCATGATGAACTGTTCTGGGTACTTACCTGACTCCAGAGAAAGGTCATTAAGGTCAAACAATGCAATGTGCATCTGCTAGTGCCTCATCCGAGTGACGCTCAGGTGAAGGAACAGCCTGTGGCCACACGTCTAACCAGGGGATAGCCTAGATCCTAAGGCCAGGTCTGTCTCCACAATCCAAGTGCTGATCTTCAATGGTACATACTTTTTTTTTTTTTCCTTTTGAGACAGTCTTGCTCTGTTGCCCAGGCTAGAGTACAGTGGCATGATCTCAGCTCACTGCAACCTCCACTTCCTGGAGGCAATTCTCATGCCTCAGCTTCTCAAGTAGCTGGGATTACAGGCGTGCGCCACCATGCCTGGCTAATTGTTGTATTTTTAGTAGACGGGGTTTCACCATGTTCGCCAGGCTGGTCTCGAACTCCTAACCTCAAGTAAGCCACCCACTTCGGCCTCCCAAAGTGCTGGGATTGTGGGCATGAGCCACCACACCCAGCCATGGTACACACTTCTAATAAAGCTTCCTCTACATCTAAGCTTTCTGATTTCCACCCTCCAAGTACTTAAAACTGACTCGATGTGAAGTAATGCTATGTGAAATCGACATAAAAAAGTTACTGCTCCCGAAGATCCTTTAATGCAATCTCCTTACCCTTAATTCAATGGGCAAGAGAATCTTCAATTTTCATTTTCTTTCTCCTCTCTACAGTTTCTTAATCAGAGTGGCTATTTCCATAACAATAAAAACTGCTTCTTACAGAATCCTCAGGCAAAAGAAGTGTTGTGGCTTTTTTTCATTTTTAATTCTTTTAGAGAATTCTCTAGGGTCTCACTGCTGCCTAGACTGGAGTGCGAGGCCGTGATCATAGCTCACTGCAGCCTCAAACTCCTGGGCTCAAGCAATTCTCCCACCTCAGCCTCGCAAGTAGTTAGGATTCCAAGCATGCACCACCACCACACTAATTTTTTTTTTTTTTTTTTTTTTTAAGAAATGGGGTCTAACAGCCGGGTGCCGTGGCTCACGCCTATAATCCCAGCACTTTGGGAGGCCAAGGCGGGCAGATAACTTGAGGTCAGGAGTTTGAGACCAGCCTGGCCAGCATGGTGAAACCCCATCTCTACTGAAAAAATACAAAAATTAGCTCGGTGTGGTAGGTGCCTGTAATCTCAGCTACTGGAAAGGTTGAGGTAGGAGAATCACTTTAACCTGGGAGGCGGAGGTTGTAGTGACCAAGATTGCTCCACTGCACTCCAGCCAGGGCAACAGACTGAGACTGTGTCTCAAAAAAAAGGAAAGAAATGCATCTTACTATGTTGCCCAGGCTGGTCCCAAACTCCCAGCCTCAAATGATCCTCCCGTCTTGGCCTCTCAAAGTGCTGGGATTACAGGCGTGAGCCACTGCACCCGGCCTCTTAATTTTACTTTTGACCTCTGGGTATCTGCACCCCTTTACTACTTAGGGAGATGCTCTGCCGGTAGGTTTGGTGGAAGACGGAAAGCAAGGGGCCAGGCTCTCTAGAACGGCCTGTATCATGAGACGCCACAAGAGAATTAAGCCCCACACAAAGTGATTCAAGCAACTACTTTCACATCAACCAAAGGATGATGAAAAGACTGTACTATCCTAGAGAACACAGGAGAGAAGGTACCGATTGCCTTAGACAACAAGGTTGCATTTCCTCACTTTGGCCAGCCTCACACCCCAGCCCTGAACTTTCAATCTGGACACTTGGTCAGTGGTGAGAGAAGTGGCCGTGAGTCTAGCTGTGGCACCCTGAAGAGTTTAACAGCCACGCGGCCAGAAACACATTCATCTTTCACATACAATGACAGAAGTAAAAATATTTATTTTATCTTAAAAATCTGGTCCCGCAAAAAGGCCAACACTTTTTTCAGTTCACGGTCTTGACCTTTCAAAGAAGAAATCTTTCAACTGAGAGGTGAGTTAATAAAAGGAATGTCAGAGGTGCTTTCAGATTTCTTATAAACCAGTAAACCAAGCAACCCTGGACTTCTAGTTTACTGAGCTCCTTCTTCTAGCCATTCACAGTTCCTGAAGGAGAAAAGAAGTTGTTTGCAGATAAGGCACTTTAGAAACCACCAAAGAGAAAACCCAAGTCTGCCAGGAGCTGCACTGTGAACATGTGAGCCGAGAGGGCCACCAGCAGACAGAGTGCCAACTCCCACAGCTCCATGACAACAGCATCCACCTTCCTGCCCCAACACTGTTCCGTCTGGCTTCCAGCACCCGCCTTGGCTCTGTGTTGCCTACCTGGCCTAGAATACATGGAAACCAGACAACTGGCCAGAGATAAACACTGCTGCCTGAAGCTCAGGGCAGCTGCCCACAGTGAGGAATCCCTTCAGAGGCCCCAGCTGGGGCACGCCGAGGGAGCAGTTCCTTTTGCAAAGATGAGTTAGTGCGGATCAGCACATTAGCAAAGCAAAATATTTAAACATTTTTAAAAGCTGCTAATCCTTCCAATTTCCCTCCTGATTGTAGCTCAAGCTGCAGCCTCTAAACCTGCTAAAAATCAGGAAGAAACCCCTCCTCTGGAGGGCAGATGGACTGAAGTGGCTACAGCCAGTGTGGGTACGGAAAGCCTCCCGCTGAACTGTGATCATGTGACACCTGCAGACCCTGGGAAGGGCTGATCTGAATCCTGGCAGCAAACTCAACCTCTTCTTTTGCTTGGGGGGCTTGTGTTTAATACAGGTCATTGCGATGGAAGAAGTCTCAGAGTCTCTCTCACATCAAGAGGACAGATGGGGACAGGGATCCTGGAGCTTTTCTTCTCCTGTGTTCTGGTTGCATACTTGAATCCCAGGAAACAGTGTGACACGGTGCCAATTTACTGCCAAACATGCCCGGTTTGTCAACAGAGCCAGACAAGGAGGAGAGGAGAGATTCATGCCCCAAACACAGGCCAGCTGAGGAGGGCTTCGTCCTCCTTCCTTTGGCCCAGATGAGGGAGCGCCTTCCCAGAAGTCACATGAGGAAAAACCGTGCTCAGGTCAGAACTGGACCCAGCCTGTGCCTGGCTGGGTCTGGCTGGAAGTTGATCTGTAAAGAGAAGACAGGGAAGGGTGGGGGAGTTCAGATCTTTGAAAATACAAAGCAGATAAAAGTTGGTTTCTCTCTGGACAGAAAAAGCTCTAAGAAGCCAGTTCCTAAATGTTCTAGAGCAGCAGTCAGCAAACTCTGGCACAGAGACCAAATCTGGCCCTCGATGGTTTTTTTTTTTTAAATAGTTAATGTAACTGTATTTACCAAAGTTTTTTGTTTGTGGTTTTGTTTTTTGTTTTGTTTTTTTTTTGAGACAGGGTCTCACTGTCGCCCAGGCTGGAATGCAGTGGCACACTCAAGGCCAACTATAGCCTCAACCTCTTGAGCTCAAGCGATCCTCCTACCTCAGCCTCCCTAGTAGCTGGAACTACATGACCGGTTAATTTTTGTATTTCTTTTAGTAGACACAGGGTTTTGCCATGTTGCCCAGGCTGGTCTCGAACTCCTGGCCTCAAGTGATCTGCCTGCTTTGGCCTCCCAAAGTGCTGGGATTACAGGCGTGAGCCAACATGCCTGGCCGAAGAGTCTTAACCCCTTTCCCATGTAGAAAAAATATAGCTCACTGCCAGCCCTCATTTAATTTTACATAAACATGCTCTTTGAGGCTGAAGCAAATCTGACTGATTTTCAACGTGAAAATAAAATATAAAAACTGTTCTTGGAGTTATTTCAGAATCATCTGAATAATCAGAACTATTTTGGAAAAATCAGACTCCTCAAATGAATCTTAGGCTAAAAACTGTTCAAGAACGATGTTAACATCACATGTAAGAATGCTGCGTTTTCTAGGATTTGACTTTTTCAGTAATCAATAATTACTATATTTTGGGCCAGGCATGGTAGTTCACGCCTGTAATCCCAGCACTCTGGGAGGCTGAGGTAGGCGGACTGCTGGATTCCAGGAGTTCCAGACCAGCCTGGGCAACATAGCAAAACCCCGCCTCTACTAAAAATACAAAAAATTAGCCGGGTGTGGTGGCAATTGCCTGTAGTCCCAGCTACTCAGGAGGCTAAGGGATAATCACCTGAGCCTGGAAGGTCAAGGATGCAGTGAGCCGACATCACGCCACTGCACTCCAGCCTAGGCAACCAGAGTGAAACCTTGTCTCAAAAAAAAAAAAAAAAAAAAAACAGAATTACTATATTTTGTAAATGGAAATACCACTATTAAAAACAGAATGCTATAAATAGAATGTCTTTTGTTCCAAAGCTGATATACTAGAGCGATGCAAAAATAATATAAAAGCAATACATTTTGTGGCAAAGTTATCTCAGGGTCAACGCTGCAGTCTGAAGTGCCACTGGCAAGTTTTCTCAGGGCAAACAGGAAAAGGGTTACAGTCCTCATTTCACGCCTCTGTTTTTTTTGTTTGTTTATTTGTTTTTTGAGATGGAGTCTTGCTCTTGTGACCCAGGCTGGACTAGAGTGGCATGATGTCAGCTGACTGCAATCTCCCGGGTTCAAGCAATTCTCGTGCCTCAGCCTCCCAAGTAGCTGGGATTACAGGCACCACCCCACCACGCCCAACTAATTTTTGTGTATTTAGTAGAGATGGGGTTTGACCATGTTGGCCAGGCTGGTCTTGAACTCCTGACCTCAGGTGATCCGCCTGCCTGGGAATCCCAAAGTGCTGGGATTACAGGCATGAGCCACCGCGCCCAGCCCATGCCTCTATTTTTGTAAATAAAATTTTACTGGCACACAGCCATGCTGATTTATTTACATATTGTCTGTGGCTGCTTTTGTGCAACAAGAGCAGAACTGAGTAGCTAGAACGAAGACCACACGGCCTGAATAGTCTAAACTATTTGCTATCTAGTCCTTTACAGAAAATGTGGCTGGGCACACTGGCTCGTGCCTATAATCCCAGCACTCTGGGAGGCCGAGGCAGGCAGATCGCTTGAGCCCAGGAGTTCAAGGCCAGCCTGCGCAACATGGCAAAACCCCGTATCTATGAAAAAATACAAAAAATAGCTGGCATGGTGATGTGCACCTGTAGAGCCAGCAACATGGGAGAATGTGGTTGCAGTAAGCCGTGATAGTGCCACTGCACTCCAGCCTGGGTGACAGAGAGAGACCCTGTCTCAAAACATGAAAAGAAAAAGAAAATGTGTGCTGACCCCTGTCCTAGAATCTGTCCATGTAAATAATAGTGCAGTAGGAATTTAGTATCTTTTCACCCTGGCCCCAAGTAAAGTCTTGAGATCTTATGGAATCAGAGAAGACAAGCCACCTAGCCTCAGGCGTTCTATGAGGATGGGCTGAGGCTGGAGCCTGGGTCTGAACTCTCAGTCCACTATTTTGGGGAAGGTGGGGGATGGGGTATAGAAGAAGGAGGTACTGGGGACAAGCCAAAGCACTTGGGAAGGCGGTTTAAAGGCCCAGATTTGCAAAGGGTTGCCCCAGGCTATATAGCACTGGAAAGCAGCAAAACCTCCACGGAAAGACGTGTGCCACCCAAAGCAGGCACGCTGGGGCTCTGTCCTCTGGCTAGCTTGAAAACATCCAAATCAGGCCAGGCGCGGTGGCTCATGCCTGTAATCCCAGTACTTTGGGAGGACGAGGCAGGTGGATCGCCTGAGGTCAGGAGTTCAAGACAACCCTGACGAACATGGTAAAACCCCATCTCTACTAAAAATATAAAAAATTAGCCAGGCGTGGTGGCAGGTGCCTGTAATCCCAGCTACTCAGGAGGCTGAGGCAGGAGAATAGCTTGAACCTGGGAGGCAGAGGTTGCAGCGAGCCAAGATCATGCCATTGCACTCCAGCCTGGGCAACAAGAGCAAAACTCCCTCTCAAAAAAAAAAAAAAAAGAAAAGAAAACATCCAAATTAAAACTGTTACTCCTAATCCTAACACCAGAAGGCAGGCATGTGGAACAATACCAGGTTTGTAGAGCAACGGCCCTGGCCCCAGCCCCTCCGCAGAACATGGCCCTCCTTACCCTGTAGATTTGGTAAAGTCTCCCCAGATGTCAGCAGTGGCAGGATTGGGCTGTGGCCAGGGTACAGGAGCACCTCCTATTGATGTTCCCGAGTCCGACCCGTAGGAAGAGAAGAGGGGACAGAGAAGTCAGAGACCTTTCTGGTTGTTTCAATGACCAAATCATGAGACTCAGTGATCAGTCTCATGACACCAGGTAGCTGGGAAAGCCACACCAGACATGCTTTTGGGCAACCAAACACCCTGAGTTGCCACACTTCCAGCATCTTCTCACCAGCCCTTGTGCGCTCTGGAGAAAACGCAGAAAGCCACATACAAGGTGGAACGAGGGGTGCCCGCGGGATGGGTGGTTAGTCTCACGTCATCTAACATGCATACCTGAAGCTGACTTTGTTATCAACCATTTATGTTGAAATCTATTTAAAATTTACTATAACCCGTCTTAGCTTCTTGAACGGAGAATGTCCACCAAAACCGCAAGATCATCTTCATATCAAGCCTGCACTACCATGTCTGGATGAACTGGCTGAGAACACTACGTGCCAGCCACGTGCCAAGTCCCAGGCCCCAAACTGGTTAGGGGTCAGGAAGAGCATTCCAAAGAGCTCACACAGAAGCTCAATCCTATCTCTCCACCAAGGTAGGCGACGCCATGGGGCTGCAATGCCTGCTTTTGTGCTTTTCAGGCACCTCCCCCAGTGCTGCCAACTGCCCTTCTGAAGGGCCTGTGTTTGCCACCCTCCACCTTGGCACTAAGTTGCTATTTCTAATCTGCTCTGGGCCAGGAGAACAGATAAAACTAGGGCCCTCAATGGTTTAGAGTTTTACAGTTCACCAAGTGCTCAAGGCACATTATCTTCTGTGAACCTCACCCCAGCCCCTAGGGAAAGACAGATTGGGATGAGCCACGTGACTGTGCAGGTCATTTCAGTTTCCATTCTCTTACCTCTAAAATGCTGAAAATAACAGGAACTACTCCATAGGACTGGTGTGAAGATTAAATATCCACAGAATGCTTAGAACAGGTCCAGCATATAGTGGCAATAACGATATTAATAAAATGAGATCTAACATTCAGTGAGCACTTAGAATGTTCCAAAAATTGTTCTAAGTGCTATACATAAATCAGCTTATTTGATCCTCACAAGAAACTTATATTTTAAGTATCATTACTTCCCCTATCCTACAGATGAGAAAAATGAGGCATGGAGAAGTGATTTTCTAAAGATCACAAAACTGGGCTGGGCACAGTGGCTCAGCCTGTAATCCCAGCACTTTGGGTGGCTGAAGCAGGTGGATCACCTGAGGTCAGGAGTTCGAGACCAGCCTGGCCAACGTGGTGAAACCTCTGTCTCTACTAAAATTACAAAAATTAGCCAGGTATGGTGGTGCATGCCTGTAATGCCAGCTACTTGGGAGGCTGAGGCAGGAGAATTGCTTGAACCCAGGAAGCGGAGGTTGCAGTAAGCTGAGATCATGCCACTGCACTCCAGCCTGGGCAACAGAGTGAGACTCCTTCTTAAAAATAAATAAGTAGGCGAGGTGCGGTGGCTCATGCCTGTAATCCCAGCACTTTGGGAGGTCAAGGCGGGAGGATCACCTGAGGTCAGGAGTTCAAGACCAGCCTGACCAACATGGAGAAACCCCGTCTCCACTAAAAATACAAAATTAGCCACGTGAGGTGGCGCATGCCTGTAATCCCAGCTACTTGGGAGGCTGAGGCAGGAGAGTCGCTTGAACCCAGGAAGCAGAGGTTGTGGTAAGCCGAGATTGCGCCATCACACTCCAGCCTGGGCAACAAGAGCAAAAAACTCCATCTCAAAAATAAAAAATAAAAATAAATAAATAAATATCACAAAGCTAGTAAGCTGAAATTTGAACCCAACCATATTGTTCATATAGTAAGTGCTTCATAAATGTTGATATTCATGACTTATTATCTGACACCATTTTGTTTGTTGACATGCTAACTGCCTGTCTCAGACACCAGAAAACAAGCCCTTGAGAGCTGAAACTGGATGCTATACGTACCAGTGCCTAGAACTCTACCTGGCACACAGCAAGTGCACCATATTAAAATTAAAATGCTGTTAAAAATGCATCAGCAAGGCCAGGCACGGTGGCTCATGCCTGTAATCCCAGCACTTTGGGAGGCTGAGGCGGGCAGATCACGAGGTCAGGAGATCGAGACCATCCTGGCCAACACAGTGAAACCCTGTCTCTACTAAAAATACAAAACTTAGCTGGGCGTGGTGGTGCGTGCCTGTAATCTCAGCTACTCAGGAGGCTGAAGCAGAAGAATCACTTGAACCCAGGAGGTGGAGGTTGCGGTGAGCCGAGAACATGCCACTGCTCTCCAGCCTGGGTGACAGAGCAAGACTCCATCTTAAATAAATAAATATCCATCAGCAACCTTGGTTGCTTAGGAAGGCCTAAGGTAGTAGCTCTCAGACTTTAGTCAACACACAAACAAGAACAAACATAAGGGCCGGGTGCAGTAGCTCACGCCTGTAGTCCTAGCACTTTGGGAGGCTGAGGCGGGCGGATCACCTGAGGTTGGGAGTTCAAGACCAGCCTGACCAACATGGAGAAACCCTGTCTCTACTAAAATTACAAAATTAGCTGGGTGTGGAGGCACATGCCTGTAATCCCAGCTACTCAGGAGGCTGAGGCAGGAGAATCACTTGAACCCAGGAGGCAGAGGTTGCAGTGAGCCGAGATCACACCATTACACTGCAGCCTAGGCAACAAGAGCAAAAAAACTCCATTTCAAAAAAAAAAAAAAGACACAAGAATGCAGATTCTTGCCCCCATCCCCCAGCGATGCCAAAGCAAGTGGTCCTATGACCCCACTCTGAGAAATAGCACTTAAAGAACAGTTCCTGGTACCGGGCCGGGGCTCTCTGACTGCCCCTCCTGCCACTCTCCCCACAGGACTGAAGTCTGAAGCTTGACCTCCAGATAGGGCAGCCAATGTTGGGGAGGCTTAGGAATCAGTAAAGCAGGAAGGCTTCCTGCCTGCAAGCTGGGGAGAGCTGTGTGCAGAAGGCACGCTGGTGACAATCGCCCAGCCTGGGGAAGGCCAGGAGCATCAAGCTGGGCTGGGCGGGGCGGCGGGCGGGGGGGGCGCGCGGGGAGGTAGAGGAAAAGGGCTGGCACCCCAGCGTGGTCAGAAGCTGACACTAGACACTCGCTTCCGGAATCCCAGGGTCTCCTAAGGGCTCCTCAGCACAAACTGCCAGGGCAAATGCTCTCAGATTCCCACACCCGAGGTGCTCACTCCAAACGAAATCTCATTTCCCACCACTCACCTTGGCACACCTTATGCTGTACCCATCTCCCTAAATACACCAGGTGTCTAAAAGTCTGGGCCTCATTCGTGTTCTTCTCTCTGCCTGGAATGCCAACCACTCCCACTCTATCTCCTTCCTTCAAGGTCCAGATCAATGTCACCTCTTTCATGAAACCTCTCCAGATCACAGCAGCTGATGGTGGGTCTAGGCCCTACACATTTGGTCTCTGTGCTGTGACTCATCTCTCTCACTACACGTGAGCAGAGACTGTGTCTCCATTACCCACTCACTCAATACCCACTGAGCAGACACTGGGAACCAGGAACCGACATGTTGATGATTTCACAGTAACTAACAAGTCGCAGCCCTGGCCTCTCAGGGGAGGGCAGACGCCCTAAAGGCCAAGTAGGAGGAGCCCCTTACCCAGCGTGTGCAGAATGAGCTTTGGGTGCCCGCCTTCTTTGACACGGACAGGTACTACATGACCAATCCATGTGTGTAACGGGGGGGAAACCATGGGGCCTGGCTGCCAGGGAGAAGAGGAGCCGGCAGGTACTGATGCAGCAGTCACCCACTGAGCACTAACCTGAACTGGGAGCAACTGCTGGCTGGACGAGGGATCCCCCCACAGCCAACTGCTCCCCAGGGGGAGGGATCAGGGTGGAGGTTTTCCCCCCTGGGGGAGGGGGAAGCAGGCTCAGCCCTCCTGTGCTGGCAGGCCGGACTCGGGGATTCCCAGCTGCTCCTTCCTTCTTCTTCATGTTCTAAAGAGGGAAGAGGAATGCAAATCAGCCCGTTCTGCTGGAGTCCCAATGCTACCAGAAAACCCCACAAGGAGGGCCAAGGTGACCCCAGACCCCCAACATCTGTGTAACCAAAAGATGGTCCTACCTAGCACCTCCATTGCTATGAGCTATACTTAGTGCATCATCATTCTGAATCTCTCACAAATAAGGTCCATTTTAAAACCCAGCACCCCCACTTCATTCATCAGGGAAATGCAGATCAAAGCTATAATGATATACCATTACACGCTCACCAGAATGGCTAAAATGTAGATTATCAAGTATTGACTACGATATGAAGTAACCATTCACGCGCTGCTGGCTTAAGTGTAAACTGGTAAAACTACTTTGAAAAATTATTTGAAAGGATTATAAAGCTCAACATAGGAACTTAAACTTATGACTCCGCAGTTCCACTCCTAGATATAAACCAACAGAAATCATACATATATGCACCAAAAACATGAACTCAAACATCTACAGCAGCATTATTTGTAATCGCCCCAAACTGGAAACTACCCAAATGTCCATCATCAGTAAAACATAAATAAATCGGGTGAATTCTCACAATGGTACATGCCACAACAATGAGAATGAACAAACTACACGCAACACCATGGATGACTCTCACAAAAATTACATTGAGTAAAAGAAAGAAATCATTCCAAATCAAGATTAGGTGTATGATTCAATTCATGAAAGTTAAGAACAAACAAAATCTAGGGTATGTGAAGTCAGGATGGGGTTACTCAGGGCAGTTACTGGGAGGGGCCAGGAGAGGTGTTTCCAGAGTGCTGACAATCTTTTGCATCTTGAGCAAGGTGCAAGTTTATAAATTGGGTGTTTTGTTTTGTTTTGTTTTTTGAGCCAGAGTTTCGCTCTTGTTGTCCAGGCTGGAGTGCAATGAATGGCTCGATCTCAGCTCACTGCAACCTCCACCTCCCAGGTTCAAGCCAATTCTCCTGCCTCAGCCCCCGGAGTAGCTGGGATTACAGCCATGGACCACCATGCCCGGCTAATTTTGTATTTTTAGTAGAGACAGGGTTTGTCCATGTTGGTCAGGCTGGTCTCGGACTCCCGACCTCAGGTGATCCGCCCACCTCAGCCTCCCAAAGTGCTGGGATTACAGGCGTGAGCCACCACTCCCAGCCTATAGATTAGATTTTTTAAATTTCACAGAGTTCTGCATTTATGATTTGTACACTTTTTTACATGCACATTATACTTCAAGAAAATGCTTTAAAAAAAAAACTGAGCACCAAGCATGAGCCAGAAAGCAGCACAAGTTACACAGATGAAGATAATGTGTTCCCTACTTGTAAGGAAAGCAGCAGCTTAATAAAATCGTAAGTCCAGCCCTGAAGTCAAAAGACCTCAAAGACCTCAGTGTGAGCACAGCTGTGCCAGTTATTTCTAGCTCTGTGACCCTGGGCAAGTCCCCAACCCTCCCTAAGCCTCCATTTCCTCATCTCATGGAGGAAAGGGAGAGGATGTTTAATTCACATGAGAAATGCCTAAAAAAAAAAAACAACAAAACAAAACAAAAAACAAAACAAAACAAAAAAAAACCACTACCTGGCCCTCAGCTGATGCTCATTAAATGTTAGTTTCCTCCAAGCGAGAGAAAGAATCACATCCCAACCAGTCCACTGGATTGGACTTGCATTTCTCTCTTAAGGGCCAGCTGGCCAACTTCAAGGATCCCAAATCATCACCAGCACGAAGCAGAAAAGAGGAGAAAGAGTAAGTAAAGAGGAAAAGCATTATTTTAGAGTTACAAAGCTTCTTGAAAAAACAAATCCATCTCAACACAGTATTCCTAGCAAAAACAAAAACCAATCCACTTGGTCCTTGGGTCCCCGCAATCATGACTCTGACCTCATCTCCCCTCTCCACCCTTGCAGCCAGGTAAAGGCCAACTTTAGGCAACCCAGCCCAGCCCAGCCCAGCCCAACCTGTTCCTATGAACAGGAGCTGACGGGAGGGAAGCCAGAGGCAGAGCAGCTCAGAACGAAGACACAGGAGCCAGGACAACACCATCAGCACAAGCTGCCCAGGACTCCCAGCGCCCACCTCAACGCCCTCCTGCCAGAACTCTCCCAAATCTTCCTTATTCAAGACACAGCCTGGGATGAGCACACAGGTCCCTCCTGATGCACTCTAATAGCTAGGACAGAAACACCACCTCTGGCAGCAAATGACTGATGCTCCTTCTCAGTTCAGAGGCTTTGCACCTGCTGTTCCTCTGTGTGAACCACTCTTTGATCACTCTTCCCTTGCCTACAGGTCCCTTCTTCCAGGAAGCCTTCCTTGGTTCCCACAACTATGGGCTGCACACCCTTCCTCTAGGAGCCCACGGCACCCAGGGCATCCCTTAGTCATGGAACCTTTCCTGCCATGTTGTTATCACATTTTTACCTGCCTGTCTCAGCTCAACTCTGAGCTCCATGAGAACAGAGGTCTCTTGTTCACCCCGATGCAGGACCTGGCACAAGGCAGATGCTCACTAAACATCTGCTGAACTGAAGGAGCTGAACTGTAAGAAGAGCAATGGGCTCTGGGGCTGGGTGGCCACAAGTATCACGTCACCACAGCCAAGCAAGGGTAGAACTCACTGCGATGTTGAGCTTGATGGTCTGGCCCTCCTTGAAGCCCAGGTCCAGTTTAGGGCCTTGGTCTGGGTTCTGGGCTTGTTTTGCAAATTCACACTGCTGTTTCACCCACCTGGGGAGAGAACATGAGGAAAAAGGTGAGGAAGGAAGAGACCAGCTGCCCTGCAATCACTGGCTCACTTCACTACTGCCTGCTATCAGTCCAGGCTGAGCCTCGTAGTGAGACGGGGTGCTGGAAAGAGTGCAGGCTTGGGAGTGAGGCCTGAATTCAAATCCCAATCTGACACTTAAGTAGCGGCATGCACATTGGTTTCCTCATCAGCAAAATATGCCCACAATTCTATAGGTTTTCAAGATGGCTACGAATGCAGCGAGATCACTTACGTAGAGGGTCCTAACACTATCTCTAGGACACGTGAGAGCCTGCCCTTCCCTCTACAGTATATGACATGAGAACTAAGATGCGGTCTCTACACACCCTCAAACACTCAGAAGGCAGACGGGGGGACAAGACAGATACCCAAAAGTAGAGGGCAACACAAAAGTCCCCCACCCTCCATACCACACCACCCAGCAGCACCGGTAAGGGAAGAGCCAGAGGCGCCCATGTGAGTGGCCGGGCACAGCCCACTCACTGGCAGCCTGAGTTCGAGCCCTGCAGATGGTGGAGGAGGACTTCCTGCCCTGTCTCTTAGCTTCAGAAAAGGACATCAGGGCATCTGCTGGGTGCCCTGGGAATCCAAGCGCCATTGATTACATGGAGGAGCAGGCCCAGAAAGGCCACAGGAGCCTGATGAGGACTCTGGCTGCTCAGGGGACTGGTAAGGGGAGACAGGTGGCAGGCCCGAAGGCTGGGATGGTAGAGATGAGCCTCAGGTAAAAGAGAAGGCTTTACAGCAGAGATGAACATTGGCAGAGAAGAGAGGTGGCTTGTCCTGGGTTCTCCTGAGTCTCTGCTGCCAGACAAATCACACACAAACACTTGGGTATCCTAACCTGGGAGATCATTCTGTCCAGGGAAAGAAGGGAGGGGCATGAGCGTGTGTCTCCCAGACCCACTCACTTGAAATGGTCCTGCAATGCAACATTGAAGTCAAAGGCATCACCTCGGTCCCCGAAGCCAATTCCAATAAACGCCCGTCGCCCTGGGGAACAACACATGATCAACCCACCTTCCAAAGGCAGAGAAAACCTTTCCCAAGAGGAGGAAGCACCAGGACCCATGCCTACCATTTCCATCTTCGATGCGGATCACGAAGTACCTGCTGGAATCCGTCACACTCTCCACAGCTGTGCCAGGAAACTGATCCACCGGGGCCTGAGCAAAGAGCTCCCCTGAAAGCACAGGTTAGGCTGAGCGCTGAGCCCTGAGCCCCCTTCCAGCCAAGGTTTTCTACCACACTACTGGGCCTTTTGCCCGCAAGGCATCTCTAACCAGCTGAGACAGATCGGCAAACCTTACTGTGGGATTCAAATCGAATCCATTCTTGCTAAAGGGAAGACACAGAAAATATAATCAAGGAAAGGCTTAAGTCAGAGAGCTTACAGGTCAAATTTAGCTCACAGTTTGGTATTCTGCCTGGCCTCTCTTAAAATTAAGCTTTATTAATGCTGAGCCTCCAAGCCCACCTGAGAATAAGTTGGAGCTGCTAGCCCATCCATTCCATCTGCTTTACCCACTTATATTACCTGAACCCTGAGTGTCCTAGAACAGGTGAACCCTGGCCTAGGTAATCACACCTGCTGAAGAGGCTAGTACCTGAGGCAGGACTATAAGAGGGGCCAGTGAGCCCCGAGGAAAGAAGGGAGGAAGTTTTCATACCCATAGGGAATCTGAAGCAGGCTGATTTAATTCAATCTGAGACAGGGCAAGCGTGACTAGCTTTAAAAGCCCTTGTGAAACACATCACCTTGTCAACTACAGCACTCGACAGTGCGGCACAACATAAAATTTCCACAAGCATTTATGACTGGCATCAGTTTTTCCCATGTGCTGACGTCTGTTGTTGCTTTTAGTATTTTTTGTTTTGTTTTTTAGAAACAGGGTCATGGAGTGGGTATGGTCCCAGCACTTTGGGAGGCTGAAGTGGGGTGCGTTGCTTGAGCCCAGGAATTTGATTTATACCTTTTTTTTTTTTTTTTCCTGAGATGGAGTCTCCCTCTGTCACCCAGGCTGGAGTGCAGCGGCGCAATCTCGGCTCACTGCAACCTCCGCCTCCCAGGTTCAAGTGATTCTCCTGCCTCAGCCTCCCAAGTAGCTGGGATTACAGGCATGCACCACCACGCCCCACTAATTTTTGTATTTTTAGTAGAGACAGTGTTTCACCATGTTGGCCAGGCTGGTCTTGAATGCCTGACCTCAGGTGATCTGCCTGCCTCAGCCTCCCAAAGTGCTGGGATTACAGGCGTGAGCCACTGCACCCAGCCCAGCCCAGGAATTTGAGACTAGCATGAGCAAGATGGTGAAACCTGGTCTCTACAAAAAATCCAAAAATAAGCCAGGCATGGTGGCATGCACATTTAGTTCCAGCTCCCTGGGAGGCTGAGGCAGGAGGATCCCTGACCCCAGGAGTTGGAGGCTGCAGTGAGCTGAGATTGTGCCACTCCACTCCAGCCAACATGACAAGAAAAAAAAAAAAGAAAGAAACAGGGTCATGCTCTGTTGCCCAGATTGAAGTGCAGTGTGCAGTGCACCATAGCTCACTGCAGCCTCGAACTCCTGGGCTCAAGTAATCTTCCCGCTTCAGCCTCTCACGTAGCTGGGAATACAGGCACATGCCACCATGCCCACTCAATTTTTGTTAGAGATAGGGTCTTGATATGTTGCCCAGGCTGGTCTCTAACTCCTGGTCTTAAGTGATCCTCCCACCTTGGCCTCCCAAAGCCCTGGGATTATAAGCGTGAGTCACCACACCTGGCTGGTGCTTTAAGTATTTAACCATATATCTTCTACTGAATCCTGTGGTTTAGAGATAACTTTGTTTTTTGTTTTTTCCAAGACGGAGTTTCACTCTTGTTGCCCAGGCTGAAGTGCAACGGCACGATCTCGGCTCACTGCAACCTCCACCTCCCAGGTTCAAGCGATTCTCCTGCCTCAACCTCCCGAATAGCCGGGTTTACAGGCATGCACCACCACGCCCGGCTAATTTTGTATTTTTAGTAGAGGCAAGGTTTCTCCGTGTTGGTCAGGCTGGTCTCAAACTCCCGACCTCAGGTGATCTGCCTGCACTGGCCTCCCAAAGTGCTGGGATTACAGGCGGTGAGCCACCGTGCCCGGCCTTTTTTTTGTTTTCTTTTCTTTTTGAGACAGTCTTGCTCTGTCACCCAGGCTGGAGTGCAGTGGCGCAATCTCGGCTCACTGCAATCTCTACCTCCTCGGTTCAAGTGATTCTTGTGCCTCAGCCTCCCAAGTAGCTGGGATCACAGGTGTGCACCACCACGCCTGGCTAATTTTTGTATTTTTATTAGAGACAGGGTTTTGCCATATTGCCCAGGCTGCTCTGGAATTCCTGGGCTCAAGCGATCCACCTGTCTTGGCCTCCTAAAGTGCTAGGATTACAGGCATGAGCTACCATGCCCAGGCAAGAGGTAATTTTGTAATCAAGGCTGAACTGATTCAAAACCAACAGCCCTAGAGTCTGTGGTTTCTTGTCAATTTATCTGCCTTGTGTTCCAACCTCACCAAGATTCCTTCAGCCTACAGCAGTAGTTCTCAATCAGGGGTGATTTTGCTCCCCTGTCCCCAAGAGGACATCTGGCAATGTCTAGAGATAATTTTGATTGTCACAACTTGGGGGGTGCTACTGGCATCTGCTAGACATAGGCCAAGAATGCTGTGAAATGTCCTCACTGGGCTCCACAGCTCTCCAAAACAAAGACTCATCTGGCCCCAGGTGTCAACAGTGCTGAAGCTGAGAAAGCCTGGCCTAGAGTGATATGCTCATTACCTCATGGGAAAGTAAGAGTCTAACATGACCCAGGCATGACCTTGAGCTAAGAGCACCTTGGGGTGGGTCCCACAGGGGAGGCTCAGCCCTAGGCAGTGCCTGTTACGTTAGGGAGTCATGTTAAAGTCACAGCTGGCTGGGCACAGTGGCTCACACCTGTAATCCCAACACTTTGGGAGGCCGAGGTGGGCGGATCACGAGGTCAGGAGTTCAAGAACAGCCTGGCCAATATGGTGAAACCCCGTCTCTACTAAAAGTACAAAAAAAATTAGCTGGGCATGGTGGGGGGGCGCCTGTAATCCCAGCTACCCGAGAGGCTGAGGCAGAGAATTGCTTGAACCTGTGAGGCAGAGGTTGTGGTGAGCTGAGATCGTGCCACTGCACTCCAGCCTGGGTGACAGAGCAAGACTCCATCTAAAAACAAATGATTTTTTAAAATAAAGTCGCAGTTACCAAATTCCTCAGAGAACGAGGTGTTACCATTCTCTTATGACACTACCTGGGGTGTCCCAGCAATTCTCCAGCTTAAAGTCTCTGGTCTGGCCATGGCAGCTGCCTCTCCAAACTCCTCTGCCGCCAGTACCCAAGTTCCCGAAGAACACATCAATGCTTTGGGTTGCCTCGCAGTCCGTAAAGCATTACAGAAATATCTGCTCACTTCCTATTCTCCAACAATCTTATGAAGGAGGAACTAATATGATCCCCATTTCAACAAGGAGGAGGCCAAGGCCCCAGAGGTCATGTGGCTCACCCCACATCCAGCAGCTCAGGCAGAACATAGTTCTGAGAAGAGGCAGCCAGTTCTCTCTCTAAACTTTTGCACTTTCTCTTCTGCTCTACAAAGGAAAATCTCTACATATTAGAAAAAATAAATGACCGAATGTTGTGGCACCTGACTGAGCAGACACTGTGTCCGACCCCACTAGGGGTCTCGGCTGGGGGATTCCAGGTGCACTGCCCTCCACAGCTCACCCAGAGGCACAGGTGGCCCAGGACTTGTGAAGTTTCCCCCAAGACGATCTCTGCCAGCTGACCCCAACACAACCCAGCTCAGCTCGTCCTCTCACTACAGAAAGAGCTGAGTAGGACAGTTTCCAGCTTCTTCGGTTAATGGGTGTGGTCAGCTCTGGGAGTTACCGCTGCATTGATAAACAATTCCTCAGTAGGAAGCAGAGCCCAGCGGCAGAGGGCTGTGCATCCTCACCCGCCTGTCTTCAAGGCCACTTCCAGGGCTTCCTACTTCCTACCAGGACCAAGCTGCGGTCTCCTCTCCTTGGCCCCCACATTTTCCTGAGGACTCCTAAAAGGAACTAGTGTTTGACATGAAATACTCATTTTTACACCTGGAGACGGTACTTTCTACAACTAAGGTGGGGGAATGGTACAGCTTAAAGGTACACACACGTCTCTGATTTTTCAGGACAGGTTCCCATGACCCCTGAGCAGCCTGGCCAGACCAGGCCACCTCTCCCTTCATAAAGTGGGGTGCGGCCCCTCAGCTTGATGCAGCCTCCCTTCCGGTTACCTGACGTCCTGTCCTCCAGCTTGATGTAGGCCATCTGTCCCTTTGCAGTGATCCTCAGCCGGCCACTCCATGATGGCTGGTCCAGCTGCCACTCCGCAGCCCTAAGGGGACAAACACCACTGAATCTCTGCCAGAGGCTCCTGCTGTGTGACCCCAATGCTGGGAATGGAAAGGGCTGCTTATTCTAGCCCAAGAGTTGGCAAACATTTTCTGTAAAGAGTCAGACAGTAAATATCTTTGGCTCTACAGGCCACACAGCCTGTCACAACAAGGCAGCTCGGCTGCTGTAGGGTAAAATCAGTATAGAACATGCACGTGGTGATGCTTTAGGTATCTTAACTATTTTCTACTGAGCACAGCTGTATTTCAATCAAAGTGTAGACACTGAAATCTGAAATTCATGTAATGTTCCCAGTATGAAATACTCTCCTTTAAAAATTTTCCAAACCATTTAAAAAATGTAAAAACTATTCTTAGGTGTGAACCATACAAAAACACACTGGGTTGTCACTTGGTGACCCCCTCTCTAGACCACAGTGTCCTCCTCCACGTAGGACTTCCTTCCAGTTTCCTTTCTATAGAAGCAGCAGCTGCAGGGGCCTGATTCTGTTTCTGACACTGCTTGACTGCAGCAGTCAGAGCGACCATTTGAGACCAGTGAGACTATCTTGAAAGAAAAAGACAGCATGGAACAATCACCAGAAGAGAAAAGGAGAACAACAGTACATGTGAGAAAAGTGAATGGGTCCTTAGGAAGAAACCCAGGAAACCATGAACCTACAGCAATGCCTCTTTTGGCTCTAATTTGTTTGAGACGGGGTCTCACTCTGTCACCCGGGCTGAAGTGCAGTGGCGCAACTACGGCTCACTGAAGCCTCAACCTCCTGAGCTCAAGAGATCCTCCCACCTCAGCCTCCTGAGTAGCTGGGACTACAGGTGTGTACCAACACACCAGGCCAATTAAAAAAAATTATAGAGATAGGGTCTATGTTGCCCAGGCTGGTCCTGAAGTCTTGGGCTCAAGGGATCCTTCCACCGAGGCTTCCCAAAGTGTTGGGATTACAGGCGTGAGCCACCACAGCCAGCTGTTTTGACTCTTTTAAAGCATTAACTTCACATTTTAGTTCTAAGAAAAGGTCAGTTAAATCCCCAAATAGCAAGAACCGCAGGTGTTTCCAGGAGGCTTTTCTTAGAAGTCCCTATGCCAGTTCTCAAGAACCCTGGACGCGGCTGTCTTGAGGGCTGCACAAATGCAGATTCTCAATTCACAAATCAGCAGACTCAGTTCCTGTTCCTCTTACCAGGCCTGAGATTCAGGCTAAGGAGAGCTCCAAGACTTAAGTGCAGGCACTGGTAGTTTCCTCTAAGCTAAACCAGCCAGCCCTGACAATTCATAACCTCGCTCTCTGGGGCACCAAGAGGAACCAAATCCATCCTACTAAAGACCCAATAGGGGGCCGGGCGCGGTGGATCCTGCCTGTAATCCCAGCACTTTGGGAGGCCGAGGCGAGTGGACCACCTGAGGTAGGGAGTTCGAGACCAGCCTGACCAACATGGAGAAATCTCATCTCTACTAAAAACACAAAATTAGTCGGGTGTGGTGGTGTATGGCTGTAATCCCAGCTACTCGGGAGGCTGAGGCAGGAGAATCGCTTGAATCCGGGAGGCGGAGGTTGCAGTGAGCCGAGATCGCACCATTGCACTCTAGCCTGGACAACAAGAGGGAAACTCTGTCTCAAAAAAAAAAAAAAAAGACCCAACAGGAGATGGGGCTAGACGACCATCAATGGTTTGATGGTCCAACCACAGTTTGATGACAGAAAACAAATGTATTTTGGTTATTGTTGTTTTTGTTTTTATACTATTTTAAAATATGTCATGAATGTAATGTTCACTAACGCATCTTTTCACCATAAGATCAGCTATGAGCCCACGGTAACACAACTGGAAAGTAACAAGAGGAAATGTGGACGTTCCATCATTCTTGGGGTGCAGACCAATCCTGTATTTCCGAAAAACTTGGACAACCATCGCCTTCAAGAGCCACCCAGGCCCCCGCAAATACGAGCACTCCCCACCACCACTCAGTGGCACAAAATAGCCATAGGCCAGGTTGTCTGTATGAAGTGTATCTTTTTTCTTTTAATATTTTTCGTCGTTTTGATAGATAACGCATACAAAGAGTAGTAAAACGCAAACAGCACAAAAGGGAAAGGAAGTTTCCTTCCAAGGGCGGTTCCCCTCCCCTAGGGCAGTTTCCTGTGTTCCTTTGCAGAGATACTCAGTATGTTTACAAGCGTGTGTGTTTATTCGTCTCAGGTAGAGACCAGAGAAATATAGAAGGGGTCCTCCCAACTGCTCCAGGCTGTGATCAAGGGTGAAATTCGTGCGAAGGGATCTGGGTAGGAAGGGGTCCCTGGGCTTCGACCGTCACCTTAAAGCTCCCCGGGACCGGTCCTTTCAGCCGGCTCTGGGCTCCCTCCCCTCCTCTCGGGGATTTCCGTCTGTGATAGGGCACCTCCCCGCTTAAGGCTTTTCGAGGATCCCTTCAAGGCCACCGGTTAGCGCTGAAAGAGAAGCGTCTGTGACATCACCACCCCCGACCAAGTTTAGGGTACCCGGCAGCCCACCGGGGTCCCTAAGCGCTAGATACGGCTTTAACGCCCTCCCCGCCGCCAGGAGTCCCGTGCGTCGAACTGAGACGGGCGAAACTCTGGATCCGCCTCCCTGCTCGGGCCTGGAACTGGAAGAAGCAGCAGCATTAGCTCCCCCTCGCCCCAAAACTGGCCAGGGCTGTCCTCGGTTCCCGCAGTGGGTGTGTCCGGGTGGCGGAGAAAGGGTTAAATTGGAGCTAGCCTGGTCTGGCGGTGGGTAGTCACCTGTAGCCACGGTTGGTAGCCCGCGGAGGGATGCGGTAGACGTGGACGTCAGGCTTGACACAGAGCACCGACTCGTACCCGCTCTCCTCCATCGCGACGCCTGGAGCCCACCGAACTTCCGGCGACTTCCACCGTTCCTCTGTCCGACGGACGGAAGCGGTGCGACTCTCTGACCAGGTTTCGGCTAGAGCGGCAGCTCGCGGGCCTCAGCACCGCCTCGTTTGTGCGCCCTCTGCTGGAAACCCGGCTCAAGACACGTGGCGGGCGACCTCCGGAGGCTTCTCCCTCCCTCCAGAGGCTTCTCCTTCCCTCCAGACACCCTCCGACGCAAAGAAAGCGCCCTGCGCCCGCCATGGACAGACCCCTCTGTAACCCGTGGTCTGGGTGTGGATCATCCCCATCGCTTCAGTTTCTTAGGCCTGGGGCCCAGTTGACCGAGAGGCAAAGCTGTAGCCCACCCTGCAGTATCTCTGTCCTCCAGCCTTTGCCTCGGCGCCTCCTCTGCCTGAATATCCTTCCCTCTCCTGACTGTAAGGCTCAGCTGGCACCTGACCCACCAGACTAAATAGATGCCATTACCCTACCACCCTCCATGCTTCCCCTAGGGGAACCCACTTATATGCTCAGGGCCCCGTGTGGCCAAACCTCAACAACGAGTTGTATTCAAAGAAGTAAAGTTTAGTAACACAAGTAATTTAAGAAGAATTCCAGGCCGGGCTTGGTAGCTCACGCCTGTAATCCCAGCACTTTGGGAGGCTGAGGCGGGCGGATCACCTGAGGTCAGGAGTTCGAGACCAGCCTGGCCAACATGGTGAAACCCCGTCTCTACTAAAAATACAAAAATTAGCCGGGCTTGGTGGCGTGTGTCTGTAGTCCTAGCTAGTTGGGAGACTGAGGCACTAGAATCGCTTGAACCCGGAATGCGGAAGTTGCAGTGAGCTGAAATTGTGCCACTGCACCTCAGCCTGGGTGACAGAGCGGGACTCTGTCTCAAAAAAAAAAAAAAAAGAAGAAGAAGAATTCCAGTCTTAACTTCGATTTCTCCCAGAATATTCTGGGAGATACAATGTCTACCCTAGCCAAATTCTCAAAATCCCTCCTTCCCTACCATTCTCTCATTGAGTTGAGTGCCTGCAATGTGCCAGCCCCTATGTGGGGGTGAAGCTGATCCCAAACTTCTGATTCACTGAATACCCCAAACTTTCCCCACCCCTTCTTTCCTTTTCTCTCTCACTCTCCTTCTCCTTTTTACTTTTTTTTTTTTTTTTTCTTCAGACAAAGTCTCACTCTGCCGCCCAGGCTGGAGTGCAGTGGTGCAATCTCGGCTCACTGCAACCTCCACCTCCCGGGTTCAAGCGATTCTCCTGCCTCAGCCTCCCGAGTAGCTGGGATTACAGGCACCCACCACCAAGCCTGGCTAGTTTTTGTATTTTTTTGGTAGAGACGGGGGTTTCATCTGGTTGGCCAAGCTGATCTTGAACTCCTGACCTCAAGTGATCCGCCCACTTCGGCCTCCCAAGTGCTGGGATTACAGGCGTGAGCCACCACGACTGGCCATTTCTACTCATTTTTTATAAGCTTTTTATTATAGGATTGATCTAACCACTTACATTTTTATTGTAAAATATACATAACATAAAATTTACCATTTTAAGTGTACAATGCTGTGAAATTAAGTACATTCACAATATTGTGCAACTATATCATGCTTTCCAGAACTTTTCATCATCCCAAACAGAAACTCCACACCCATTAGCAATAACTTCCCATTTCCTTCTGCTCCACCCCTTAGTAACCTCTGTTTTACTTTCTGTCTCTATGAATTTGCCTTTTCTAGATACCTCTTATAAGTGGAATCATACAATATTGGGCTTTTGTGTTTCTTATTTCACTTAGCATCAAGTTTTCAAGGTTCTTTCATGTAGCATGGATCAGAATTTCATTCCTTTTAATGGAGGGATAATATTCCATTGCATGTATATACCATATTTTGTTTATCCATTCATCTGTCAACAATTGAGATGTTATCACCTTTTGGTATTGGGAATCGGGCTACTATGAGCATTGGTGTTCAAACACTTGTTCTAGTCCTGTTTTCCATTTTCTTGAGTGTATACATAGGAGTGAAACTGCTGAGTTATACAATAATGCTATGTTTAGTGGTTTTGTTTTGTTTTGTTTTGTTTGAAACAGCATCTCACTCTGTTGCCCAGGCTGGAAAGCACTGGCATGATCATGGCTCACTGCAGCCTCAACCTCCCAGGCTCAAGTGATCCTCCCAACTCAGCCTCCCAAGTAGCTGGGACTACAGGTGTGAACCACCATGTCCGGCCTTGCTCACCTTTTTGAGGAGCCTCCAAACTGTCTTCCACAGCAGCAGCACCATTTACGTTCACAAGGGTTTCAATTTCTTCACATTTTTGCAAATATTGGTTATTTTTCTTTTCTTTTCTTTTCTTTTTCTTTTCTTTTTTTTTTTTTTTTTAGACAGGGTCTCTCTCTTTCTTTCTCTCTCTGTCACCCCACACTGGAGTGCAATGGTGCGATCATCACTCACTGCAGCCTCAAATTCCCGGGCTCAAGGGATCCTCCTGCCTCAACCTTTTGAGTAGCTGGGCCTACAGGCACACACCACCCTACCCTGCTAATTTTCTTACTTTTTGTAGAGACGGGGGTCTTGCTATGTTGCCCAGGCTGGTCTTGAATTCCTGTCTTCAAGAGATCCTCCTGCCTCAGCCTTCCAAAGTGCTAGGATTATAGGCATGAGCCACCATACCTGGCCTTATTTTCCAATTTTTTTTTTTTTGAGACTAAGTCTCACTCTACCACCCAGGCTGGAAGACAGTGGCATGATCTCAGCTCACTGCAACTTCTGCCTCCCAGGTTCAAGTGATTCTCGTGCCTCAGCCTCCTAAGTAGCTGGGATTACAGGCATGCGCCACCATGCCTGGCTAATTTTTGTATTTTTAGTAGAGACGGGGTTTCACCATGTTGGCCAGGCTGGTCTATAACTCGACCTCAAGTGATCCACCCACCTCGGCCTCCCAAAGTGCTGGGATTACAGGTGTGAGCCACCGCACCCAGCCATTCAGAGCACTTTCAGTTCTGTTCAGTCTAACAAAGACAGGCATCGAGCACATACCCTATGCCAGGTGCTGAGTACTGGGGTCACTGGGATGTGGCCAATCCAGCTCCTACCATCCTGGAGCTCGCAGACTGGAGGAGACAGAGAGAAAAGCAGTCATTGGCAAAGCAGAATGAAAGGTACTGTAATGAAGCAAATTCACAGGGGCCTGTGGGAGCAAAGAGAAGAAACCCCACACAGTCTGGGGAGAGTCAGGGAAGGCTTTCTGGGAGAGAGTACCCTGGCCCAATAATCACTGTGAGGTTGGCAAGGCAACGATTGTTATCTTCATTGTGTAATGGGGGCCACTGAACCAGTGACAAGCTGGGGGAAATGACACTGTCCAGTAGTTGGAGGTCACACAGCCCCTTGCCTTATTCTCAAACCCTAACCACATGGCTGGATATTCCTGAAATGCATTCCTAAACCTCTGCTGCTGAGAATAATTGGACCTGCCATCTATTCCCAGTTTAACTGCCCTGTATACCAAACAAATCCAATTCAAGCCAACAGGCAAAGTATAGGCTCAGACAGAGCCCATCCTATGTGCAAGGCGGTGAGCAGGGGTGGAAAATCTCACTGTGACTCATCCAGCTGATTTCTGGTAGGTGCAGGGCCAAGGTGGGGTGTAAGGTGAACAAGCTTTCCCTGACGGCCTCCAGACATATATATGATATGCCACTTATCTTTATCTGCTGTATTTTCCTGCCATCATAGATATTTCCAAGAGAAATTCTCCCATTTTTCAGATGAGGAAACCACTTATAAAAGGGGCACTCAATACCCAAAGAATTTTGAAAAAGAACAAAGTTGGAGGACTCACACTTCCTGATTTCAAAACTTTTTATTTATTTATTTATTTATTTGTTTTTCCATAGGTTATTGGGGTACAGGTGGTATTTGGCTACATGACTAAGGTTTTTGTTTTTTGGTGTTTTTTTTTTGTTTACATTAGTAATTTTTTTTGAGACGGAGTCTTGCTCTGTTGCCCAGGCTGGCGTGTAGTGGTGCAGTCTCTGCTCACTGCAACCTCCATCTCCCAGGTTCAAGCGATTCTCCTGCCTCAGCCTCCCAAGTACCTAGGATTACAGGCAGGCACCACCATGCCCAGCTAATTTTTGTATTTTTAGTAGAAACAGGATTTCACCATGTTAGCCAGGGTGATCTCAAACTCCTGACCTCGAGTGATCTGCCCCCCTTGGCATCCCAAAGTTCTGGGATTACAGGCGTGAGCCACCTTGCCCTGCATGAGTAGGTTCTTTAGTGGTGATTTGTAAGATTTTGGTCCACCCATCACCTGAGCAGTATACACTGCACCCTATCTGTATTTTTTTTTTTTTTTTTTGAGACAGAGTCTCACCCTGTCATCTAGGCTGGAGTGCAATGGTGCGATCTCGGCTCACTGCAACCCTCCACCTGCCAGGTTCAAGCAATTCTCCTGCCTCAGCCTCCTGACTAGCTGGGATTACAGGCATGTGCCACCATGCCCGGCTAATTCTGTACTTTTAGTAGAGACGGGGTTTCTCCATGTTGGTCAGGCTGGTCTCAAACTCCCAACCTCAGGTGATCTGCCCGCCTCGGCCTCCCAAAGTGCTGGGATTACAGGCACGCACCACCACACTCAGCTAATTTTTTGTATCTTTAGTAGAGATGGGGTTTCACCTTGCTGGCCAGGCTGGTCTCAAACTCCTGACCTCATGATCCGCCCGCCTCAGCCTCCCAGAGTGCTGGGATTACAGGTGTGAGCCACCGCACCAGGCCGATAAATGGGACTTTTACAAAAATTTAAAACTTCTGTGCTTCAAAAGACAAAAAGGTGAAAATGTAATCCACATAATGGGAGAAAATTTTTGCAGATCATATATATGATTCAGGACATGTATCTAGAATTTATAAAGAACATTTACCGTGCAATAATAAAAAGACAACCCAGTATAAATGGACAGAGGCAGGCTGGGTGCTGTGACTCATGCATGTAATCCCAGCATTTTGGGAGGCTGAAATGGGAGGATCACCTGAGCCCAAGAGGTCAAGGCTATAGTGAGCCACGTTCATGCCACTGCAGTCCAGCCTGTGGACAGAGTAAGACCCTGTCTGAAAAAAAAAAAAGGGGGGGGCCGGGCATGGTGGCTCACACCTGTAATCCCAGTACTTTGGAAGGCTGAGGTGGGCAGATCACCTGAGGTCAGGGGTTTGAGACCAGCCTGGTCAAGATGGCAAAACCGCGTCTCTACTAAAAATACAAAAATTAGTCTGGTGTGGTGGCACACACCTGTAATCCCAGCTACTAGGGAGGCTGAAGCAGGAGAATTGCATGGACACGGGAGACGGAGGTTGCAGTGAGCTGGAACTAGGCCACTGCACTCCACCCTGGGTGACAGAGCGAGACTCCATCTCAAAAAAAAAAGGACGAAGGCTCTGAATAAACATTTTTCCAAAGAAGATAGACAAATGGCCAATAAGCACATGAAGATGTCCAACATTATCGGCCATTGGGGAAATGCAAATCAAAATCAGAATGAGATAACACTTTACACTCACATCCACTAGGATAGCTATGATAAAAAAGACAAGTAAGGCGGTACAGTGGCTCACACCTGTAATCCCAAAACACTGGGAGGCTGAGGCGGGAGGATCCCTTGAGCTGAGGAGTTCAAGACCAGCCTGGACAACATAGTGAGATTCCCATCTACAAAATATTTGAAAATTAGCCAGGTGTGGTGGTGTGCACTTGTAGTCTCAGCTACTCAGGAGGCTAAGGTGGGAGGATCCCTTGAACCCCAGAGTTGGAGGTTGCAGTGAGCTATGGTCATACCACTGCACTCCATCCTGGGTGATAAAGGAAGACCCTGTCTCAAAAAATAAATAAATAAATAAATAAGACAGATAATAACAAGTGTTGGAGAGGATGCAGAAAAATTGGAGCAGTCATATGCTGCTGGTAAGAAGGTAAAATGATACAGCCACTTTGAGAAAGTCTGGCAATTACTCAAAAGCTAAAAATAGAGTTGACATGTGATTCAGCAATTCCGTTCCTATATACATAACCAAGAGAAATGCAAATGTATGTTCATATAAAAACTTGTACATGAATGTTCATAGCAGTGTTATTCATAATAGGTAAAATGTGGAAACGGGCCAGGCATGGTGGCTCACACCTGTAATCTCAGCACTTTGGGAGGCCAAGGTGGGAGGATCACTTAAGCTCAGGACTTTGAGCAGCCTGGGCAACCTAATGAGACCTCGCCTCTATTTAAAATTAAAAAATTTTTAAGACGAACCAGGCATGGTGGCATGCGTCTGTAGTCCCAGCCAGCCACTCAGAGGCTGAGGGGAGAGGATCCCTTGAGCCCAGGAGTTTGAGGCTATAGTAAGCTACGATCGCACTGCTGCACTCCAGCCTGAGTGACAGAGCAAAACTCTGTCTCAAAAAAAAAAAAAAGAAAGAAAAAAGAAACAACCTCAATTTCTATCTACTGATGAATGGATAAACAAAATGGGGTCTAGCCATACAGTGAAATATTACTCAGCCATAAAAAGGAATGAAATTCTGATGTGTGCTACAACATGGATGAACCTTGAAAACATGACGTTAAGTGAAAGAAGCTACTCACCAAGGACCATATATTGTATGATTCCATTTATATGGAATGTTCGGAATAGACAAATCCACTAAGACAGAAAGTAGATTAGTGGTTACCTAGGGCTGGGTTTGGGGTGGGAAGATTGGGGATGATGCCCAAGGGGTGTGGGGTTTCTTTTTGGGGTGATAAAAATATTCTAGAATTAGGGCGAGGGTGGTACAACTCTGTGAATATCCTAAAAGCCGTTGAATTGTACACTTTAAATGGGTGAACTGTATGGTATGTGAGTTAAATTTCAATAAAGCTGTAAACAAAAAAGGGTCCCAAGTGATCTGAAAGGGTGACATAGTCGATATTTGTCAACTTCTCTCCCAGTTCTACCCTTGGATTCCAAGCCCCTCTGCTAGGGCTGGGGCTTCCCCTCCTTGTCTAGATTCTCAGAGTTAGCAAGCTCCAGATGTGGACAGATAGGGGCTGGAGCCCCTCTGGGGCTTCTGCCTCCGTAAAACTTCAGTTTGTGGAATACTGGGGCCTGACAATTCCAAGGCTGAGCCTGCACATTCTCAGGCAGAGACAGTGGACAATAGGGGGTGTGTTTGAGGGGCGTAGGGGGAGATTTTCCCTAGGTGGTTCATCCACCCCTGAGACAGGAAGACTCAGAGGAAGCGGGAATGGCTAGGGGAACCCTAATGAGAAAGAGGCTGGGGAGGGGCAAGGAACTCCAAGGCAAGAGAGAAGGACTTGGCCACAGCCCTGACTTTTCCGCTCCAGGTGACAGCCTGGTCCTTCGTGAGGCCAGAGCTGCACCAGGGGTGGGAGGTCACCCCACCAAACCAGCTGAGGTCTGCTTTGCATGGCAGGGGTGCAGCTGTAACTGCAGGAAGGGCCTGGAGGGCAGGAAAAGGAAGTGCGAACTTGGGTCAGCAGCTATTAAGTGCGCCTCCTCTGTGTCCCTGGTAAACTGTGGGAACCGTCAGGACACCCAGTGTATCCCCTAAGGCCTGACGTTGTCCCTAGCACGGGCACGTGTCATTAAACAGTTATCGATTGCACAAGGAAATGAATGAATGACTTAAGCTTCTTTGTAGGCAAAATGATATGATGAGATGAGTGGCCATGGGAGTCAGACAGGCCTGGGTTTGAATCCAGTTCCTCTGCAGACTGGCCATGTGGTATCGGACAAAACATTGCTCAGAGCCTTAATTTCCCTATCTTTAAAACAGGGCTGAACCCAGACTTCACAGGGCTGTTAGGAGAATACTGTTTACAAAGGTTTCCAGCACATGGAAGGTTCCTCCGTGGATGCTGGCGGGCCTGCCATGATTTAAAGTGGAAGAAGCACCATCAAGATCTTCAAGGTCATATGGTCTCACTACAGGAGGAAGGGGCATGGGGGTTAGGATTTACTCCTGGAAACTAGTTAACAGTGAAAGGGGGTCCATGTACCCATAGAAATGGTGCTGATGTTGCCTCAAAGGAATTCAGTGGCTGGAGAGAGAGCTGAGATGGTTGGAAACTTGGAGAAGAGGGAGGAGCTTGAAGGATGGGTTGGGGGCTATCGGAAAGATAGAAAAAATGGGAGGTGGGCACAGAGGCTGGGGTCTGTGGGACTAGGATTGCAGGAGCCTGCCTGGATTAAAACAGAAAGTTTGTGTAGGGGGTGGTGGCACAGCTGAACATGAGGTTGGATGAAAGAGGTGGAGGAGAGATGAAAGGCTTCAGAAATGGCCAGGTGCAGTGGCTCACACCTGTAATCCCAACACTTTGGGAGGCCGAGGCGGGCGGATCACTTGAGGTCAGGAGTTCAAGACCAGCGTGGCCAACCTGGTGAAACCCCATCTCTACTAAAAATACAAAAATTAGCCGGGCATGGTGGCGGCCGCCTAAAATCCCAGCTAGTAGGGAGGCTGAGGCAGGAGAATTGCTTGAGCCCAGGAGGCAGAGGTTGCAGTGAGCCAAGATTGCAGCACTGCACTCCAGCCTGGGCAACAGAGCGAGACTCTGTCTCAAAACAAACAAAAAAAAAAAAAAAAGAAGAAGAAGAAGAAGAAAAGAAAAAGAAAAAGAAAGGATGTGTCCAGGGCAGGGTGTGGGTGCTTTGGTGAACTGCAGATTGCCGCTGGAGACTTTGGGGCCCTGAGACAGATGGACAGATGTCCCTAGTTCTTGTTCCTTAGCCCCATCTAAGAACATGGAGTTTTCATCTATAGCAGGAGCAGCTGTGACATTCTTGGACTCTCTTTAAAAGGCACATTAGTATTTTAAAGGCTCTGAGAAGTTGTACAGGAAAGAGCCTGTATCATTTCGCTCATCACAGCACTTTCCAAAGGCATTTAGCCTTGGAACCCCTTGGAGCATCTGAAGGGACCAGTATGCCAAAGAATACCCTGTAGGAAATGTCGCCGTCGGGGAAAGCGCCTGGGTTTTGGGATTCAACAGGCCATGGTTCAAATCCTCGTCTGCGACCTAGCAGGTGTTAGATCTTGGGCAAGTCTTGTGCCTTCCAGAGCCCCTTTTCCTCAGGGTCATAGTGAGAACTAGGAAAAGCGTATGGGTAAATGGCATGTGGCTAGCTCTCTGGTTTTGCTGCGTGCCTCTCCTTGCAAGGCCTGGCCCCGCCTCTTCCCTCGAGCCAGGCTGTCTACATTATAGGCTCCAAGTGGGCTCCTGAAGCAGCAGTTAGGTGATGGGCTTGGTGGGACGCTTGATTGGATTTCTCCTGTAGGAGCACACTAGGTGATGCCCCTCACTTGGCACCCGTGTTGGCGCTGGCATCATGGACAATAGAAACACCCAGATGTACACGGAGGGTAGAACCAAGGCTCCAGGGACGCAGCCAAGTCCTGGCCTGAGGATCACCATAAAGAGGGCTGGTGTTGAGCCCATCATACCAGGAGTCAGCAAGGTAGGGACCTGCACCCCATGTTCTGATCCATTCACTCCTAGCTGGCACCTTTCCCTTCCCCTGCCCAGGCTTCCTCCCCAGCTGCTTTAATTAAGACTCTGTTAAAAATGGACACAAAACCCAATTCAAACTGGATTAAGCAGAAAAGAGAATATATCAGTTTGGGTAACTGACACATGCCTTCATAGACTTCAGGTATGGCTAGATCAATGTGCTAAATGAGTATCTCTTGGCTCTATGTTCCTCCGTGTTGGATTCATTCTCAGGCAAGCTCTCCCTGCAAGATGGCAGGGATTGCCCTGGCCACTCCAGGATTACATCTTCCCATCTTACACCCTCTGGTTTAGCATTCCAACAGGAAGTGAGCCTCTTTGCAATAGTTGAAACAAGTCTCTAGCATCACTGTCATTGGCCCAGATTGTGGTCAGATGCTCATCCTTGAACCAATCACCATGGCAGTGGGGAGTGGTCTGGATCTCTTGATACAATGGAGACAGAGGTGATAGGTGGCTCCACTGAGCCCCATGGGCTGAATGGAGAAGAGAAGCTTCCCAAAAACAATGCTGGCTTCTGTAACGGAAAGAGCTGCAGGGTGAGCAAACCCAGAATTGCCTACTCGCTCTTCTAGGTGCCTTGCATGGCCTCCAAACTCCCCTCACAGCCTCCAGCCCAGCTTTATTCTCCTGAGAGCTACTCAGGGCTTCCCTCCATGCCCCTCCCCAGAGCCCAGCCTGCATCCTAAGCTTCCATCACACCTCTCAGCCTCTTTCCATCAAATATGTTTATTAGTTTGTTTGTTTGTTTATTTTTGAGACAGGCTCTCACTCTCTCACCCAGACTGGAGTGCAGTGGTGCGATCACGACTCACTGCAGCCTCGAACTCCCAGGCTTAAGCGATCCTCCTGCCTCAGCCTCCTGAGTAGCTGGAACTATAGGCGTGGCTTGTGCCACCATACCCAACTATTTTTTTAATTTTTTGTAGAGACAAGGCTTTATCATGTTGCCCAGGCTGGTCTTGAACTCATGGGCTCAAGTGATCTGTCTGCCTCAGCCTCCCAAAGTGTTGGGATTACAGGCATAAGCCTCCGTGTCCGGCATCTTCTTTTTTTTTTTTTTTTTTTTTTTTTTGAGATAGAGTCTTGCTGTCACCCAGGCTGGAGTGCAATGGTGTGATCATGGCTCACTGCAACCTCTGCCTCCTGGGTTCAAATGATTTCCGTCTAATTTTTTTTGTATTTTTAGAAGAGATGGGATTTCACCATGTTGGACAGGCTGGTCTTGAACTCCTGACCCCAAGTGATCCGCCCACCTCGGCCTCCCAAAATGTTAGGATTACAGGCGTGAGCCACTGCGCCCCACTGGCCTCTTTTTGAATGTGCCAAGTAGCATGAACTGAAGAGCATAAAGAAGACCCTCCTCACCATCCAGTTTCCTCAGGGCCAAAGATATCACCATTTAAAAAGTCAGCCAGCCGGGCGCGGTGGCTCACGCCTGTAATCCCAGCACTTTGGGAGGCCGAGGCGGGTGGATCACCTGAGGTCGGGAGTTCAAGACCAGCCTGACCAACATGGAGAAACCCAGTCTCTACTAAAAATACAAAATTAGCCTGGCATGGTGGTGCATGCCTGTAATCCCAGCAACTTGGGAGGCTGAGGCAGGAGAATCGCTTGAACCTGGGAGGTGGAGGTTGCGGTGAGCGGAGATTGCACCATTGCACTCCAGCCTGGGCAACAAGAGTGAAACTCCATCTCAAAAATAAATAAACAAACAAACAAACAAATAAATAAAATACAATACAATAAAATAAAAAGTCAGCCAGGTGCCATGGCTCACGCCTGCTCCCAATACTTTGGGAGGCAGAGATAGGTGGATTGCTTGATCCCAGGAGTTAAAGACCAGCCTGGGCAACATCGTGAGACCCCGTCTCAAAAAAAAAACAAAGCCAGGCGCGGTGGCTCACGCCTGTGATCCCAGCTCTTAGGGAGGCAGAGGCGGGAGGAGAGCTTGAGTCCAGGAGTTCGAGGCCTGCCTGGGCAATATAGCGAGACCCCGTTCTCCACAAAAAGGAAAAGAAAAAAAAAGCCAAAAAAAAAAATAAAAAGTCAACATGCCCTTGGGTATGTTCCCTGTAGCCTCTGTTATAAATCCTCACTTCCCCTGGGGCAGGGAGAGGGCCTGGAGGGGAGGAGGCTAGGAGAGAGGCTAGAGGTGAACATTCAGGGCTTCCTTCATCCACCCATTTATTTTTTCAACAAGCACCGTCATGGGGTCCCAGTCCCACCACTTACCCAGCTGTGTGATGTTGGGCCTGTCACTGCACCCCTTGCAGCCTCATTTGTTTTACGGTGTTGACTAAGGCACCTAGCACAGGCCCTGTCTCATAGTAGGTGCCTGTTAGTATTAGCTCACATCAGAATCTTGTATTATATCAATGTCAATGAGTTAATTAAGTCCATTTGTTTGGAGTTTGCTGACTCCGGTGATGCTTGGAGCGGGGTCTCAGTCACTGGCTCCAGGTCACCCAGTTGGAGAGTGACAGACCATGATAGTGATCAAAACCCAGTTCAGGCCAGGTGCGGTGCCTCATGCCTGTAATCCCAGCACTTTGGGAGGCTGAGGCAGACGGATCACTTGAGGTCAGAAGTTCGAGACCAGCCTGGCCTACAAAAAAAATAAAAAAAAAAAATTAGTTGGGCATGGTGGCGCACACCTGTAATCCCACCTACTCGGGAAGCTGAGGCACAAGAATCGCTTGAACCCAGCAGGTGGAAGTTGCAGTGAGCCGAGACTGTGCCACTGCACTCCAGCCTGGGCAAAGGAGGGAAACTCTCTCTCAAAAAATGAAATAAAAACTCAGTTCAAACTAGAGCCTGCGTTTTGAAGGCATGGGAATTGTTGAAGGCGTCTCTTGGACCTTGTGAGAGTCTTGGGGTCCCCCAGGGTGCTCTTTCAAGCTGTCCTTAAGGCAATCCCCTTGTCTCGGGTACTAATCTGGACTCCAGTTCATACCAGAGCCTTACGTGCTAAGCAACAGCAACAGCAGGGCCGGGCCCTGCATCCCTGCCTCTCAGCTCCTGCTCACCCCTCTCCAACAGCTTCCCCAATCAGGCACAGGATCTCCCTGTCCTTGAGGCCAGAAGAGTACCCAGGGAGGAGTGGGAGGGATCACTCCAGAACGGGTACTCAATGCCAGCCCTCAAGCCACTGCCATGGATATCTCTGTCCAGGTCATGTTTCCGGATGCTTCGGAAGTGGGCAGCAAGAAGCACCTCTCATCAGCTTCACGAGGGCCAGAGAAGGGGCCCAGACTCAGAGATGCATTTGAGAAGGGGCCTTCAGAGCTCAGAATCCAGGAGCAGGGGCCTCCAGCAAGACCAGGGTGAGCTGAGGGGCTCTCGAGAGAACAGGTCCAAGAGAGAACCCCCTGTAGCCCACCCGCGGGGGAGAGAGAGAGAATGGAGAACTCCCAGGCCAAGGCAGCTCCACCCACGACAGCACCTTGTCCTTCTCTTTCATTGCACCAGTTGCACTAAAGAGTTCATGTTAACCTTTTGTCTGAACTCCCCCAACGAGACCACAAACATCTTTTATGTGTCTTGTTTGAGGAGCATCATATACCTGGTTCAACCTCAAAGCCCTCATGCCTAGTACTATGCCTGACACATAGTAAATGTTCGATAAATATTGATTCACTGAATTAATAGAATAATGAACAAAAAAAGGTTAGGAGACACAGGAACATGTAAAGATGTACACGTAATTGTTTTCTAAATTTTGTGTTTTTTTAAAACTTTTCTACAGCAAGAATGTATTCAAAAAGAGAAAATCAAGAGCGAGCCAGATAGAGGCAAAGTGAAAGGCTGGGATAATAGAAATAGTAAAGACTAGCTGGCTTAGTTGGATTTGACTATAACCAGAAGCTCCTAAATAGCCTCCTCTACAAGAAAAGTTAGGAGAGACAACTCAAGCCAGGTCCGAGGCCCACTGAGACAACTACTGCATACCATGCCGGTGGAAATAGAAACCATTTAAGCATACCTGTTTCATCAACGTGGCAATTTGTTTAAACTGCCTTGAAACTCCCTTTATCCTCACCCATTTCTGGAAATAGGCCATGAGGAAATAATTGGTGATTCAAGCAGTTTTATGCACAAAGACTTTCACTGTCACATTATCTTAAATACTAAAAAATTAGAAACCCCTTAAGCGCCCACACAATAGGGAAATGGTTAATGATGGTTATCTTTAAAATATGGAATTTTATACATTTAATGAACATAAGAAAACATATAAAGCATGTTTCTGAAGGATTTTTAGCATGCGAAAAACACAGGCTATGATGTTAATTGAAAAAAGTACATTAGGCCGGGCACAGTGGCTCACACCTGTAATCCCAGCACTTTGGGAGGCCAAGGCAGGTGGATTACCTGAGGTCAGGGGTTTAAAACCAGTCTGGCCAACATGGCAAAACCCCATCTCTACTAAAAATATAAAACTAGCTGGGCATGGTGGCACATGCCTGTAATCCCAGCTACTTGGGAGGCTGAGGCAGGAGAATCACTTGAACCCAGGAGGCAGAGGTTGCAGTAAGCCAAGATCACTCCACTGCACTCCAGCCTGGGCAACAAGAGCAAAATTCTGTCTCAAAAAAAAAAAAAAAATATATATATATATATATATATATAGCCGGGCACCATGGTTCACGCCTGTAATCTCAACACTTTGGGAAGTTGAGGTTGGCGGATCACTTAAGCCCAGGAGTTCAAGACCAACCTGGACAACATGGTGAAACCCCATCTCTACAAAAAATATGAAGATTGGCCAGGCATGGTGGCATATGCCTGTAGTCCCAGCTACTTGGGAGGCTAAGGCGGGAGGATTGCTTGAGCCCAGGAAGTGGAGGTTGCAGTGAGCTGAGATCATGCCACTACACTCGAACCTGGGTGACAGAGCAAGACTCTGTCTCAAATAAATAAATAAATAAATAAGTATGCATACGCATAGGAAGAAGCTTGGAGGAAATACTCCAGAATACTAAAGTGAGATCGGATAGACACAGCTTCAAATTTTGAACAGTTATCTTTAGCTTTATGACCTTAGGCTCAAATCTCTTGTCCTCTCTGCATCCCAGTTCTGATTTTTGTTTCATTTTTTTCTGAAAAACAGTTTAAAAATACTATAAAACTTAAATTCTAGGCTGGATGCAATGGCACGTACCTCTAATCCCAGCACTTTGGGAGGCCGAGGTCGAAGATTGCTTGAGCCCAGGAGTTCAAGACCAGCCTGGGCAACACAGAGAGACCTTGTCTCTACAAATAATTGTGAAAGTTTAAATTTTAACTCCCCCAAACATTGACATCAAAGTGTCTATGATTTGGGGAATTCCTGTGAGTCCTTCATTGGTCCTTCCAGGCGTTAGCTATGCACCTATGGTATGCCTAGCCCTGTAAAAATATATAAAACAGTGCCCCAGTCTGGGAGCTAAAGTGTCACTTTGTCTATTTTCCCCAGGAAGAAACAGCCCTCTTGGGTCCCCCAGGAAGGGTCCCAGGAGCTGCAAGCAGGCCAGGATCAGAGTGAGCTGGGGTTGCTGCCTTCCTGGGTTCCTGAAGTACCTGAAGGGCTGCAGCAGCTGGGCTCCGGAAAGGAGATCAAGGGCCAGCAGGGGAGGCAACGGAACCGGGGAATCGGGGAGGATCAGCCTCCTGAGAGCTGCCAGGTAACCTAGGAGATCTGGGGAGAAGGGTATGGAATGACCTACCACAGAGGAGGTGAAAGAGCCCCCCTCCTATCATGCCCCCCATTCTGGTGCATGTATCTGTAGTCCCAGCTACTTGGGAGGCTGAGGCAGGGGTGATCCCTTGAGCCCAGGAGGTCAAGGCTACAATGAGCTATGTTCAGGCCACTGCACTCCAGCCTGGGTGACAGAATGTTTGCTCACCTCTGTGCCCTGAAGATGTCAAGCACTCAGTCTGTGGGTCACTGGGCTATTCCCCCAGCCTACATCACAAGCATTTAAGTCTTGTTTCCAGGCCGGGCATGGTGGCTCACGCCTGTTAATCCCAGCACTTCTGGAGGCCGAAGGAGGCAGATCACCTGAGGTCAAGACCAGCCTGGCCAACATGGTAAAACCCTGTCTCTACTAAAAAATATAAAATTAGCCGGGTGTGGTGGCACATGCCTGTAATCCCAGCTACTCAAGAGGCCGAGGCAGGAGAATTGCTTGAACACGGGAGGTGGAGGTTGCAGTGAGCTGAGATCGCGCCATTGCACTCCAACCAGGGCAATGAGAGCAAAACTCCGTCTCAAAAAAATAAAAATAAAATAAAAATAAGTCTTGTTTCCAGAGTGGCCCCACGGTATGTCAATGGGTGCAGGGGGGAGGGAGGAGGTGCCAGGTTCTGTATACAGATAATATTGGGACATGCTGAGTTTAACAAAGCTGAAACAGGTTTCTGTATGCTAGGATATCCTGGAAGCAGTTTACTAGCTGCTGAGCCTTTGTAAGATTTTGCAAGATATGATTAGAGGCCAGGCGCCGTGGCTCGTGCTTGTAATCCCAGCACTTTGGGAGGCTGAGGTGGGAGGATTGCTTGAGCCCAGGAGTTTGAGATCAGGGCAACATGGTGAAACCCCGTTCCTACAAAAAATACCAAAGTTAGCTGGATGTGGTGGCACATGTCTGTGGCCCCAGCTACTCCAGATACTGAGATGGGAGGATCCCCTGAGCCTGGGGTCCAGGCTGCAGTGAGCCAAGATCACACCACTGTGCTCCAGCCTGGGTGACAGAGTGAAACCCTGTCTCAAAAAAAATAAAAATAAAAAAATAAATAAAAAATTTTAAAAAGATATGGTTAGAGTATATTGCCTTTCCCAAACTTATTTGACCACAAGATCTTTTTTTATTTATCTGTAAGATTTTTTTTTTTTTTGAGACAGTCTTGCTCTGTCGCCCAGGCTGGAGTGCAGTGGCGCAATCTCGGCTCACTGCAAGCTCTGCCTCCCAGGTTCATGCCATTCTCCTGCCTCAGCCTCCCCAGTAGCTGGGACTACAGGCACCCGCCACCATGCCCGGCTAATTTTTTTGTATTTTTAGTAGAGACGGGGTTTCACCGTGTTAGCCAGGATGGTCTCAACCTCCTGACCTCGTGATCCGCCCGCCTCAGCCTCCCAAAGTGCTGGGATTACAGGTGTGAGCCACCGCACCCAGCCTGGTAAGATTTATTTTTAACAGCTTCAGTAAGGTATAATTGGCATTCACTTGCACATACTTTAAGTGTACAATTTAATATTTTGACATATGTACACACCCACAAAACCATCCCCACAATCAAGAAAGCAAACATAGCCATCACCCCAACCATTTCCTCATGCCCTTTCTCATCCCCCCTCCCACTAGTCTATCCCCAGGCGACTACCAACTATCACTATAGATTTGTTTGTATTTCGTGGAATTTTACACAAATGAAATTGTACAGTGTACATTCTTTCTGTCTGGCTTCGTTCACTCCACATGACTATTTGAGATTCATCTAGGTCGGGTGCGGTGGCTCAGCCTGTAATCCCAGCACTCTGGGAGGCTGAGGCGGGTGAATCACCTGAGGTCAGGAGTTCAAGACCAGCTTGGCCAACCTGGTGAAACCCCGTCTCTACTAAAAATATAAACATTAGCTGGGCATGGTGGCAGGTGCCTGTAGTCCCAGCTACTCGGGAGGCTGAGGCAGGAGAATCACTTGAACCTGGGAGGCGGAGGTTGCAGTGAGCTGAGATCATGCCAGTGCACTCCAGCCTGGAGAACAGAGTGAGACTCTGTCTCCAAAAAAAAAAAAAAAAAAAAAGGAGAGAGAGAAAGAGAAAGAAATTCATGTATTGTGTGTATCAACATGTTGTTCTTTTGGTTGCTCAGTAATATTTCCATTCTATGGATATACCATAATATACCACTTTTTTTTTTTTTTTTTTTTTGACATGGAGTCTCACCCTGTTGCCCAGGCTGGAGTGCAGGGGTGTGATCTTGGGTCACTGCAACCTCCACCTCCTGGGTTCAAGTGATCCTCCCACCTCAGCCTCCTGAGTGGCTGGGATTACAGGCACGTACCACCACGCCCAGCTAATTTTTGTGTTTTTAGTAGAGACAGGGTTTCACCATGTTGGCCAGGCTGGTCCTGAACTCCTAATCTCGTGTGATCCACCCACTTAGGCCTTTATTATTTTTTTTCAAGAGACAGAGTCTCACTCTGTCGCCCAGGCTGGAGTGCAGTGGTGTGATCATGGCTTACTGCAACCTCCACCTCCTGGGTTCAAGTGATTCTCGTCCCTCAACCTCCCAAATAGCTGGGATTACAGACATGAGCCACCATGCGTAGCTAATTTTGTGTAGAGACAGAATTTCTCCATGTTGGCCAGGCTGGTCATGAATTCCTGACTTCAAGTGATCCACCTGCCCCTCAGCCTCCCAAAATTCTGGGATTGCAGGTGTGAACCACCACACCTGGCCAAAACCTCCTCTTTTTAAGGAGGCTCATGAAGGATTCTTGTTCTTTGAAGTATCCCTTGGAAAATCCCATTAAGGCTGAGCATGGTGACTGATGCCTGTAATCCCAGCACTTTGGGAGGCTGAGGCAGGAGGAATGCTTGAGCCCAGGAGTTCAAGACCAGCCTGAGCAACATAGTGAGACCTCATCTCTACCAAAAATTAAAAAATATCAGCCAGGCGTGGTGACAGGTATTTGTAGTCCCAGCTACTTGGGAGGCTGAAGCAGGGGGATCCCTTGAGCTCAGGAGGTCAAGGCTACAATGAGCTGTGTTCTTGCCACTGCACTCCAGCCTGGGTGACAGAGTGAGACTTGTCTCAAAAAAAAAAAAAAATACACACACACACAAAGGAAAACCCTATTTAAAGGGGATCTTCTCAATTTTCCAGGCTCTCATTCCACTCCCATAGGGAAGTGTGGTTCTTTGGGTAGGCCACGCCTTCTCTGGGCTTCAATTTCCTCACCCTTCAAAATGTGGGAGTACCTGTGCTACCTTCTAGGGGCACTAGGAGAATTAAGTAAGATGATGCCTGAAGTGCTGGGACCCTAGTAAGTGTGTAATAACTGGTCTCCAGTTCGCCTGGAGCATTGAGGTTCACCTGGGAACGAGGATGGAGCTCCCCAGCCGTGGTGTCCTTGTCCTTGACAGGGCTCCGGATATCAATCCACCCCCAGTCACCAGGCAGACATGGTGCAGCCAGCAGAGCCTTGCTGCCGCTTGGCCAGCCATGGCCAGCCACTGGGAGGCAAGCACCCCAAGGAGGCAGGTGTCCCACACATCAGGCCACAGGAGGCTCCGCCAGAGCCCAGCCCAGGGGGACATGGGGACAGCTCTCAGGAAGCAATGCCCCCAATGTCCGTCGTGGCTCCAGAGGAAAAGACAGTCAACCCCTTCCTGCCATCCACGCCTGGACCTAAAAAAGCAAAAGGAGGGTAAGTCATCATCCAGTGCCATCCCCTGCCCCCAACAAGGATGCTCTTCTGCTGAGTTTCAGGTGGGGTGAATTCTAGTCCAGACTGCTCCTGACCTGGTAGAGGACCTTGGGCAAGTCATGCTCCGCTGGGTCTCAATTTCCCCATCTGTGTAATGGCTGGAATACCAGAATTCTTGGTTCCGTGAGCCTGTATATATGAGGATGTGGGGACATAAGGAGCCCCCTGAGATGAGAAGGCCAAGGGGATGAGGCTGGGGTGGAACTGAGTGTCCTGGGGGCTGAGAGGGGAGGGCAGGGGGGCAAACCTTCAGCTGAGCGCTTCCCCCACCTGGGGGTTTCTCTTCTATTCAGGGGTGAGGCTGTGGAGACCCACCCAGCACCGGGGCCTCTTCCTCCACCAGTAAGTAGGGCCATAGGGGGAACGGGGACGAGCTGTGTAGGAGAAAGGCAGGGGGGATCAGGAGGAGGAAGAGGGCAGAAGCGGATGTGGCACGTCAAACCCCTATTTGGAGTCAAACCAAGGAAGGTGTGTGTGGCTGTGTGTTAAAGTGCACATGGATGTGCACACGTGTGTGTGTGTGCCTGTGCCTGTGTGTATGCATGTGTGTGTATTCTGGGTGGGCATCAAGAATGCTCTTACACTCTGGAGCCCTTGGGTTCATCCCAGGTGGTGGCTTGTTCCACATCAGCATGGATTTCTTCCACCCATTTGCCCTCGGCCACAGCCACACAATCCAAAGCATCCCTGAACACCTGGGAGGCTTCCCCGACCCCTCCCAGCCATCCTTCCCTCCCCAAGCTCTGCCACTTCCTAGTTCTTTGACCTGACCAGGCAACCTGCAAATACACAGTCACTAGCATGCATGCCCTGCCAGCATCTGCCCTGTCTCATCCTGTTCTGTTCATTGGCAAAACCCCACCCTGGCTAAACTCACTCAGCCTTGTACCCATGTTGAGCAGCTTAATGCGGTTGGAGAACATCCTGTCTTATTGATGGGTTTCACTTTCAAGCATTAACCACTCATGTCAGATGCTGCCTGCAAGTCTCACTTTTCCTTGGCCACACCGCCCTCCCTCCGCTCCAGGTCATCATTTCACAACAGCATCCCCCACGCCCCTCATCTCACTCATGTGTCACTGACAAACAGAAGCATCAGATGAGAAGAAGCATCCCCAAACCCACCACCCTCCCTGCCTTGATTTGGCTGCAATGGGAGCTGTGAAGATGGGCCCCTGCTCCCATGGCTGTCTCCCCATTTATTCATTAGCTCTCGTCCCCTCCCCCCACCACATGATCCCTCTCTGCGTTACTACAGGACGATTCCATCAGCATACAAACATGGCTCAGCCTCCACAATATCAAAAGCTGCCTTTCTTTCTTTCTTTCCTTTTTTTTGAGACAGAGTCTCTGTTGCCCAGGCTGGAGTGCAGTGGTGTGATCACGGCTCACTGCAACCTCCACCTCCCGGGTTCAAGCTAGTCTCAGCCTCCTGAGTAGCTGGGACTACAGGCGTGTACAAACATACCTGGCGTCAAAAGCCGTCTTTCCTTGCTCCCCTTTGCAGCCCCATCCCTCAATAATTGTCCCCCTCACCTCCTCCGCTTGTCTTTTCTCAACACATCCCCATATGAGAGCTTTTATCGGGGTCTCCATAATCTCCATCTGGCTTATCAAATGGAAGAGCTCTGTCCTTACAGAGCCCACCTCGCAACAGCAGAAGACACAGTGGCTCCCTCTCTCCTCAATGCTGCCTTCTCCAGGCTCCATGACAGCCCTACCTTGGTTCTCCTCCCATGTCACTAGCAACTCCTTCCCAGTCTCCCTCCCTAGTTCCTCCTCATCTTCTCCACCCTCGGGGCTCCACCCTCTGGTCTCCCATCTCCATTCTCTCCCTGGATGATCTCATTCAGTCCCTCTGATGATTCCCAAATCCATATCTTCAGGCGAGACTTTGCCTTTTTCTTTTTTTGAATTGACAGAGTCTCTGTTGCCCAGGCTGAAGTGCAGTGGCGCAATCTCAGCTCACTGCAACCTCTGTCTCTGAGGTTCAAGCAATTCTCTTGCCTCAGCCTCCCGAGTAGGTGGGATTACAGGCAAGCACCACCTCACCCGGTTAATTTTTGTATTTTTAGTAAAGATGGGGTTTCACCATATTGGTCAGGCTGCTCTCGAACTCCTTACCTCCGGTGATCCGCCCGCCTCAGCCTCCCAAACTGCTGGGATCACAGGCGTGAGCCACCATGCCCAGCCATAGACCTTGCCTTTAAATTCCATGTTCATATATCCAATGGCCTACTTGAATTCCCTCTGGCTGGCTAATTCACTTCTCAAACATGACCACAGCAGTCTTCTTCAGCCCAGCAAATGACACTGCCTTTCTCACCCAAGGGGCTCATGCAACCCAGCTCAAAATCACCTCTGATTCCTCCTTTTCCCTCTATAATCCTTTCACGTGTCAACAAGCCCTGTTTAGTGCTACCTACAAAATAAATCCTGAATCCGTCCCTTCCTTCCACTCCCTCTTTCATTACCCTAGTCCAAGCCTCATCTTCTTAGAATAAGATCCAAAATCTTCACCAAGAGCCATAAAGCCCTATGTCTAGCCACTCTGGTCTAACCTCCAGCCCTTGGATATGCTAAGCCTAGTCTCACCCCAGGGCCTTTGAATGTTCCTGTGCCTGAACTCCTCTTCATAGACAGTCTTACGGCTCTCTTGAGTCATTCACTTTCAATTTCGACATCAGTTTTTCCACAAGGCCTTCCCTGGCCAGCCATCTCAAGGAGCCTGTCAGCCACACTCAGCCTATCACATTGTCCTGTTTTATTGTCTTTGTAGTACTTTCTCCCTCCGACATTATCTTTAAGTTGTCAACCTATTCATTATCTAGAACGCAAGCTCCCTGAGGGCAGCCTTGCTAGTTGACTTACTCCTCTATGCTTTGTGCCTCAAACAATGCCCAGCACGTGGTAGGTACTCAACAGGAATGTGTTGAATAAATGAATGGATGGGAATAAGATGAGGTACCTCTCCAGACTAGTGAGAAGTCAGATGAGAAATAAGAACTAGGCCGGATGCAGTGGCTTATCCCTGTAATCCAAGCACTTTGGGAGGCCGAGGCAAGTGGATCACCTGAGGTCAGGGGTTCAAGACCAGCCTGGCCAAAATACAAAAATTAGTGGGGCATGGTGGCGTGCACCTGTTGTCCCAGCTACTTTGGAGGCTGAGGCAGGAGAGTCACTTGAACCCGTGAGGCAGAGGATGCAGTGAGCCAAGATAGCGGCACTGCACTTCAGCCTGAGAAACAGAGCAAGCCTCTGTCTTGGAAAAAAAAAAAAGAGAGGGTATGGTGGCTCATGCTTGTAATCCCAGCACTTTGGGAGGCTGAGGCGGGAGGATCATGAGGTCAGGAGATCGAGACCATCCTGGCTAACAAGGTGAAACCGCTTCTCTACTAAAAATACAAAAAAATTAGCTGGGCATGGTGGCAGGCACCTGTAGTCCCAGCTACTTGGGAGGCTGAGGCAGGAGAATGGCATGAACCCAGGAGGCAGAGCTTCCAGTGAGCCGAGATCACGCCACTGCACTCCGGCCTGGGCGACAGAGCGAGACTCCATCTCAAAAAAAATAAAAATAAAAAAAAGAGAGAGAGAAATAAGAACTATTCCTTGCCTGTGTGTTTCTGCCTTTTACCCCATCCCTACCCCATGCAAAGCGTGGGCTGGATACTGTGGGGGAGAAGAGGAGAGGGCACAATTTAGCTCTGCAAGTACATACTGAGTGTCTGTGGCATACCAGGCCCAGTGCTTGGAGAGAAAGGACAAGGAAAGCCGGGGAGGGCCCCTGCTCCCTGCTCTGGAGGATGCAGCTGAGCTGGTGGCACCACAAGAGATGAGAGGTCCTGGACAGGAAGTCCTGCAGGCACTCAGAGGAGCCCTGGGGCCAGCAGGTAGCTTTCTGGAGAGGGAGGACTGATATTAGGCCATACAGAGGGAATGGAATACAGACAGAGCCAGGGAGTAGAAAGGGCGCCCAGGGCCAGGTGCAGTGAGTGGCTCACGCCTGTAATCCCAACACTTTAGGAGGCTGAGGTGGGCGGATCACCTGAGGTCAGTAGTTCAAGACCAACCAGGTCAACATGGTGAAACCCCATCTCTATTAAAAACACAAAAAATGGCCGGGCACGGTGACTCATGCCTGTAATCCCAGCACTTTGGGAGGCCGAGGTGGGCGGATCACCTGAGGTCAGGAGTTCGAGACCAGCTTGGCCAACATGGGGAAAAAAAACCCCGTCTCTACTAAAAATACAAAAAAATTAGCCAGGCGTGGTGGCAGGTGCCTGTAATCCCAGCTATTCAAGAGAGAATCGCTTGAACCTGGGAGGCAGAGGTTGCAGTGAGCCAAGATCGTGCCATCGCACTCCAGCCTGGGGAACAAGAGCGAGACTTTGTCTCAAAAAAAAAAAAAAAAAGCCCACAAAAAAATTAGCTGGGCATGGTGGCAGGCACCTGTAGTCCCGGCTACTTGGGAGGCTGAGGCAGGAGAATCATTTGAACCCAGGAGGCAGAGGCTGCAGTGAGCCAAGATCTTGCCATTGCACTCTAGCCTAGGCAGTGAGTGAAACTCCGTCTCAAAAGAAAAAAGGCAAAGAAAAGAAAGGGCAGCCAGGCAGCAGACCCATCACAAGGAAAGTTACAGAGATGGGAAGGAAGGTGAATGAAAAGTGACGATGGAGAGGGCCATCATCTGGGCCTCGTGGGACAAGCATATTGGATACAATGGACAGAGCGGCTGAAAAGCTAGACTGGCTGTGATATGAAGCCTCCAGGATGTGAGGCAGGCTCACCGTGTACTGGTTACCAACTTGTCTTGAGTCCAGTGAGGCAGAATACCCATGCATACATGTTATAAAAGTGAGTTTATTACTAAAGATGGGCAACAAAGGACAATAGAAGCCTAGGATCCACTGTGAGCCTGGGCCCCAAGGCTCAGGAAAGCTGTCTGGGACAGAGGGAGTCCTGTCTGCGTGTGCCGCACTTGCTGAGGGACCGCAGAAAGCAGCACACCCTGGGTTTTATACATCAAGGTGACATGATTTGCTGGGCTAAAGCCTTGAAGGCCATCCTATTTCTGGGGCTCAGGGGAGTGGAACAGATCCTGGGGTGTTCCAGCCAGTCCCTCCCTATCTTAGGATATTGCATTCCCACCACATTCTTTTTTTTTTTTTTTGAGATGGAGTCTCTCTCTGTCGCCCAGGCTGGAGTGCTGTAGTGGTGTGATCTCAGCTCACTGCAACCTCCACCTCCCGGGTTCAAGCAATTCTCCCGCCTCAGCCTCCCAAGTAGCTGAGATTACAGGCATATACCACCACGTGTGGCTAATTTTTGTATTTTTAATAGAGACAGAGTTTCGCCATGTTGGCCAGGCTGGTCTTGAACTCCTGACCTCAAATGATCCACCCGCCTCAGCTTCCCAAAGTGCTGGGATTACAGGCATGAGCCACCGTGCCCGGCCCCCACCACATTCTTTAACTGTGTAATCTTCAGAACTACAAGTGAGAAATGAGAGAGAACTGGGTGGGTCCAAGGCCCACCTGCACCAGAGACCCATCCTGCACAGTCGTGGAGTGAAGCATTTGGCCTTAGCACTTCAATGACACTCTTAACACCTTGCAAAAAGCTGGGCCTAGGAAGAAATACTAGACTAGAGCACCCCGAGGCTGGGCACTAGGCACCCCTGTACCCACGTGACTGCACTTGTGGCACAGATGGATGAAGGGATGGGTGTGACAGTCACAGGGAGCCCCTGCAGGCTCGGGGGTAGCAGAGCAGTGACAGAAGAGCTGCACAGAGGTCAATGCAGTGGCCTGTTCAGGACACCTGGTGCCAGGTGGAAGGGGCTCAGAGAAGGCAGAAGGAGGAATCCAGGTGTGTGAGGGTTGGAGAAGCTGGAGGGAAAGATGTCAGGGCCTTGGCACCATCGTTCACCCACAGGCTGAGCGCCTGCTGGGAGCAAAACTTGGTGCTGGATCCTGAAATAATAGGAGACATTTGGCCGGGTGTGGTGGCTCACGCCTGTAATCCCAGCACTTTGGGAGGCCGAGGTGGGCGGATCACAAGGTCAGGAGATCGAGACCATCCTGGCTAACATGGTGAAACCCCGTCTCTACTAAAAATACAAAAATTAGCCAGGCATGGTGGCGGGCGCCTGTAGTCCCAGCTACTCGGGAGGCTGAGGCAGGAGAATGGCGTGAACCCGGGAGGTGGAGCTTGCAGTGAGCCGAGATCACACCAACACACTCCAGCCTGGGTGACAGAGCGAGACTCCGTCTCTAAAAAAGAATAATAATAATAATAATAGGAGACATTCTGAGACAGACTTCTACCCACCTTGGGGCTCAGAGTCTGTATCTGCAACAGGGGCAGAGGCCCCGGACTTTGGAAGCCCTGTAGTCCCCAGAGGGCCATGGGGAGTCCCCGGAGGGCCATGATGACAGTGAGGCTGGATTCATGGCCACCATCTTGGGCCCCAATATCACAATGGAGCAGGAGCCCCAGAACTGATTTTTTTTTTGAGGGTCACATTCTGCCACCCAGAGTGCTAGAGTGCAGTGGCACAATCTTGGCTCACTGCAACCTCCGCCTCCTGGGCTCAAGTGATCCTCCCACCTTAGCCCCTTCAAGTAGCTGATAGTACAGGCGCGAGCCATCATGCCTGGCTAATTTTTGTATTTTCTGTAGAGACAGGGTCCCACCATGTTGCCCAGGCTCTTCTCGAACTCCTGAGCTCAAGCGATCCACCTGCCTCAGCATCCGAAAGTGTTAGGATTACAGGCATGAGCCACTGCGCCTGGCCCAGAACTGCTTTTAATTGCTAGTTTGTTTTAGGCTTGACAGAAATTGAGCATTTGCCCTTAATTCAGGAAAACAATTAAAGGAGTCTTCGACATGGGAAAATGGGTCTCTTTTCTAGGCTGTCAGAATACTCAACTAGAATCTTTTTTTTTTTTTTTTTTTTTTTTTGAGATGAGGTTTCGCTCTTGTTGCCCAGGCTAAAGTGCAATGGTGTGATCTCGGCTCACCTCAACCTCCACCTCCCAGGTTTAAGCGATTCTCCTGCCTCAGCCTTCCCGAGTAGCTGGGATTACAGGCATGCGAACAACCCCAGCTAATTTTGTATTTTTAGCAGAGACGGGGCTTCTCCATGTTGGTCAGGCTGGTCTCGAACTCCCAACCTCAGGTGATCTGCCTGCCTCAGCCTCCCAGAGTGCTGGGATTACAGGCGTGAGCCACCGCGCCCGTCCAGCTATGATTATTTCAACCGTACTGTTTGTTGAGCGTTTACTCTGTCCAAGTGCATTATTTACATTATCTTGCTTCTCAGACATCACTGAGAAAACTGAAATAATCAGTGTTTAGTTAACATACATATTGAGGACAACATACCAAAAACAGTTGTGAAACTGGGGATTTCATGGTGAATGGAGCTTGTGACCTAGTTGGCAGAAAGTCTAGACCATTAACATGTAAATAAATAAATACAGTTTAGGCTGGGTGCGGTGGCTCACGCCTGTAATCCCAACACTTTGAGTGGCTGAGGTGGGCAGATCCCTTGAGGCCAGGAATTCAAGACCAGCCTAGGCAACATGGTAAAACCCTGTCTCTACTAAAAATACAAAAAAATTAGCCAGGCTGTGGTGGCGCACATCTGTGATCCCACCTACTCGGGAGGCTGAGGCACGAGAATCACTTGAACCCGGGAGGCGGAGGTTGCAGTGAGCCAAGATTGCACCACTGCACTCCAGCCTGGGCAACAGAGCGAGACTCTGTCCCAAAAAAATAAAAAAAAAGAACTCTAGGCTCACACTCATCAGGACGACTGCTATAAACAAGAAAAAAAAACAGAAAATAACAAGTGTTGACAAGGATGTGGAGAAACTGGAACATCTGTGTACTGCTGGTGGGAATGTAAAATGGTACAGCTACTGTGGTAAACAGTATGATAGGCTGGGCATGGTGGCTCACACCTGTAATCCCAGCACTTTGGGAGGCCGAGGCAGGCAGATCGCTTGAGGTCAGGAGTTCAAGACCAGCCCGGCCAATATAGCGAAACCCTCTCTCTACTAAAAATACAAAAATTAGCCAGGCATGGTGGCACGCACCTGTAGTCCCAGCTACTCCAGAGGCTGAGGCAGGAGAATCGCTTGAACCTGGGAGGTGGAGGTTCGGTGAGCCAAGATCACGCCATTGTACTCCAGCCTGGGCAACAAGAGTGAAACTCTGTCTCAAAAAAGAAAAGAAAAGAAAAAGAAGAGAAGAGAAAGATGGTAGTTCCTCAGAAAATTAAAGATAGAATTACTATATGATGCTGAAACTCCATTTCTGGGTATATACCCCAGAGAACTGAAAGCAGGATCTCAAGGAGATCTTTGTACACCCATGTTCATAGCAGTATTATTCACAACGGATAACAGATGAAAGCAACTCAAGTGTCCATTGACAGATGAATGGATATGCCAAATGTGGTCTGTACGTACAATAGACTATTATTCAGCCTTAAAAAGGGAGGAAATTCTGACACATGCTGCCACATGGATGAGCTTTGAGGATGTTATGCTAAGTGAAATAAGCCAGTCACAAAAAGACAAAGCAATTCTGCTTATATGAGATTCTTAGTCAAATCTGTAGAGACAGGAGGTGGAAATGGTAGTTGCCAGGGCCCGGGGGAGTGGTGATGGGAGGTTATTATTTAATGGATATGGAGTTTCTGTTCTACAAGATGAAAAGACCAGCCTGGGCAACATAGCAGGACACTGTCTCTAAAAAAAAAATCGTTGGCCGGGCGTGGTGGCTCACGCCTATAATCCCAGCACTTTGGGAGGCCAAGGCGGGCGGATCAAGAGGTCAGGAGATCCAGGCCATCCTGGCCAACATGGTGAAACCTTGTCTCTACTAAAATACAAAAAACTAGCCGGGTATGGTAGTGCACACCTGTAGTCCCAGCTACTCAGGAGGCTGAGGCAGGGGAATTGCTCAAACCCTGGAGGTTGCAGTGAGCCAAGATCACGCCACCACACTCCAGCCTGGCGACAGAGCAAGACTTTATCTAAAAAAAGAAAGAAAGAAAGAAAGAAAATCGTTAAGTTGGTAAATGTGGCTGGATATGATGGCTCATGCCTGTAATCCCAGCACTTTGGGAGGCCGAGGCAGGCAGATCACCTGAGGTCAGGAGTTCGAGACCAGTTTGGCCAACATGGTAAAATGCTGTCTCTACTAAAAATACAAAAATTAGCCGGGCATGGTGGTACACACCTGTGATCCCAGCTACTTGGGAGGCTGAGGCAGGAGAATTGCTTGAACACGGGAGGCAGCGGTTGCAGTGAGCCAAGATCGTGCCACTACCCTCCAGCCTGGGCAACAGAGTGAGACTCTGTCTCAAAACAAACAAACAAAGATGGTAAATGTTACGTGTATGTTATCACAGAAAAAAAAAGTTGGAAAAGAATAAAAGGACTCTAGGTCTGGGGCCTGAGCCACCAGTGGTGTCATGAAGTGAGACACGAGCCTGGGTAGCAGCAGATGAGAGGAACCTGGGGTCTCTGCTTTGGTCCTGTTCTAGACACCCAAGAAGAGATGTCAAGGAGGACATCTGGTATTCGGAAGGACAAAGAAATGTGAGGAAAATGGAGTCATGGGCAGCAGGATGACTTTTAGGGAGGGAGGGAGTCCAGAGCAGGGGAAGGACTGAGGACAAATCCCTGGGTCTCTGCAACACTGAGAAATGGAGCACAAGTGAGGGGGAGCCAGCACCGGAGGCAGGGGCAGAGCAGCCAGTGAGGGGCGGGTGTCTAGAGAAGGGAGCATTTCCAGAAGGACAGAGTGAATGGGCATCTGTGTCTAATGCTGCCAAGGGGTCAACTCAGATGAGGGCAGAGATCTGACTGTGGCATGGCGAGAGCAGCTTTGGGGAGTGCTGGGCAGAGCCTGATTGGAGATGGAAGTGGGGAGTCAGGACAGCCAACGCTTTCAAGGAATTTTGCAATAGAAGGGGAGCAGAGAACTGGGATGATCAGGGGTGGGGTGGTATCAGGAGACTTTGTTTTGTTTTGTTTTTTTTTTTTTTTTTTTGAGACAGAGTCTTGCTCTGTCACCCAGGCTGGAGTGCAATGGCGCGGTCTCGGCTCACTGCAACCTCTGCCTCCTGGGTTCATGCCATTCTCCTGCCTCAGCCTCCTTAGTAGCTGGAACTACAGGCACCTGCCACCACACCCGGCGAATTTTTTGTATTTTTAGTAGAGACGGGGTTTCACTATGTTAGTCAAGATGGTCTCGATCTCCTGACCTTGTGATCCGCCTGCCTCGCCCTCCCAAAGTGCTGGGATTACAGGCGTGAGCCACCTTGCCTGGCCTGTTTTGTTCTTAAAGAAGGAAGATTAGCGGTTTTGGTGGCACACATCTGCAATCCCAGCACTTTGGGAGGCTGAGGTAGGAGGATCATTTGGGCCAAGGGTTTTGAGACCAGCCTGGGCAAGACAAGACCCTGTCTCTACAAAAAATTAAAATATTAGCCAGGCCTGGTGGTGAGCACCTGTAGTCCCAGCTACTTGGGAGGCTGAGGTGGGATTATCTCTTGAGCCCAGGAATTCAAGGTGGCAGTGAGCTGAGATCGTGTCACTGCCTTCCAGCCTGGGCAACAAAACGAGACCCTATTTCTTTCAAAATAAAAGAGGGAAGATGATAATATATTTACATGCTGATAGGAGTAATCTGGTGGGGAAAGCGAAGTTGATAACTTAGGAAGAGAGAGTGTGTGGTAAGCACAGTGTCTTTGATTGGGAGAAAAGCCTGGCCTGGCAAGAGGCAGAATGGGGATAGCCAGTCCCTCTGAGGGGAGGGAACAGGTGCAAGAGAGACTGGGGTTGCTGAGTGAATGAGAAGTGGGTGTACAGGAATAAAAGAGGCAGCCAAGATCCTGCCCTCATAATGCTTACCTTCTGGTCAGGAGGGCAGACAACAGGCATGAACAAAGCCAAGTGGTGGGACCAGGAGTAACTCACTCAAGACCATGGCTCAGCCGGGCGCGGTGGAACACGCTTGTCATCCCAGCACTTTGGGAGGCCAAGGCGGAGGATCACTTGAGGTCAGGAGTTCCAGACCAGCCTGGGCAACATGGTGAAACCCTGTCTCTACAAAAAATACAAAGATTAGGCCGGGCGCAGTGGCTCATGCCTGTAATCCCAGCACTTTGGGAGGCTGAGGCAGGCAAATCATGTGAGGTCAGGAGTTGGAGACCAGCCTGGCCAACGTGGCAAAACCCCATCTCTGCTAAAAATATAAAAATTAGCTGGGCATGGTGGTGCACACCTGCAGTCCCAGCCACTTAGGAGGCTGAGACAGGAGAATCGCTTGAACCTGGGAGGTGGAGGTTGCTGTGAGCCAAGATCACACCACTGCACTCCAGCCTGGGCAACAGAGCAAGGCTTCGTCTCAAAAAAAAAAAAAAGATTAGCTGGGCGTTGTAGTGCGCGGCTGTAGTCCCAGCTTCTCTGGAGGCTGAGGTGGGAGGATCACTCGAGCCTGGAAGGTCAAGGCTGCAATGAGCTGAGATCACACCACTGCACTCCAGCCTGAGTGACAGAGTAAAACCCTGTCTCAAAAAAGAAAATACAGCTCACTTGGATGTGGCAAGTCAAGTGTTGGGGAGGACGTGGGGCAGGAGCACAGTGGGGTGCATGTGAGATTTGGGGTACATCCTCCAAAGGCTCAGAGAGTAAGGGGCAGTCTGAGGATCTCTGGAGAGGGGATGGCAGGGAGGAGATTTGTGGGACACTCTGGCCCACTAGAGGCCTCCTGGATCCCCTCCCCTGTCCCCAGGAGGTGAGGGACATTGGAGAGAGGCGGGAGCCAGACCGTGCGCAGCAGCAGCCTCAGAAGCCCGCGGTGGCTGCAGGGACACAGAGCCTCGGGAACTTCCGGCAGGGCTTCATGAAGTGCTTGCTGGAGGTGGAGAAAATGGAGGCCTCCCATCGGAGAGCCTCGAAGGCCCGGTCCCAGACAGCCCAGAAGTCGCCCAGGACCCTGACCCCGGTGCCCACCTCAGCTCCAAGCCTGCCTCAGACCCCTGCCTCGGTCCCTGCCAGCGGCCCATCGTGGGCCCGGCTGCCAGCTCCTGGGCCAGAACCTGCCCCCATGGGAGCCCCGGTCCCCACCTCCATGCCTTGCCCTGTCCTGCTGGGCCCTGCCCTGGACCTGGGCTGGAGAAGGATGGAACTCTTGCACCAGAGCAGCGAGAGAACCCTGAGCTACGCCAAGGCGCGGTAGGAGCCCCCGCTGCTCACCCGCCCGCTCCTGAAAGGCCCCAAGATCAGAGCCTTGTCCCGGATGCAGGTCCCTGTCCCTGCACCTGCCTGTTCCCTCGTGTGTCCCCCTCTCTCCATTTCTCCTCATGTGTCTCCTCTCCGCATCTCCCATGTCTCTGCCTCCTCTCCCACTTCTGACCCCTTTTCTAACTCCCCCGAAGGGGTCTCCCTCTAGTCCCCTCTCCTCTGTCCCACTTCTCCTCTGGATCTCCTTTTTCCTGCCATTCTTGATCTCTCCGGGCTCCCCAAAGCCTCCCCCACGACCTCCTCCTGCAGGCTCCCCCAACCCCTCCCCTAGCTATCAGCAGGGTGGGCGGCCGGATGTTGCCCTGGGTCGGGGTTCTGTCCTCTGCAGGCAGGAGCCGGAAGAGCAGAGCCTCCAAAAGCTTTATCAAAACCGGGAGAAGTCCGAGGAGCAACTGACCCTGAAGCAAGAGGAAGGTGAGGGCAGGGAGGTCAGGGAGGTCCCAGCACAGGCAGGACCCTTGGTCCTTGGGGGTTTATAGGCGCAGGGCGGACTGGGGTGCTTTCCAGATCACATGGCTGCCGCCATGTGTAGCAGACCCAGCAGGGGTTTTCTGCACTTGGCCTATGGGGCAGGGCAGGGTAGGGGATTGGCTCCAGCTCACAAAGCTGCTGGGTTGGGGGGGGCCAGAACTCATGCTGGGTCTTTTTTTTTTTTTTTTGAGACAGAGTCTCGCTCTGTCACCCAGGCTGGAGTGCAGTGGTGCGATCTCAGCTCACTGCAACATCTGCCTCCAGGGTTCAAGCGATTCTCCTACCTCAACCTCCTGAATAGCTAAGATTACAGATGTGTGACACCACGCCCGGCTAATTTTTGTATTTTTAGTAGAGACAGTTTCACCATGTTGGCCAGGCTGGTCTCGAACTCCTGAACTCAAGTGATCCACCCACCTCAGCCTCCCAAAGTCTGGAATTACAGGCGTGAGCCACCGCGCCCAGCCTCGTGCTAGGTCTTCTGACTCGAAGTCCAGCGCTCTCCCTGTGCCAGAGCTGCCTCTCTGAGAGAATGACAGATGCCCTGCACAGTGCTTTAGGTTTTGGAATAGTTTCTTCTTCCCTTAACCCAAGCCTGCTCTATTGGTCCTCTTCAGAGCACCCTGGATGGGAGACAGGGCCCCAGGAACCCTGCCCATCCTAGATGGTCCCTCACCATTAAACAAGGCCACCAGCCTAAACATGTACCCCATTCCCACTGCATCTCACCTGCACCAAAAAGTTAAAAAGTTCTGAACACCTACCCTGCTCTCTATTGTCCTCAGGAAGGGGCCCTGTGACCCCACTCCCCCATCACCCTGGCCCTAGAAGAATGGATGTACATCCTCCTTCCATCCCCTACTCCTCTCCAAAGCCTGCAACCCTCTTGGCCACAGCGGCCCCTTCCTCTGTCTTCGCTGGATGCCCTCACTAGCTCCCTGTGACCCCATCCTTGAAGTTCACCCCTTTTAGTATTAAAACCCTCTACCAGGGCTGGGCACAGTGGCTCATGCCTATAATCCCACACTTTGGGAGCCTGAGGCAGGAGGATCGCTTGAGGCCAGGAGTTCAAGACTAGCCTAAGCAACATAGTAAGACCCCCACATCTACAAAAAATTTAAAAATTAGCCGGACATGGTAGCATAAGCCTGTAGTCCCAGCTACCCAGGAGGCTGAGGTGGGAGGATCACTTGAGCTCAGGAGTTCGAGGTTATGGTGGGCTACAATTATGCCACTACACTCCAGCCTGGGCGACAGAGCAAGACCCTGTCTCTTAAAAATAAAATAATATACAACTCCAACCGGGAGCAGTGGTTCACACCTGTAATCCCAGCACTTTGGGAGGCTTAGGCGGGTGGATCACGAGGTCAGGAGTTCGAGACCAGCCTGACCAACATGGTGAAACCCTGTCTCTACTAAAAATACAAAAATTAGCCCGGTGTGGTGGTGGGCACCTGAAATCCCAGCTACTCAGGGGGCTGAGGCACAAGAATCGCTTGAACCTGGGAAGTGGAGGTTGCAGTGAGCCAAGATCGCGCTACTGCACTCCAGCCTGGGTGACAGAGAGAGACTCCGTCTCAAAAATAATAATAGTAATAGTAATAATAATAATGATATACAACTCCCTAGCCACCTTCCTAAGTGCAGCTCTCCCTGCCCCACCTCCTTGAGCAGTTCATGAACAACATGCCACTTTGACTCAGAGACTCAAGGTCCCACAGCTCCCAATCCCTGTCTGGTAATTGAAGGGCCGACTGCCCTGCTCCAGTGGCTCAAACCACCAGGCATTCTGAGCGATCACACCTGCTTCTGAGAGTTGCTCTGGTTTTTCCTTCTGTGGTGTGCCTGCGCACGACAGGTCACCACGTGCCCCAACACCAATCCTAGCCCCACCTCTTCCCTACCATTCAGCGCTGTTTGTCAGAGACTTCCAGGCTAACAGAGGCTATTGTGTGCCAGCACTGAGTTCATAGAATACTTCCAAGAGGGTGCCCTGTTGTCATGGCCATCGTACAGATATGGATATAGAGGCTCACATGAATGCAGCAGCCTGCCCATGCCCACCGTCCCAGTCAGCACGGGCTGCCTTAACAAAGGACCACAGACTGGATGGTTGAAACAGCAGACATTTCTTTTGTCACAGGCTGGAAGTCCAAGATCAGGGGGTCGGCAGGTTGCTTTCTTCTGTGGCCTCCCTGCTTGGCCTGCAGACAGCTGTCTTCTCACTGTCCTCATATGGTCTTTCATCTGTGAATGGGCAACCCTGGTATCTCTGTGTGTGTCCAAATTTGCGTTTATTATTTATTTATTTATTTGAGACAGGGCCTTGTTCTGTCACCCAGGCTGGAATGCAGTCATATGATCCTACCTCACTGCAGCCTCCACCTTCGGGGATCAAGTAATCCTTCCACCTCAGCCTCCTGAGTAGCTGGGACTACAGGCATGTGCCACTGTGGCTGGCTATTTTTGTAGAGATGGAGTCTCTTATGTTGCCCAGGCTGTTCTCGGACTCCCAGACTCAAGTGATTCTACTGCCTCAGCTTCCCAAAGTGCTGGGTAGATGGTGTAAGCCATCGCACCTAGCCCAAATTTTCTTTTTGTATGAGGACTCCAGTTGGATTGGATTAGGGCCCACCCTAAAGGCCTCTTTTTAACTTTCTCACCTCTTTAAAGGCCCTATTTTCAAACACAGGCACATTTGGAAGTACTGGAGTTAGGGCTTCAACATAAGAGCAATCCGGCTCATTAAATGGCAGAGCCAGGCCGGGCGCAGCGGCTCATGCCTGTAACTCCAGCACTTTGGGAGGCTGAGGCAGGAGAATCACATGAACCCGGGAGGCGGAGGTTGCAGTGTGCCAAGATTGCACCACTGTACTCCAGCCTGGGTGACAGAGTGAAACTCCATCTCACCAAAAAAAAAAAGAAAAGAAAAAAGGGCTGTGGTCCCCTTGACTCACTCTGCTGTCTATTCCATATCCAGGCCAAGGGTTTGGTTTGAGTGCCAACAGCTCAGCTAATTAGTGGCCTCCACTCAGTGCCAGTAGCCCACCCACTTTAGGGCACCCTACTATGTGCCAGACACTGGACTAGGCTCTTTACAGCCATGTTCTCAAAAGAGTAGAATGCTTATTCCTGTTGTAACAATGGGGAAACTGAGGCTCAGAGGTTAGATGACTGGACAGTTTTTCTGACTAAGTCTGTCCCTAGATCTTGGTCACCTATCTGGATGGACAAGGTTGCAAGGATCGCTGCATTGTGTGGACCAGAGCAGAGGATGGGAAGGGTCTGAGAACGTCCCAGAGCAGCACCGATACAAAGGCCGTGTACTAGTCAGACTGTGTGGTGTCAGGTTTCTCAGCCCCATTGCAAAATCTGGGTTGGAGTCAATAGAGGGTCTTACTCTGTTGATCCAGCTGGAGTGCAGTGGTGTGATCATGGCTCACTGCTTCCTGGATCTCCTGGGCTCAAGGGATCCTACTGTCTGAGCCTCCCCAGTAGCTGGGACTACAGGTGCGCACCACCATGCCCAGTTTTTTTTTTTTTTTTTTTTCATTTTTATTTTTATTAGAGATGGGGTCTCCCTGTGTTGCCGTGGCTGGTCTTGAAATCCCAGGCTCAAGCAATCCTCCTATCTCAGCCTAGCTGAGTGTTGTAGCTGGGACAACAGTCATGCACCGCCACGCCCAGCTAAGTTTTGTATCTTTAGTAGAGATAGGGTTTCACCATGTTGGCCAGGCTGGTCTTGAACTCCTGGCCTCAGGTGATCTGCCTGCCTCAGCCTCCCAAAATGTTGGGATTACAGGTGTGAGCCAACGCACCCAGCAATTTTATTTTCACTTTTGATGGTGGAGGAGGCTGGCAGGAGGGTGGTTGGGGTGATGGGATAAATGAGGGAAACAAGAAATGCCCCCACTCCACATAACCCTGCCCTCCCCACAGCCTTCCGCAGCTACTTTGAGATCTTCAATGGTCCTGGTGAGGTGGATGCACAGAGCCTGAAGAATATCCTGCTCCTAATGGGCTTCTCTGTGACGCTGGCCCAGGTGGAGGACGCCCTGATGAGTGCTGATGTCAATGGTGAGTGGCAGAGGGCTCCACTCTGCATCCCAGGCAGGGCCTGCTTCACTGGCTTGAAACCTGTGCAGTTGCATGAGGCTCTGCACCTAAAGGATCCTGTGCTTGGTTTAATGCTCTACTGTCACAGTCTAGAAATGCCTTTGTTGTTCTTGTTGTTTGAGACGAGGTCTGGTTCTGTTGCTCAGGCTGAGTATAATGCTGTGATCCCTGCTCACCACAGCCTCGACCTCCTAGGCTCAAGCAATCCTGCCACCTCAGCCTCCTGAGTAATTGGGGCTATAGGCGCACTACCATGCCCAGCTAACTTTTTATTTTTTGTAGAGATGGAGTCTTTGTTGCCCGGGCTGGTCTCAAACTCCTGGACTCAAGGAATCTGCCTGCCTCAGCCTCTCAAAGTGCTGGGATCACAGGCGTGAGCCACCGCACCCAACATCATAGAAATTCTTAACAATTTTTCTTTTTTTCCTTTTTTTGGTTTTGTTTTTTTGTTTGTTTTTGCAACAGAGTCTTGCTCTGTCGCCCAGGCTGGAGGGCAGTGGCACGATCTTGGCTCACTGCAACCTCCACGTCCCAGGTTCAAGCGATTCTCCTGCCTCAGCCTCCCAAGTAGCTGGGATTACAGGTGTGTGCCAACACTCCTAGCTAATTTTTGTATTTTTAGTAGAGACGGGATTTCACCATGTTGGCCATGTAGGTCTCGAACTCCTGACCTCAGGTGATCCACGCACCTCGGCCTCCCAAAGTGCTGGGATTACAGGTCTGAGCACTTTCAGCTTGTACTTTCCTGTGTGCCCCATGTTTTCTGCATTGAGTATGCACTGCTTGATAATCAGACCCAGACAGTGACTTCTAATAACCACGCCTGGGCTGCAAGGCATGCACCTGCTCCGAAGGTCCCTGCCCACCCTACTCCTCTGGCCTCCACAGGAGATGGTCGTGTGGACTTCAAAGACTTCTTGGCTGTGATGACAGACACCAGGCGCTTCTTCTGCTCTGTGGGTGAGCAGGGATGAGCCCAGCGTAGTCAGAACTGGAGGAGGGGCTGGGAGGTTGGTTGCGGGGAGAGAAGAGGGCATTCAGGACTGCCCAGTGGTAACGGCAGCCACTATCCCATGTCTCCAGAACAGAACGCCCTGTCGGACATGGCTCCCCACAACCCCCACACTCTACTCTTTGAGATCCTGTCCCTGCTGGTAGAGATGCTGGCCTTACCAGAGGCAGTCTTAGAGGAAATCACAAAGTGAGTGGGGCCGGTTGTTGGGGGTGAAGGGTTGTGGACACAGAGGTGGCATCTAGCATTTTGGCACTGAGAACTTTTGGTAGTTACGACTTTTAGTCACAAGTGAAAGAAACTGGAGGCTGAGGCACGAGAATCGCTTGAACCCAGGAGGTGGAGGTTGCAGTGAGCTGAGATTGAGCCACTGCACTCCAGCCTGGGTGACAGAGTGAGACTCTGTCTCAAAAAAAAAAAAAAAAAAAAAAGAAAAAAACTAGAATAAAACTAGCTTAAGCAAAAGGGGAATGTATGGCTCAAATCACTGGTTGGGTCCTCAGGTCTAGTGGGATCCCAGAGACCAAATGATACCAGTAAGGCTTTCTCTCTCCACCTATCCATGTCTGTGCGCACTGGCTTTGAGCTCAGCTAGGCTCTCCCTACAGAGGGAGGGATGGTAGCTGGCGGCCCCATGCTTACACCCTCCTAGTGCAGCAAGAGGAATTCTTTCCTGCAGCATGCACTGAGCAGTCCCAGGAAAGGAATTTGATGGACCCTATCTGGGTCAGAAGACACAAAAGCCTCCACGTGTCTCCAGGGCAGGTGGGTGGGTAGGTAGTGGTTCATCTAAGGAAGAGACAGCCATAGGTGAAACAACATGAACATTCCAGGGCTAGAAGCAAAGGCGAAGGCAGAACAGTCCAGCTGACCTTCAAATAGCAATTTCAGGCCCTCATGCCTCAGAGGAGCCCGAGCCTCCATTTCCTGTCTTTGAAATGAACATATTTTAATGCTTGTTGCTCAATAAATGCTAGCTTTCAGGAGAGGTGGCCGGGTCTCGCTCTGTCGCCCAGGCTGGAGTGTAGTGATACAATTACGACTCACTGCAGCCTTGACCTCCTGGGCTCAATCAATCCTCCCACCTCAGTTTCCCGAGTAGCTGGGATTACAGGCGCGTGCCACCATGCCCGGCTTCCCAAAGTGCTGGGATTACAGGCATGAGCCACCACATCCAGCCAAAAGGCACTTTGTTGCTGGGCAACATGGTGTGTGCCTATAGTCTAGCTACTCAGGAGGCTCAAGGGGAAGGGCTGCTTGAGCCCGGGAGTTCGAGGCTGCAGTGAGCCATGTGGCACCACTGCACTCCAGCCTTGGTGACAGAACGAAAGTCCATCTCTTAAAAAAAAGAAAAGCCAGGCATGGTGGCTCATGCCTGTAATCCCAGCACTTTGGGAGGCCGCGGTGGGCGGATCACAAGGTCAGGAGATCGAGAGCATCCTGGCTAACATGGTGAAACCTCGTCTCTACTGAAAATACAAAAAATTAGCTGGGCGTGGTGGCGGGTGCCTGTAATCCCAGCTACTCGGGAGGCTGAGGCAGGAGAATGACGTGAACCCAGGAGGCGGAGGTTGCAGTGAGCTGAGATGCCACCACTGCACTCCAGCCTGGGCAACAAGAGCGAAACTCCATCTCAAAAAAAAAAAAAAAAAAAAAAAAAAAAGAATGGCAGCTCAGAACTGCCAGAAGAAAGGGAAAAGCCTGTATAGCTCATCTACTAACACCTTTGGCAAGGGTGCCCCACAGGTGCTTAACTCCCCGACACTTCTGGGTTGCACGTGTGTCAGAGAATCCCTGGGGCAGGAAGCAAGAGGCTCAGGCCTGAGGTGAGACCCGTAGGGTTGTCCCTGTGCAAAGCTAGTTGAAGCCTGTGTGAAAGTGGCCACTGCAGCACCCTTGGCCCACGGTGTTAGTAGACGGCTGGAGTAAGAGGTGCGGCTGAGGCTATGATACAGGGACCCTGTGTAGATGTCTCTTTCACTACTCTTTTCCAATCACTTAGAAGAGTGGCCAGGACACAGTGAACATTCAGTGAATACTTACTAAATGAATGATGTTGTAGTCTAGCGGGGGAAAAGGCAAGCAGTGAGTTAAGAAAATCAAGTGGGTTGCGGGCTATAATTGGGTAACTACAGGTTGCAGGGGGCCTCCAGCGGGAGCCTAGCTACTCTGTAGGGTAGGGGTGGGGATAGGACAGAGAAGATTTTCTGGAGCAGAGTCCTTAACTTGAAATCTGGAAGATGAGCAGGAGTTAATTGCACAGATAAGTACTTGCACATCTAAGTAAATGTATCAGTGATAAAATCATAGGTAATCATAGGTAATGCAGTGGCTCACGCCTGTAATCCCAACACTTTGGGAGGCCAAGGTGTAAGGATTGCTTGAGGCAAGGAGTTTGTGACCAGCCTGGGCAACACAGCGAGACCACGTCTCTACACAAAATAAAAAAATCAGCTGGGTGTGGTGGTTGGTGCCTATGGTCCCAACTACTCAAGAGGCTAGGGCAGGACGATCAGTTGAGCCCAGGAGTTTAAGGCTGTAGTGAGGCCATGTTCACGCCACTGCACTCCTGCCTGGGTAACAGAGTGAGACTCTGTCTCCCCGCCACGCCCCTCCCCAAAATAATAGGTAACATGTACAAAGCATTTTCCGTGTGCCAGACACCATGCTGCGTGCTTGATGGGCCTTGTTAATTCATCCTTGTTATTTAATCCTACGGCATGTGAACTGTCTGATCTGTTTTACCCAACGGAAACTTGAAGCTCAGAGAAGTCAAGTCACTTGCATTGACAGGGTAGAGAGAACCCCTTCCCTCCATTTTACACAGGGTGACTGAGGCCCAGAGCAGGGCAGTGACTTGCTCATGGTCACAGAAAGGGCTGAGCTGAGACTAGAAGCCAGGTTTCCTGACTCCTAGGCTTGTGTTCCTGCTCCAGAGCTGGCCAGAGAGATAGGGGCTGAGGAGGAGAAGGGTGAATTAAACACAGCCAGGCTGAGATGGGTGGGCACTGCCTCCCCAGCTACTACCAGAAAAAGCTGAAGGAAGGCACCTGCAAGGCCCAGGAGATGGAAGCGGCCGTAGGCCGGCTGCGGTTGCAGAAGCTTCCCTACAACCCCCAGCAAGAAGAGAGCTCAGAAGTTCCAGAACGAAAGGTCCTCAGTATCCTGAGCCGGCTGAAGCAGCAGAACTATGGTGAGGGCCCTGGGCAGGGTGGGATGGGCTAGGGTTGGGGCTTTGCTCTCTTGCCCATCTGGTCTCCTTTCCTTGGACCCTCAGGCAGCCAGGCCAAGGGAGCTGAGAGGCCAGTTTCCCACTTCGGGCTTAACTGTGTACATCAGAAAACAGGCTGATAATCACTATTTTCCATCCAGGCCTATGACAATGGCCTCCTGCGTTGGACTCCTCCCCTCCTGCCTTAGCCTGAGCACAGGTTGGTCCCATGAGCCAGGACTGAGAAAGAACAGCTGTAGAGATTAGCAATCCCAGCTCACTGTTTATTGAGTGCCCACTGTGCTAGGCCCTTTGCAGATGCTCTAGAATTTAATACTCATAATCATGTATTTACCCCATTTTACAGATTAGAAAAATGAAACTGACCCAGGCACAGTGGCTCACATCTGTAATCCCAGCACTTTGGGAGGCCGAGGTGGGCGGATCACCTGAGGTCAGAAGTTCGAGACCATCCTGGCCAACATGGTGAAACCCCATCTCTAAAAAATTAGCCAGGTGTGGTGGCGAGCACCGGTAATCCCAGCTACTCTGGAGGCTGAGGCTGGAGAATCGCTTGAACCCGGGAGATGGAGGTTGCAGTGAGCCGAGATCACGCCATTGCACTCCAGCCTGGGGGACAAGAGCAAAACTCTGTCTCAAAAAAAAAAACAAAAATGAAACTGATAAAGTTCAGCAATTTGCCCAATGCCCCTAACTAGTGTTTTGGAAAGGGGAGTTTATATCCAGGTCTGACCCCAAAATCTATGCTCTTTCCACTGGGCAAGCCTGCCTCCCTTCCCCCAGGTACCATTTATTAGACTCCTACTATGTGCCAAGTAACAGGATAGGAGCTTTGCAGTCTTTCTAGAGCATGCCTACTAGACTTTGCCAACACCCATCACAAAGTCCTCTGCTCCTTGTTAAGCTGTTACCAGCTCTTATTCTGTGTGCAGCACTGAGCTGAGTGCTTTGCATATATTTCTCCTTTAATCCTCATCATCAACTTTTGTGAGGTGGGTACCACTATCACCTCCAGCTCAGAAGCTTAGAGAGGTTAAGTGACTTGCCCCAAACCACTCAGGTCATTATGTAGCAACGCCAGGATTTCACTTGAATCTGCCTGCTTCCCAAGGCTGGGCATGCTGTGAAGCATTCCTCCTTCTGCCTCCTTCTTCACCAGCTCCCAACCTGCAGAGCCCCTATGCCCAGGTGCCCTGCATCCTGCTCTGCCCACAGCTGGACAAGAAGATGGTCCGTAGGCAGCCGAGCAACCACTATGCACTAGACCAGTGCACACCCCCTGGCCTGGATCCTGACATCCGCAGCCCCTTCTTCCAGTCAGGATCTCAAGGAAACAGGTGGGTGCCCAGAGAAAGGGTCCCAGCCCAGGCCCTTCCAGATTCTTCCTTAAGAGGCCCCTGGCCTAATGCCTGGGAATCCATCTTTCTAAGAGATCATACCTGAGAGGCTGCTTGCTCCAGGGAGGAGAAAGGGTAAAAGGCGAAGAAGACAAACCTTTGTTGAGGGCCTGTGTACCCAGCAGATTGTTCCACTGAAGCCAGAGTGCTTCTGCTTTCCTGTGTCCAGGACTCAGTGGCACCTAACTGAGTACTCTGAGTTCCCTATGGTTCCATATTAGGACTAGCAGACTGTGCACCTGGGCAGAGGGGAACGTCTCCTGCAGCAGTCCCCCTCCAGGCCGCTGGGGAAGGGAGCTCTGGACTTGGAATCAGGCCCCTAAGCACAACTGCTGGTTCCACCATTTCTGAGGGGAGGCCTCCTCTCTCTCCTCACTTGGGCACGCACAGATGGCTCATATACTGGCAGATAGGGAAAGGGCCACATGTCTCCCACCCTTCTGCCCTACTCCTCTCCCCAGGGAACACAACTCTGACAGCAGAAAGTGGCTCAGCTCTGTGCCAGCTCGAACCCACTGACCCTCTGGAGGCCTGACTCTAGGCAGCTGCTCAAGGCCTGTAGACAGATGGGCCACCAGGCAGGAGCTGCTGCTGGGATTTGCTTTTGTGGCCTGGTGAGCTAATAAACACCAATAACTTCAGCCTCTGTGCCTCTTGCCAAGAAAGGCCCTCAAGTTGTCACCCAGCCACCACTGGGCTCTCAGAGTGCAGGGTTCCACCTCAAAGCCCTGCGCGGGGTTGGGATTTCTGCTACAGGTGCCCCTGCGTGCAGTCTTGACCTTCTGTGCCTTCTCAAAGCACAGGGCTAGGCCTCTCCTCAGGTGAGCACATCCCCCTCTGGACTGGGAGCCCCACAAAAGCAGCCATTCTCTCTCTCCACTGGCTCTAAGACAGGCCCTGTGGAAGAGCAGGAGGTGGCCTCTGCATGCTCCCCCGACAGAGCCCCAGGACCCAGGGCTCTCATTCTCTGGGAGCCCCAAGAGGGGTGGGTCCTTTCCCCTCAACCCACATACCACCCGGCCTCGTGTTTTACCAAAGACAGTCTTTCCCTGGGACTGGGCAGAGGGAAATCCCCCAGGGTTAAATAAGCGGCCACAGCAAGAGGTAGAGGGCAGGGACTGAAATGAGGACAAAGATCTGACAAGTTTAAAACATGTATTTAAAATACAATTTATAAAATGCTTAATCTGCCGACTCAGGAGCCCGCGGTGCAGGGTGGGGTGGGAGTGGGCAGCTGCCCGCTACACCAGCAGAGTAAGACTGCAGGGGTGCAGCCCTCCCTCCCATGCCCTTCTGTTCAGACACCCAAGGGGCCCATGTGCACCCCTGGGATCACACGACCAGAAAACAGGACCCCAGAGGTTTCTTGAGTCTCTGCTTACCAGGGAGGCTGGGTACAGCCCTGCCAGCCCATCCCTGAGCAGGGCACCCCCAGATGGGGCAGAGCAGGGTATGGCTGGGCAGGGCAGGGCTGGGCGGGGCAGATGGGCTCTGGAAGGGGCTGATGGTAGCAGATAGGGTGTTGCCTCCTGCCTGCAGGTGGGGAGCACCCTGATTGAGTGGGCTGAGAAAGGTTGGTCACCAGGCCTGGACCCCCCAGCTCCTTTGGTTATAGGCTGACATCAGAGTAGTGGCTCATGGGAAGCGGTTAGCTGGAAGGTCTGAGGCCTGGCCCATGGGGTCAGGGAGGAGCTGGGGGAAGGGGACAGTACCGTGAAGGCAGATAAAGGGGCAGCAGCCTCAGGTTTCTGCCCCCCATCCCCCTGGGGTTTTCCAAGCCAAAGCCTGCAACTTACTTTAAAAAAGAAAAGGAAAAAAAGCACTTAGGAAAGTTACAGACAACTACCCCCAAAAAATACCCTCCCACACACAAAATCCAAACCGTTTCCTCATCTCCCTCCCGCCTCCCCCGACACAATACAGTTTCCTGTTTTCTTTCTTTTTAAAAACGTTGCCTGCTACCTCTCCATTTGGGAAGCCCAGGGCATGACTGCTGGTGGGTGGTGACAGGCACACAGCGGGCAAAGCCCATCTTTGGCCAGAGGGAGGTGGGAGGACCAGTCCCTGCCACATCCTCAATCCACAGACACCCACCAGCCAGCCTTTACTTTGGCCTCCCACTAGAGGGTAGTGGGGCAAGAACAGGTGGTCCCAATGGCTGGGCAATCAGCACTTCTGGCGTTCCCACCTGGACTACCTCTATACCCTTCTCCAATTAAAAGGAAAGTCTCACTTTGGGCGGGAAACCACTATTACATAAGGGATGGACACTACACATTTAGAATGTGGACACTTGGTTAGGGCAGTGGAACTATAAAGATAGCAGCCAGTTTTCTTCCTTGCCTTCTCCTGAAGGTAATCCTCCCTCTTACTGACTGAAGCTCTGGTTCCAGCTCTGCTCATGGGCAATGCCTGGCTTTACAGTTATAAGGCTGTGCTATGGACTAGCTGCTGACTCAGCTGGCAGCTGGCCCTTCCTCCGGAGGAGAGGACGTGTTGGGGCATGGCTTACTGGGCCTGGCCTACCATTCCCACAGGGAACCAACGAGGGAGTGAGCCTGTGAGACTCAGCTTGCCACCTTGGCCACCACGTGCTGCCCTCATCACAAAAACCACACCAACCACTCCGAAACGTATCTGCTGGTCAGGAGCAGGGAGGCTGTCTGGCTGGCTGAGGGATAAGGCGCAGTGCAATGGAAGGGATCAGGAAGCCTGAGAGGAGCCAGGTACACACAGCTGCTCTGGGCAGCTGCCCTCTTAGTCTCTTCCACCTCAAGGAGCCAAAGCAAACCCCAGGCTCCAGGGACAGAGGATAAACTGCCTTCATTCCAGGCCCTCGCTCTGGAAAAAGGGGTGACGGGTAGCCTAGGCCTCTGAGGAACCAGTCTGTCATCAATCTTTGCAAAGCAAAGCTGTTCTTTTTCCAACTTTATTCAGAATGTTCTGCCTTCAAGGTACTGATTGCACACAGGAAATGTACCAGGTATAGTTACTGAGCTGGGGCCACCAATGGAGATGGAGCACTGCAGACCCCTAAGAGTTCAAGCCATGCTGGAGTGGGAAGACCTATCCACCTTCTGAACATACGAGGCAGAAGGCTCAGAGTCCTGGAGGCAGACTCTCTCCTGGTTTTCCTTGTGCTGATGGCAAAATACTAAACAAGTCTTCTCTCCGTCACTTCTAAGCCCAGGGATGCAATCTCACTCCCTGGCACTCTGCTTTCTTCTAGAAGTAGTAAGCCTGGCTGGTAGGGAACCACCCTGAGGGGTATGGGAAGGGGAAGTCGGTTCACTTTCCCTATCTCCCAAAATACTAGAGGTGGGGTTGGCACCCTCCCCAGGCTCTCCGAGCCTACAGAGCTAGCCCAGTCTCCAGGCAAGGCCCAGATGCCCTGGGACTTAGCTCGGGGAGGGAGGTATAGGCATGGGGTGCTCGTCTGTCCTGGCGGCTGCAGAGCCCTGCCCCTTTTCTGGGCGGCAGTAGGAATACAGAAGCTAAGCTCACCAAAATCCTATTGGTTAATGTTTCTAGTGAATTTCCCAGAAACATTTTTAAGTAGACTACCAAACTACCCTTTCTTAATTAAAAATTCATTAAACCACTAAAACCCCTCCCATGCACTTTTTCTTGCAAATCAGATATTTGTATAAACAAACAAAAATAGGAAGAAAAAAAAAAGAAAGGATATTTTCAAATGGAACTTACTTTTTAAGTGATGGAGACATGCACTTGGGGGTGGGTGGGTGTGAGTTTTCATTTGTGTTTTGAAATCCCAAATTAATGAGCATGATAAACTGTTATTGCTGGCACTGGCTTTACCCCAAGTGGCCAAGTGGCACTGTCTGACTCTCTGAGTCCTTGCTGGGTCCCCCCAACCTTCCCCTAACCCCCACCCTTTCCCTTTCCATTGACTTGGGACAGCCCTTGTCGATGTGCCAATCACAGTGGGAAGGGGGAGAAGGGGGGAGGTCACAGTGCATGGGGTTCAAGGTCACAGTGGGCGGAGCAAGGGGGATCACAGTGCAAGTAAGTCAGGTCGTTCCCTCTGCTCAAGTCCAGCTGTCTGCCACGGCAGTGCAACCCGTGGCGGACGACCCAGGAGGCGGTGACGGCAGCAACGGCGGCATCTTTTCTTGCCTGCATTTATCTGCGCTGTTTGAAGCCTTGAGACCCATCAGGACCCAAAGGCTGTCTGATCACATTATTGGGCTGCCTGCTGTCTTCGGGTTGGGAGATCCTGGTTGGCCTGAAAGGAAGAAAAGCAGAGGAAGGCCTGAAGAAGGATATAATAGATGTCCCCCATCATTTCTTTATTTTTTATTTATTTTTGAGACGGAGTCTCATTCTGTCACCTAGATTGGAGTGCAGTGGCACGATCTCCGCTCACTGCAACCCCCACCTCCTGAGTTCAAGTGATCCTCCTACCTCAGCCTACCGAGTAGCTGGGACTACAGGCATATGCTACCACACCCAGCTAATTTTTGTAATTTTAGTAGAGATGGGGTTTCACCATGTCGGCCAGGCTGGTCTTGAACTCCTGACCTCAAGTGATCCGTCCACCTCGGCCTCTCAAAGTACTGGGATTACTGCACCTGGCCTAGATGTCCCCCATCTTAAAATCAACTGTCCATATAGCTGGGCCCACGTCACTCTGGCTCCGCAAGCCTGCTTCTTTGGGAAGCTGACTCAGGGCACCTCCAAGTTGAGAGGCCCCTGTGAGCAGGCAGGGTCGGTGGTGCACATTCACCTCTAGCAGCTACAGCATCCTTTCCCCCTGCTCAGCTGCCATCATGCACTTGTAGGCAGGGGGAGTGCTTGAGGGCCCACTCTGCCCAGAGGCAGTGACCATGGATAGCACATGCTCCGCAGAACCATTTGGAATCTCCAGAGTGTTAGGCCAAAGTAAAGAACTGGAATCAAGAGCTCAGCAGAGGGACACATCCCCCGCCCCCCAATTCTTCCCTCCCACTCCTCTCCAAACTCTGCGGTTAACGGTTGACTCATATGACTATTTTTCCACCCTGGAAAGGTGAAGACTTAGAGGAGAAACAACAAAAAGAACAGGTATCTCTTCAAAATTATGAAGAGCTAGAAAGAAGGTACGCAGATTTTTTCTTCAAGTCCCAGAATACCAAACCATAGCAGCCCCTCAAAGTTAGAAGGAGGCCATCTTAATGAATACTGTTTGATTCGAAAGTGATAAACTTATATGATGCAACCTTTAATACTGCAGAGAAAAAAATGTTAAGAGTAAAAAGGAATTTAGAAAATTCACAAAAACATCACAGTGGGCATACTGGAGACCCAGAAAATATCATCAAAGCACTTATCTGGGGTACTTTCCACTCTGCCAGCCCAGGCTCTCCACATCCTATGCTCCTTTACTCACTGAATTGCACAACACCTTGATAAGGTTGGTACTATTATTATCCCATTTTTTCAGATGAGAAAACTAAGGCCCAGAGAGGTCAAGTCGTTCTAAAGAAGAGGTAAGAGGCAGATTTTGACACAAGCTCATCTGTGCCTTCACTCTCTACACAACAGTGCCCCCGGTGACTACCAACCGCAGAGGGAGCATGCCAGCAAACTGCCACCTCCTCCCTGGCAAGGCTTTCAGAGCCCTCTCCAGCCAATGCGGCACAGTGAACTAGTGCCAGCAGGCTGGGATCAGCAAGTGGAGCTGCATGGTTCCTACCCTGACTCTGCTTGCTTCTCACTACTCTACACGCAGCCAGGATGCTCTCCTCTTCCCGGGTGGACTGGGACAGCCATCACTGGCCGGCCCTGCCAGCCACACTCACCTGTCGAGGATGGGTTTCTCCTGCTCCTCCTCGGGGCTGGCGCTGCCCAGGATCCGCTTCCGGGCCTCGGCGTACTCGGCCTCTCGCTGTGCTAGGGACTTGACTGGAAGGGTGGGCCTGCTGGTGGAGTTGGGGCTGCTGACCACACCGTTGCTGGTGGGCCTCTTGAGGATGCGGATCTGTGGAGGGGGCCCCGCGGGAAGGCTATCGTCCTGAATCACAATGGGCACTTTGGGAGGAGATTTGGATTTCCTGCTGACAAAGAGCAAACACAGCTTCACAAATCATGCTCCTGACTAAGGAGGCCCTGTCCATGTCCCACACCCACCTCTCATCACTTTCCTCTCCCTCCCTAATTCTACCCATGCATGATTCTCTGGCCTCTGACCAGACAGCAAAATTTCCACTCCTCAAGAAGGGTGTCCCAAAAAAGTAAGCTTGCGACCAGCTCTGACAGGCCACAGGAACTGCTCCTCAGCCCTAACCCCTGGCCACAGGGGCTGGAACGCCACCTCATTCTGGCACTTCTATCCCCATGTTCACCACAGCCACATCAACCACTATTTGGCCCTGCAGCAAAACAGTTTATGTCCAGAATTGAATGACGTCAGTTAAGATCCCAGCTTCTCTACGCAGATCAGAGTAGGACTGGCTGGTGGGGTGGGAGCCTTTGAACTTGGGGGTCAGCAGTGTTCACTCAGCCAAATCTTCCATCACATGCTCAAACCAGACAAACACTACAAAGGAGCCCACTACGCCATCCCTGCCTGGCATCAAGATTTACCAAGCCACCTTCTAGTGAGAGTGACCTGTGCCTCCCAGAGACAAGCTACACCAGACAACTGAATCCTCTTCAAAAAGCTTCTGAACAGAGAAACCTCCCTTGCCAGGGCTCCCTGGTCTTTTGGACAGCGGCGGGGCTGGAGTGAAGGATGCTCCTAGAAACAGTGCTTGGCAATGCTCAAAAGAAAAGCATTGTCCAAGGCTGGTGGACGCGTACATCAAGGCGATGTGTCCACAGGGAGAGGTGGAATGACAAAAAACAAAGAGGGACAACAACACAGGAAGGGAAAGAAACAAAAGCCACAGGAGGAGACAGGAACCCAGGCAGGAATGACCACCCGACAACAGCCACCAGGACCCTACCCAGAGCAGTCAACCAGCTTCTCTTCAGAACCAAACAAGCCTGCTTCCAGAGCCTTGGCTGTCAGGAGGAGTCGGGATTGGAGGAACTGAGCCAGGGTGGATGGAAACAAGTCTCGGGTAGGACACAAATGGTATGGAACGAGGACTGTAACCCAGGGTTAGCGTGGTTGCTGAGATGAGCAGACAGACAAGGAGCCAGCAATCTGATCAAAGAGGCAGGGAGCCAGGAAAACTAGCGGGCGGGCAGAGCACCCAGAGTTTCCTGGGGAATGACTGTGCAGCCCCGTGAGCAAATCCAGAGGGGCCCTATCCTCCTTCCTGTCCCTTGTACCTATGGAAAACCAACAGGTTCCCTAAGCCCAAAAGCAGAAAGCCGAAGTCAACTTTCACCTACTCTGGAAACACCCTCCTCTGTCGTCTAGGTGGAAAACAAAGCTATTTTTAAAGGTTTTTTCAAGAATTTCCTAGAATGTTTTCTTCCAGGATACCCTCATAATACCCTAGACCACCAAGTCACTGGGGACCCAGAGAAATCATCTGCCCACACTCCTCATGCCACAGAGAAAGAAACTGATGTCCAGATCTGGGAAATGACTTGCCCCAGACCTCAGAGCAACTGGGGCACTGCCAGGCCTAAAACTCAAGTCTTCCAACTTGTCACTTCCTCACATTGCATCAGATGACCTCACACAGGGAGCCCACGAAGGTCAGAGGCAGGTGCAACACCCCAGCCTCAACCCTAAAGCCTCAAGCCACCACGTCCTGGTCTCCAATTTGGAGGGAAGGGTTTGCTGCCCCAGAGCCTGACCTGCTAGGACCTGCTAATCCTAATGGCCAGCTGGAGAACACCACTGACTGCCCGGCTCTCAAACCACAGAGAGCATGAGCCCTCAGACCAGACAGCAGCCTTACCTCTCTTTTTGTGTGATCTTCAGTTTTTTTTCCAACCGTCTGTCTATTTCCTAGAGGAAAAAAATGTATATAAAAAGAGGAAAAAATCTCTCTCAAATAAAAACTTAGTCTTTATTTTTGGAGCTAAGGGCAGTGTCCTTTCTCTAGCCAGGGACATGACTGTGTCCTTCAACATAACAAATGTGGACTAGATTTTGGGGTTTGGGGACCTGATACCCTCTGCAGGTCCATCTCCCTTCTAGCCCCATGGCCGCCATGACAGTTCTAAACCTCATTGTTCAGCTGGGTTCTTTGCATAGCCTCCAACCAGTTTTCTGACCTGTAATCTGTCTTTCACAGAGCCACTCATATCAACTTCTAAACCTAAACTTAGGAACACTTACTCTATTTTATGAAATAAAGAGTTGGAAAAAAAATTAAACATAAATCTGATCATGTCACTTCCCTACTTTAAACCCTTCAACTGCTTGCAGACCTAGTCAAAGCTTCTGAGCATGCCTCACCCATACCTTCTTTTACCTTCTGTCTCTGTTTTGCTATCACTAGCCCCCAGAACTCAGCATGCTGTTCCACCTGCCTGCAATGTCCCCTCCCCTTGCAAACTCCCATTGATCCTGCACAACCCAGCCTGGATGTCTACCTCTCCTTTATAAAGTCTCCTCTGATCCCACCAGCATGGTGCATCACCTGGTCCTCAGAATAAACTCTCCCTTTTACATTCCTTTATGGTCATATCTAATATTTTAATAATGTATTTTTTACTGTTACGGACTTGAACTCTCTGTGACTGGCACCTACCGAAAGGCTTAGAGTAAAACCTATGCCTTATGTTTGTGGCTTTGGAGGTCCATGGTCTACAAGTGAACATGGGGAACCTGAGGAAGAGACAAGACACCTGAGAGTGCAGCAAGTATTTCTCTCAGAACCAGAGCCTGACAGGTCTTGATTAAAACAACACCACCATTTTAGAGAAAAGCAGAGAGAAGAAAGAGGCTGAGAAGGAGGAGCAGGCAGGACTGCCTTCCAACACGCCCTGGCCTCATCTCTTCAAGCCCTGAGCAGGACATTGGGCTCATGGCAGTCTGAGCCCTCAGCCCATCAGCACCAGCATGCCTATGACACCTCCACACACGCGTGTGAGCATCTATATCCAGGACAGGGGTGTGGGGAGAGGCCGTGCACAGAACAAAGACCAAACCCCCAGGCTGCTTGGCTGCCCTACGGCCTTTCTTAGAAAAAGTCCCACTCCCTCAGCCATCCTCAGTGAGGACAAGATCAACTAGCTCTAATGGAGATGGAAGAAACTGTATGCAAAATTCTGTGTTTTTCTAGAGACAAGATCTCTAATGGTGGTTCTCAACCAGATAAGATTCTGTCCCTCAGGGGACACTGGACAATGTCAAGCCATTTTTGGTTGCCACTATTGGGGAAATGCTAAATGTCCTACAGTGTACAGGACAGCCCCACACAAAGAACTATTTAACCCCAAAAGTCAACAGTGCTAAGTCTGGGCAACCTTAATTTATTAGACTGGGATTTTCAAAGGAGTCCATCACTTGCAAAATGTGAAGAACCACAGCCGTAGTGTGGAGACTTTGAAATTTGGTGAGATCTGCCCCATGGCTCAGCATGTAGGCCATTTTCGTAAGTGCTCTGTATGTTCTGAAAATAACTATTCTCAGCCCAGCGCGGTGGCTCACGCCTATAATCCCAGCACTTTGGGAGGCCGAGGCGGGCGGATCACGAGGGCAGGAGATTGAGACCATCCTGGCTAACGCGGTGAAACCCCGTCTCTAATAAAAATACAAAAAATTGGCCAGGCACGGTGGCTCACGCCTGCAATGCCAGCACTTTGGGAGGCCGAGGTGGGCGGATCACGAGGTCAGGAGATCGAGACCATCCTGGCTAACACAGTGGAAACCCCATCTCTACTAAACATACAAAAAAAAAAAAAAATTAGCCAGGCGTTGTGGCGGGCGCCTGTAGTCCCAGCTACTCAGAAGGCTGAGGCAGGACGCCTGTAGTCCCAGCTACTCAGAAGGCTGAGGCAGGAGAATGGCGTGAACCCGGGAGGCGAAGCTTGCAGTGAGCCGAGATGGCGCCACTGCACTCCAGCCTGGGCGACAGAGCAAGACTCTGCCCCCCCCCCACCCCCCCTCAAAAAAATACAAAAAATTAGCCGGGCGTGGTGGTGGGTGCCTGTAGTCCCAGCTACTCGGGAGGCTGAGGCAGGAGGATGGCGTGAACCTGGGAGGTGGAGCTTGCAGTGAGCTGAGATCGTGCCACTGCACTCCAGCCTGGGCGACAGAGCGAGACTCTGTCTCAAAAAAAAAAAAAAAAAAAAAGGAAATAACTATTCTCCAGTTGATGGGTGCAGTTCAAAGTTCAAGCTGGTTAGCTATATTGTTCTAATCTTGTAAATTCTTACTGACTCATTTGATCTACTGACCAGGTAAAGAATTAAGAATTATTGGCCAGGCACAGTGACAGTGGCTTATGCCTGTAATCCCAACATTTTGGGAGGCTGAGGCAGGCGGATCACTTGGGGTCAGGAGTTTGTGACCAGTTTGGCAACAGGGTGAAAACCTGTTTCTATTTAAAAATTCAACAATTATCCAGGCGTGGTGGTGCGCACATGTAATCCCAGCTACTAGGGAGGCTGCAGTGAGTGGAGATCACACCACTGCACTCCAGCCTGGGCGACAGGGCAAGACTCTGTCTCAAAAAAAAAAAAAAAAAAAAAAAAAGACTTATTCTTTCTAGTAAGTTAAACAGTGTATCATTATGATGTGATCTTTTTTGCCTTATAATGTATTGTTTCATATTAATAAAGTTGGCCAGCTTTCTTTTGGTCAGTATTTCCTAGAACATAGTTTTTCTCACCTTTCCATGTCCTTATTTGCATCTCTTGTAAACAGTATGAACTAGATTAACCATATGAAACTAGATTTAAATCTAGTCTAACACTGACACCTATCCTGATTGGTACTAACTTGTGTTTAAAATATATTTATATATTTGGCTGGGCATGGTAGCTCACGCCTACAATCCTAGCACTTTGACTTTGGGAGGCCGAGGTGGGTGAATCACTTGAGGTCAGGAGTTCAAGACCAGCCTGGTCAACAAGGTGAAACCCCGTCTCTACTAAAAATACAAAAATTAGCTGGGCGTGGTATCCCAGCTACTCAGGAGGCTGAGGCAGGAGAATCTCTTGAACCTGGGAGACGGAGGTTGCAGTGAGCCGAGATTATGCCACTGCACTCCTGCCTGGGCAATAGAGCATGACTCTGTCTCAAAATATATATATATATGTAATTTATTGTATTCTGAGGCACCATCAAATCTCTGGAGGGGCCAGAAAGGCACTAAAATGGAAACCTCTCGCTCCAGCTTGGAACACAGTTGGTGCCAAAGAATGCTGAATGACTGAATGGAAAAGGTACACCAATAATAAGAGAACGACCTGGATGTTTTCTGTGAACTGACAAACACAGACACTCACACAGAATCTATGTCCACTACGTACTCTGTCCTGAAAATGACTGTATTGATGGAATTGTATTAATTCTATTAATACCAGTGTTATTACCTGAGTAAGTACTACAGCTCATATTAGTCTATTGCCTATTACCTTTTAAGGGCTTCTCACAAGTAACTTCTTGTTTTAAAGTTTCATACTGTATCATTTCGCTCCACTCTAAATACAAGACTGCCTATTCGAGTTTCTCCATCATAAACAGAGCCTTGACAGCTGTAGAATTTAGAAGCCTTTGAGGGTTGAGACCAAATGCCTTCATAGACCAGGCAAGCAGCCAAACTCCACTCGCACGGAGCATACCTGGGGAAGTGAAGGGGCTGCAGGGCACCAAAGAGCACTTGCCCTGCCTAATGACGGCCAACAAGCTTTGGCAGACAGGGCCAGATCTAGCGCAGAAGAAACCAAATCAGTATTTTTATGGCAATGCACTGAATTTTCCAACTTCACTATGTGAACTTTCACTTTCATATCGCTGCGAGAGCCAAATAAGACAGAGAGAGAAATGGGCCTCACACATTAGAGTGAATTTGAGAAGTCCCATCCAGGTCTCCTCTGAGGAAAGCAAACTGCTTCCTTCTTCCTCTAGGGTTTAAGGAAGATGGACCATCTGCCCAGTTCCAGCACAAGGAGCCTGGGTGGAAGAAAAGCGCTTCAAGAGGACATCGTAGGCCATGTCTGAGTAAATGCGCCTCTGTCCCCAAACTAGAACATGATTAACATACTTGGCATGTAATATAATACTAATAGCTTTTAAAATAATACCTTATATCGATATAATGTATTATGGCTGTCAACATTCTTCCCCAGACATTCATTTTCTGCTCACACCAGCCCTGTTTGGCAGACAAAGTAGCTTTTATCCTTCTGTCAGATGAGGGTTAGGGAACTTACCCAAGGTCACAAGGTAGTAAACCACAGAGACAGCCCTAGAATTCGCCTTTTGAGGCCCCTATGCTGACATACCACCCTCCCCCGACAATTGCTCAAATCCCCTGGAAATGCCAGTATAAACCATTAGATATTGGTCATCTCCCCCAATTCCACACTGCTCCCTGGCATGCCAAGAACTACAACTCTCATCCAACTCCACTGTGAAAGGCAGAAGAGCTTTATCAGAGCTGGAGAGGGATTCTTCCATAAGATTACAGAATGGGATGGAAACCCAAGCAGCTTTGGTGGAAAGTGGATCCTGGTCATCTTTAGATGGCCAGCTGGACGCCAGCATGCTCAGAGGCGCCCAAGCAGGAGAAGGAATGCTCTGCCAGCAGCTGGAGAGGGCATCGCATCTCCCTCTGGAGTCTGTCCAGGTATCATGAGTCAGTCTATTCTCTTCTCAGACAAGGCCTTGCAATCAATCTGCTCTCAGACTCATGCTCTGAAAAGCTGGACCAAGTCAAAACTTTCCTACAGGGTGTATTACAAGGAAAATGTGCATCTCCCCCAGAGATGCAATAGCCCAATGGAATTAAACAGGCCTCAGAACTTGTGTGGGGAAGCATCTAGATGCAGGCCTGAAATAAGGAATCGTACTACCTAAGGGAACCCTCTCTTTAGACAAGGATGCAGAGTCCTGCCCAAGGTCTAGGCTCCTGTGTTAGAGGCCTGACCTCCATCGCTAGTCAAAGAAAACCATCGCTGTGACTGCTGTGAGTGGGCACAAGGCAAGTGCTAGGGCACAAGCATACCACACAGGGCGGTGGCCAGGAAAGTGATCTCCTATGGCTCCTGCTCCTGGAAAGGCTCTTCAGCCAAGTAGCACCAAGCAGCCCACAGAAGGTGACATTCTGTGTTCCGGGTCCAAATCCTAAGCAAAAGATCTACTGTTGCCAAACCTTGACATCACTTGTCCTATGAGGCTACACATCTACAGAAATGGGACACAAGCTTCTCGGTCTCAGAGAACAAGCAAAGCCAGAAGGAAAGAGCGGAGGCAGGAAATCATGAAGAAGCACAGTGGGGAGGAAGGTGGTTCTCGACAGGGCTGGTCCTTTATGGGAGGTAAAGGAGAGCCACAACCACAAGGTGAATGGGATCAGATGTCAACATTTGCAATTTTAACTCACCAGAGGAGGAAGCTCAGCTTCACTGGCTGCTGATGCCCTTAACCTTGCTATAAATGTGCCTCTGGCTGAAAAGTTAGGGTATGGGACCTAGGAGTACAATGCGGATAAGATCATTCCCAAGGAGGAGAGCAGGGAAGGGGTCACCTCAAACAACCCAGTTTGTTACTGTCACAAGCTACAAAAGGAACAAAGGTGACAAAAGATAGGGATGTGTCTGTAAGGTGAAGCAGATTACAGTGGTAGGTTTACTCCTGTAACGTTAAGAGGTCGATGACAAGGAAAAAAGAAAGGTGAGAAAGGCAGAGGAGAGGAAGAAATAGGCTATTCTGGGTCTTAGTGTAAAGCACAGCAAGTATAAGCACCATTACAGTTGTACCTTCTCAGGTACGAATGTTTACACAACAGCCTGGGGTGATGATGCCCTGGGGGACTGATTCGAACTAGCCAAGCTCACAAGAGACAAAGTGAACAAACTCACACCTGTTACACTACAAGGGTCAGAGGGGGTGTCTCACCCTTTCTGGTGCCTGATCTGCTGCTACCCACTCCCCAAGGACAGCAGGCCTCCGCACTCTGTGCCTCAGTATACAAGCCAAAAGACTGTACTGTCCTACTCCATCACAGCATCCCTCTCTCTGAGAACCGGAATCCTCTGGTCTCCAGTGTCACCAACACGACTCCCAAGAAATAGAGCAATCTTATATTGAACAGAGATCTAAGAGGGACCCTTGCTTTGGACTTTGAATTAGAAAATACTCTTTTATTGGCAACAAGGTTACCATTTAAGTAACTTTTCCCAAATGATTTGCCTTTCTCTGTTAGTTTTCATTTCAGAAGATGACATTTCCAATGTTTCTCTCAAATTCAAAGAATAACAACTGGCCTTGAGCTCCCTATGAATCGCTGCCCCACAGGGTCCTCTGGTCTCATCCTGAATCAGGGTGCACAAGTCTACAAGTGGACCCGGGGAGATCTGAAGAAGAGACAGGAACCTGGAGAGCACAACAGATTTCTCCCAGAATCAGGGTCCCACAGGCCCTGAGTAACACAAAAAGCAAAGGGCAAAGAAAAAAGCAAAGAGAAGAAATAAGGGATAGCAGGCGAGACTACCTTCCAACCTGTTCCGGCCCTGAACTCCCACACAGCCAGCCACGGCCCATGCTAGCCTTATGTCTTCAGGCCTTGGGAGGGACACTGGCGCCCAGGTCCCTGGGCTACAGGGTCTCCTGGTGGACCAGTCTCCCCTGCAAGGGGTCTTGTTTCCCATACCACAAATATGGATGGGATTCTGATTCCTTGGGAATCAGAATTCCCAATTTCACTTGGGAATACAGTCAAAGAATTCACAGGTAGAAGCAATCTACAACAGCAAAATCTGGTCTAAAACTATCAGATAAAAATGTCTCCCGCATCATTAGCCATTTCTTTTTCCCTTTTTTTTTTTTTTTTGGTGGAGACGGGGTCTTGCTATGTTCTCCAGGCTGCTCTTGAACTGTGGGCTCAAGTGATCCTCCCACCTCACTCTCCCAAAGTACTGGGATTATGTGTGAGCCACTGTGCCTGGCCACTGGCCATTTCAAGTTCAGATGTACAATCCATGGACTTCTCCAAACAACCTCCATGTTGATTTAATTCTGTTTCGTCTCTGCCTTGTTTCCATCAGTAGCATAGCAGTGACAGTGTCCTGGCCTGGTATGACTAGGACTGGCCACCTCCAATGCTCCTGTAATTATTCTACTTCCCCTGACTAATCCCAGAGAGGGACACACCCCAAGTCCTATCACCCCAGGTTTGATTTTACAGGGATGCTTCACATATTTTTAAACAATTCACGTATTTTAAAATAATAATCATGTTACAATTATACTATTTTGGACATACTGAGTTAAATTAAAAATATTAAAACTGGCCAGCCGCGGTGGCTCACGCCTGTAATCCCAGCACTTTGAGAGGCCCAGGCGGGCGGATCACGAGGTCAGGAGTTCCAGACCAGCCTGGCCAACATGGTGAAACCCTATCTCTACTAAAAATACAAAAATTAGCCAGGCGTGGTGGCGCATGCCTGTAATCCCAGCTACTCAGGAGGCTGAGGCAGGAGAATCGCTTGAACCCAGGAGGCAGAGGTTGCAGTGAGCTGAGATTGCACCACTGCACTCCAGCCTGGGCAACAGAGCAAGACTCTGTCTAAAAAAAAAAAAAAAGGAAAAAAAGAAAGAAAGAAAAGAAAAAAAAAGAAAAAAATTAAAATTAATTTCATCTGTTTCTTTGTACTTTTAAAATGTTGCTTCTAGAAAATATAAAATTAAGGCTGAGGCAGTGGCTCATGCCTGTAATCCCAACACTTTGGGAGGCTGAAAGAGGAGAATTGCTTGAAACCAGGAGTTCAAGACCAGCCTGGACAAGAAAGTAAGACCTCAACTCTACAAAAAATAAAAAATTAGCTGGGCATGGTGGCACACACCTGTAGTCCCAGCTACTTGGGAGGCTGCTGAAGTGGGAGGATTGCTTAAGTCCAAGAGTTTGAGGCAGCAGTGAGCTATGATTGTGCCATTGCACTCCAGGTGCATGACAGAGTGGGGCCCCACCTCGAAAGAAAAGAAAAAAAAAAGGAAAGAAGCAAGCAAGAAGGAAGGAAGGAAGGAAGGAGAGAAAGAAAGAAAGAAAAGAAAAAGAAAATATAAAATTACCCATGTGTCTTTGGGAGGCCGAGGTGGGTGCATCACCTGAGGTCAGGAGTTCCAGACCAGCCTGAGCAATATGGTGAAACCCTGTCCCTTCTAAAAATACAAAAATTAGCCGGACGTGGTGGCGGGCACCTGTAATTCCAGCTACTCAGGAGGCTGAGGCAGGAGAATCGCTAGAACCCGGGAGGCGGAGGTTGCAGTGAGCTGAGATTGCACCATTGTACTCTAGCAGGGGGGAGAGAGTGAGACTCCGTCTCAAAAAAAAAAAAAATTATCCATGTGGCTCACATTGTACCTTCTGTTGGACAACACTGCTTTAGAGTCTAACCTTAGAAGATGGGTCCCGACTCGGCACAGTGGCTCACGCCTGTAATCCCAGAACTCTGGGAGTGCCGAGGCTGGCGGATCACCTGAGGTCAGGAGTTTAAGACCAGCATAGCCAACATGGTGAAACCCTGTCTCCACCAAAAGTGCAAAAATTAGCCAGGTGTGATGGCGCATGCCTGTAATCCCAGCTGCTCGGGAGACTGAGGCAGGAGAATCGCTTGAACTCGGGAGGGGGAGGTTGCGGTGAGCTGAGATTGTGTCACTGCACTCCAGCCTGGGTGACAGAGTGAGACTCCATTAAAAAAAAACAAAAAAAAAAACCATGTGGCCAGGCGCAGTGGTTCATGCCTGTAATCCCAGCATTTTGGGAGGCCGAAGTGGGCGGATCACCTGAGATCAGGAGTTCCAGACCAGCCTGGCCAACATGGTGAAACCCTATTTCTACTAAAAACATAAAAATCAGCTGGGCACAGTGGCGTGCACCTGTAGTCCCAGCTACTCAGGAGGCTGAGGCAGGAGAATCGCTTGAACCCGGGAGGCGGAGGCTGCAGTGAGCTGAGATCGGGCCACTGCACTCCAGCCTGGGCGACAGACAAGACTCCATCTCAAAAAAGAAAAAAAAAACCCACCCATGCTAGCCCCTGCTCAGCACCCTCTCCTGGTGCTATTTTGAGGTGATATCCATCTTGGCCTACGGGTCTCTACTAAATCTGGCTGTCCACTACCTCTGACCTCATCTCCTACCACTCTCCCCTATCAAGCATGGCCACCACATTGGCCCCACTGTTCAAGACAAAACAATCATGCTCCAGCCTCTGGGCCTTAGCATTTGCTGTTCCCTCTGCCTAGAACGCACTTCAACCAGCTTCTTTCTTTTTGGTTTTGTTTTGCAATGGAGTCTTGCTCTGTCGCCCAGGCTGGAGTGCAGTGGCACGATCTCAGCTCACTGCAACCTCCACCTCCTGGGTTCAAACCTGCCTCAACCTTCTGAGTAGCTGGGATTACAGGCGCCTGCCACCACACCCGGCTAATTTTTGTATTTTTAGTAGAGACAGAGCTTCACCATGTTGCCCAGGCTGGTCTTGAACTCCTGACCTTAGGTGATCCGCCTGCTTCAGCCTCCCAAAGTGCTGAGATTACATGGGTGAGCCACCGCACTCGGCCTTCAACGAGCTTCTAAGCAGCTTGTTGCTGCACTTCTTTTAAATCTCTCTACCTATCTTTAAGAGACCTTCTCTGATCTTTTTTTTTTTTTTTTTGAGATGAAGTCTCGCTGTCGCCCAGGCTGGAGTGCAATGGCACGATCTCAGCTCACTGCAACCTCCACCTCAGGGGTTCAAGCGATTCTCCTGTCTCAGCCTCCCAAGTAGCTGGGATTACAGGCGTGTGCCACCACACCTGGCTAATTTTTTTGTATTTCTACAGAGATGGGGTTTCACCATGCTGGCCAGGCTGTCAAACTCCTGACTTCAAGTGATCCACCCACCTCGGCCTTCCAAAGTGCTGGGATTACAGGTGTGAGCCACCATGCCCAACATTATTTTTTATTTATTTTTTTAAGAAACAAGTTCTTGCTCTGTTGTTCAAACTACAGTGCAATGGTACAATCACAGCTCACTGCAGCCTCACACTCCTGGACTCAAGTGATCCTTCGGCCTCGGCCTCCTGAGCAGCTGGGATTATAGGCATGTGCCACCACACCTGGCTAGTTTTTTTTTTTTTTTTTTTTAACGAGCCAGGGTCTTGCTCTGTTGCCCAGGCTGGAGTGCAGTGATGCAATCATAGCTCACTGTAGCCTTGATTTCCTGGACTCAAGCGATCTGCCTCAGCCTCCTGAGCAGCTGGGATTACAAGCACATGCCACTATGCCCAGCTATTTTTTTCTTTAAAAAAAAAAAAAAGATGAGGGGCTGGGTGCAGTGGCTCACATCTGTAATCTCAGCACTTTGGAAGGCCAAGGCAAGTGGATTGCTTGAGCTCAGGAGTTCGAGACCAGCCTGGCCAAAATGGCAAAATCCCATCTCTACAAATACAAAAATTATCAGGTGGCCACGCACGGTGGCTCACGTCTGTAATCCCAGCACTTTGGGAGCCCGAGGCAGGCAGATCACCTGAGGTCAGGAGTTTGAGACCAGCCTGACCAACATGGAGAAACCCCGTCTCTACGGAAAATACAAAATTAGCCAGGCGTGATGGCACATGCCTGTAATTCCAGCTACTCGGGAGGCTGAGGTGGGAGAATCGCTTGAACCCGGGAGGTGGAGGCTGTGGTGAACCGCGATCACGCCACTGCACTCCAGTAGCCTGGGCAGCAAGAGAGAAACTCCATCTCAAAAAAAAAAATAAAAGCCAGGCATGGTGGCACATGCTTGTAATTCCAGCTGCTTGGGAGGCTGAGGCAGGAGGATTGCTTGAACCTGGGAGGATCTCAGCAGTGAGCTGAGATCATGCCACTGCACTCCAGCCTGGGAGACAGGGTGAGACTCCAGCTCAAAAATAAATAAAGAGACGAGCGTCTCTCTATGTTGCTCAGGCTGGTCTCAAACTCCTGCCCTCAAGCGATCCTCCTGCCTCAGCCTCCCAAGTAGATGGGAATACAGCCGCGCACCACCTTGCCTGCCTCTGACCATTTTTTGTAAGATGGCAATTCCACCACAGTCACTTTCTAAAACCCTTAATCTGTTTTACTTTTCTTTACTGAGTGGTATATAAAACACTTACTGTTTATTGTCCATCTTTCCCCAGTAGAAAGTAAGCCTTATGAGAGCAGAAACTTCATTCACTGCATTTGTCCAATGTCTAAAATAGTACCCAACACACGAATTAAAGAACAATCACCAGCCTGGCCAACATGGTGAAGCCCTGTCTCTACTAAAAATACAAAAAATTAGCGGGGTGTGGTGGCTGGCGCCTGTAATCCCACCTACTTGGGAGGCTGAGGCAGGAGAATTGCTTGAACCCGAGAGGCAAAGGTTGCAGTGAGCCAAGACTGCGCCACTGCACTCCAGCCTGGGCAACAGAGCGAGACTTCGTCTCAAAAAAAAAAAAAAAAAAACCCCAAATCAACAGGATTTTATAGATATATCTTGATTTTACAAATGAAGAGGAATCAATTCAGATAGGTTATATAATTTGACCATGGTTCCACAGCTAGTATGAAGTGGAGCCAGAATTTGAACTGGATCTATCTGGATCCAGTTGACAAATGACACTATCCATATTCAAAATAAGAGCTAAGGCTGCCTTAGGCATTTCTTGGCAAAAAACAGGTATTACGTCCTCCCTTTACCACCTCTTATCTTCGCTACAACCTGTGGAGCGTCCAGCAGCCTTGCTGCATACCCGGAAGTTAAGTGATTTGCCTCTGACTGCACAACTATGCACAACTAGTAAGTGACAGAACTGAACCCTAAGGCAGGGCGTAGTGGCTCACGCCTGTAATCCCAGCACTTTGGGAGGACGAGGCGGGCGGATCACGAGGCCATTCTGGCTAACATGGTAAAACCCCGTCTCTACTAAAAACAAAAAATTAGCCGGGCGTGGTGGCAGGCACATGTAGTCCCAGCTACTTGGGAGGCTGAGGCAGGAGAATGGCGTGAATCCCAGAGGCGGAGCTTGCAGTGAGCCAAGATCGTGCCACTGCACTCCAGCCTGGGCGACAGAGCGAGACTCCATCTCAAAAACAAAACAAAACACAACTGAACCCTAAATCTCAAGAAGGGGAAGCAAAAATGTTCAGGACACTGGCAGGCAGGTGGCATCAGGAGCTAATAAAGTAGGATATAAGGAGGTCGGGCACAGTGGCTCACACCTGTAACCCCAGCACTTTGGGAGGCCGAGGCGGGTGGATCCCCTGAGGTCAGGAGCTCGAGACCAGCCTGGTCAAAATGGCAAAACCTCCTCTCCACCAAAAATACAAAAATTAGCCGGGCGTGGTGGCACGTGCCTGTAATCCCAGCTACTCGGGAGGCTCAGGCAGGAGAATCACTTGAACCCAGAGGGTGGAGGTTGTAATGAGCCGAGACTGCACCACTGCACTCCAGCCTGCAAGACTCCGTCTCAAAATAAATAAATAAAGTAGGATAAGGGCTGACAGATAACAACATCCCAGCCTGCTGCTACACCTCAGGCCAGGTCAGTGCAAGCCCAGGTTTCCTAAGGCCTATAGCAGTAACAGACAAAAACAGCTGACTCCCAAGGCCCCGATCTTAAAGCTATAAATAAGTTGCCAAAAGCACGGTGGCTCAAACCTGTAATCCCAACACTTTGCGAGGCCGATGTGGGTGGATCACCTGAGGTCAAGAGTTCAAGACCAGACCGGCCAACATGGTGAAACCCTGTCTCTAATAAAAATACAAAAATTAGCCAGGTGTCACGGTGGCAGGTGCCTGTAATTCCAGCTACTCGGGAGGCTGAGGCAGGAGAATTTGCTCAAACCTGGGAGGCGGAGGTTGCAGTGAGCTGATCACACCACTGCACTCCAGCCTGGGCGACAGAGCAAGACTCCATCTCAAAAAAAAAAAAAAAAAAAGAAGTTGCCAAACAGAAATAATTCTTCAGCAGCAACCAGGCCTAGCAGTTTAGATGTATCCCAGGCTAGAAAGCCTCAAAAACTTTGTAGATGCCATCTTGAGACAATGTATTGTTTTGAGTGCCTCCTCAAAGGGTCTCCATGCCGGAGGGATACACTCAGCCCTATACCTGAAAGTAACGGGATAGGCAGATGTAATGGTGAAGAGTCTTGCCCTGGAAATAAAATGGGGTCGAATCTAATGGGGCTCCTGCTTTCTCTGTGTTTCTGTAACTGCTTCTCCCTGTTGATTTTCGTACAACACTAAGCAATACAATTCTCGGAGGAGAGTATATTAGTCCTCAGGGGCAGCAAGAAAGTGACCCTTCAGCCAGTCTTAGGAATCCTGAACCCAAACCAGATAGAGGCTACACTGTGAGTGGCTGGAGAGCCGGGAACAATGCCTTCACACTCAGAGCAATGGCACTCTCGGCTCCCACATCCACCTGTGAATGACGCTTTACTAAGTGTTTTAACTCTCACTACCAGGCAAGGCAAATTCTATTAATTCAGTTTTACAAATTAAGAGATTGATGTGGACAGAAGGGTAGGTAGTGATTTGTCCAAAAATCAGACCAGGCATTTAAATCCCAGTCTTCTGACCTATTGCCATTAATGGAGAAAAGTAGGCCGTTAACTGGCAGAGAGAACCTATCCTTTCTTGCTTTTTTTTTTTTTTTTTTTGAGACAGAGTCTGTCTCTGTCATGATCTTGGCTAACTGCAACCTCCACCTCCCTAGTTCAAGCAATTCCCCTGCCTCAGCCTCCTGAGTAGCTGGGATTACAGGTGCACACGACCACGTCCCGCTCATTTTTTTGTATTTTTAGTAGTGACAGGGTTTCACCATGTTGGCCAGACTGGTCTTGAACTCTTGACCTCAGGCAATCCACCCGCCTTGACTTCCCAAAGTGCTGGGATTACAGGTGTAAGCCACTCTTGCTACCTTTTATAATGACTGCAAGGCTCCTCTCCCAAAGGAAATACCAGGCATTACTGACTTTGGAGGATGAAACAAAGACACTATTAACCCTCATCCACCAGATTTCACTTTAACACCCAAGGGTGCCCTCATCAAATCCCAGTTAGAATCGCCAGCACTCAGCAGGGGTGGCAAACACAATGCCTCCAAGCCCAAATGGCTAAAGCAGGCAGAATGGAACACAAGAGGTAACAACAGGTAAAGGAGGATTGCAGGGGAGAGCAGAGGAGAGGACAGCAGAGAGCAGCCAACAGCCGGTAAAGGCATTCAAGTTCAATATTTAAAAATCCTGCCGGCTAGGTGCAGTGGCTCATGCACCTGTACTCTGAGCTACTCAGGAGGAGGCTGAGGTGGGAGTATCACTTGAAGCGATCTGAGTTCAGATCAGTCTGGGTAACAAGGCAAGACCACCGCCCCCTCCATTTAAAAATCCTGAGCAACGTTTTTTTTTTTTTTTTTTTTTGAGACAGAGTCTCGCTGTGTCGCCCAGGCTGGAGTGCAGTGACACAATCTCAGCTCATTGCAACCTCTGCCTCCCAAGTTCAAGCGATTCTCCTGCCTCAGCCTCCCAGGTAGCTTGGGTTACAGGCACCTGCCACCACACCTGGCTAATTTTTGTATTTTCAGTAGAGACAAGGTTTCACCATGTTGGCCAGGCTGATCTGGAACTCCTGACCTCAAGTGATCCGCCTGCCTCGGCCCCCCAAAGTGCTGGGATTACAGGCGTGACCCAATGCGCCCTGCCCAATAATTATTTATGTTATCTTTTTCCACTTGGCCAAATGTTAAAAAGTTATTTCTCATTTATGATCAAGATTTCGACCAGCATCTCACTTGTAGTCACTGTTCTTAGCATTATAACTGAGAGCAGGATTATCGCTTGGCTCTTCAGCACTGAGTTCAAATTTCTCAGATGCAGTTTATGAGCTCATGCAGGCTACAGAGGCAGGAGGTCAATCCCAGGTGAAAACAAATGAAATGCTTCAAAGGAGCTAGTAACTAAGCATCCTAAAGCACTTAACTAGTTAATTATCTGGTGAGAAGCAAATGTAAACAAATTGCTCCAAAAAAGGTCCCTCAGAGTGTGGGCTCAGGCCTAACAGCCAGGGCTGGACCGACCACATGATTTCCTCCCCGGACCAGGAATAATAGCACCTACACCTCACAAGGTCACTGCTAATGATTGTAAAAATGCACTCCCCCTGGGCTGTAGGCAGCCATACAACATATATCTTAGAAGCTCTTCCAAAAAGGGCCCGAGGAACTTGGGAGCTTCCCACAGGCTGCGCGCTTGTTCGCCAGTGAGATGAACAACTAGATAGCAGAAACACTACTGACATATGGAAGGTCACAAATGTTTTTATAAGCTAGGAAGGGCTGGGCTGGGAATTGTTCTCAAGGTCAGTGAAGAGTGGTGACAGTCCTGACCTTTCCAGACTCAAGTCATACTTTCCTTCTATACAATCTCATCTAATCGCCATGGCCCCTGAAGAATGCAATTTTAGCTGTACATATTTATTATTCCTTTTAGAAAGGAATGACTGTTATTTCCTGTGTTCCTTTTATAAGGGAACGAGTTTGTTGGGGGGAGGGGCTGGCTTACTGTGATGGGCATTTTGAAATGTCTCACCGTCAAGGACAAGATTCTCTGTCTCGGACCGGGCGCGGTGGCTCACGCCTGTAATCCTAACACTTTGGGAGGCCGATGTGGGCAGACTGCCTGAGCTCAGGAGTTCCAGACCAGCTTGGGCAACATGGTGAACCCGTCTCTACTAAAATACAAAACATGAGTCGGGCATGGTGACATGAGCCTGTAGTCCCAGCTACTTGGGAGGGTGAGGCATGAGAATTGCTTGAACCCGGAAGGCAGAGGTTCAGTGAGCAGAAATTGCGCCACTGCACTCTAGCCTGGGTGACAGAGAGAAACTCCTTCTCAAAAAAAAGAAAAAAAAATTATCTGTCTCCATACAGACTATTGGGGTTTGTTGCTAATTTCTGTGGGGCATGGTTTTACCTTAATATCCTGCACAGAGCTAGATGTTAAAGAGAAGGATGCTTGGTAGGAGCAAACGGTTTTAAGAAAAACACTCAAAGGCCAGGCGTGGTGGCTCACGCTTGTAATCCCAGCATTTTGGGAGGCCGAGGCGGGCGGATCACGAGGTCACGAGTTTGAGACCGGCCTAGCCAACACAGTGAAACCCCATCTCTACTAAAAATACAAAAATTGGCTGGGTGTAGTGGCGAGCACCTGTAATCCCAGCTACTTGGGAGGCTGAGGCAGGAGAATCGCTCGAACCCGGGAGGCAGAGGTTGCAGCGAGCTGAGATTGCGCCACTGCACTCCAGCCTCGGCGACAGAGCTAGACTCCGTCTCAAAAAAACAAAACAAAACAAAAACACTCAAGAAGAGAAATCTCTATGGATACTACATTAAAATTTTTTTATTTTATTTTATACTTTGGCCACAGATTTAAGTAGCTAAACTCAACCTTCTCCTAGGAAACCAACAGGTCAGTAGTTTTCCTGACAGAACACACCTTGTAGAGGCTAGCTACCTGATACAGCCAGAAACTGATGCTAGCTGTCGGGGCCAACAGCAGTGGAGAGGTGGAAACTGGAAAGGGCTGGCCCCTGGAATGTTTTCAGTCATCAGACCTAGACAACTGTGACTTTTCTCTGCAGGACTGCACCAACAGTTTTAGAAAGACGCACTAAATCCTCTCCTGTCATAGAAGTAAAAACAAGAAGGCCTGTGATTGCTGGAATTTCTAGCCCACGGCAACCATGGCAGCTCTCTTGATACCCAGAGCACGCTGGGAACAGGCCCTCCCATGCAGCCAATGAAAAAAGGGCTGAGAAGTTACTAGTGAAAAGCTCATTATCCTCCTTTCTTTGAAGCCACAGTGAAACCAACCTTTTTCCAGAGTCCCAGGGACAGACTGCTCAGCAGAATCATGCCTAAACTGCCCAATTGCTTCACAGAAAGCCCCTTCTGAGGACATCACAGTCCATAAGGCTCAACCTTTCCAGAAAGACTAGCACCAACTGAGAGGTGGCCCCTTTAGGCATGGTGTATCTGGAACTGTGCTTTCTGTGATACCACAAATCTTAAATGCCTTCTTTTTACTGCAGGGACAGACATAAAGAAATCAGCACCAGATAGCCCCAAACTAATTGATCTCTTTTTTCCCACTACCCATAGCCTTTTTTTGTTGTTTTGTTGTACATGTTCCAAAATGACAGCAGCTACACAAAGCATTGGGGACCCCAGAGTGAAGCGGCAGTCACACTTTGGGGAGAATGGCCTCTTCTCCAAAGAAAGAGAAGAAAATCAAAGTTCTGATCTCCTGAATTTAATCTAACTATGGGCCGGGTGTGGTGGCTCACGCCTGCAATCCCAGCACTCCGGGAGGCTGAAACGGGAGGATCACTTATGTTCAGGCATTCGAGACCAACATGGGCAACATGGTGAGACCCTGTCTCTACAAAAAAATCAAAAATAGTCAGGTGTGGTGGCGCATGCCTGTAGTCCCAGCTACTCGGGAGGTTGAGGCTGAAGTGGGAGGATCACTTGAGCCTGGGAGGTCGAGACAGCAGTAAGTCATCATTGCACCACTGCGCTCAGCCTGGGTGACAGAGTGAGACCCTGTCTCAAAAAAAAAAAACGTGTTTTGTTTTTTTTTTTTTTTTGAGACGGAGTTCCACTCTTGTTGCCCAGGCTGGAGTGCAATGGTGCAATCTCGGCTCACCGCAACCTCCACCTCCCAGGTTCAAGCGATTCTCCTGCCTTGGCCTCCCGAGGTAGCTGGGATTACAAGCAGGCACCACCACACCTGGCTAATTTTGTATTTTTAGTAGAGACAGGGTTTCTCCATGTTGGTCAAGCTGGTCTCGAACTCCTGACCTCAGGTGATCCACCTGCCTCAGCCTCCCAAAGTGCTGGCATTACAGGCATGAGCCATCGTGTCCGGCAAAAAATTTAAAACATAAATAAATAAATCTAGCTATATCACTCTTCTGCTTAAAAAAAAAAAAAAACTTCAAAGCTCCTTGCACTTTCAGGACAAAGTTCAAGCTTCCAGAACCAAGTACAAGGAAGCCTTTCCCAATCTGGCCCCTACATACCTCTGTGGTCTCATCTCTTTCCACTCAACCCTGCCAACCCTCTCCCCTTCAGCCAGAAGGAAATACTTGTAGCCCTCCCAATGCTGTGTATTTGTCTCTCGGCCTCCTCATCCATGCCTGCTTTGGCCCTACACTCTACCTGCCTCTCCCAGACTTACCACTGCTTAATTCAACTGATCTTTCAAATCTTAACTTAGGCATCGTCTTCTTTACAAGACTTTCTCTGATCCAGCCATGGTACCCCACTTATGCCTCTTCCTGAAGGTGCTGCCGGACCTGTCTGACTCCCCCACTAAACAGGGCCTCCATGCCTGGTATGCAATAGTTATTTAATGTTTAATGACACCTTCCTATGGACTCATACACCATCCAGCATCACTGATGGGGCAATGTTTGGATAACTGGCTCATGGGGGTAGAAAGTAAACATAAATTTCAATTCTTAATCCAGAACACCAGTCATCCTTTAACTTATTCAAGATGCATTTTCTTCCCACTAGCTGCATGCCTTGACCTGGAGAAAAAGAATAAAAGGAAACTTGCAAGATACAGGGAAATCAGAGAGGTTGTCAGTGCTTTATAATAACCACTGGTCCAATTACATTTTTATATCATCTGCTGCCTTCCCCTAGCTGGGTTAGCTCATTACCAACACTATGAACTCTTTTTTTTTGAGACAGAGTCTCACTCTGTCACCCAGGCTGGAATGCAGTGGTGCGATCTCTGCTCACTGCAACCTCTGCCTCCCAGGTTCAAGAGATTCTCCTGCCTCAGCCTCCGGAGTAGCTGGGATTACAGGCACCTGCCACCATGCCAAGCTCATTTTTGTATTTTTAATAGAGACGGGGTTTCACCATGTTGGCCACGCTGGTCTTGAACTCGTGACCTCAGGTGATCTGCCCGCCTCAGCCTCCCAAAGTGTTGGGATTACAGGCGTGAGCCACCACGCCTGGCATATTTTATTGATTGTCTTAAACAATTGGGGATATAGGACGAAACCCTGTCTCAAAAAAAAAAGAAAAAGAAAAAGAAAAAAGTGTTTGCCATACTAACTAAAAGCAAAAAGTCTATTCACAGAATATGTGAGGGACTTCTCAAAGTCAGTCTTTCTCCAAATGACACAATAGGACTTGATACTAAGAATTCGGAAGCTATACAGGAAACAATGACCTCAGATGACTCACACACACAAAAATTCTTCCAGTCTGGGCAATATGGCAAGACCCTGTCTCTACAAAAAAATTTTCTTTTTAAATTAGCCAGGCACATAGTGGTACACGCCTGTGGGCCCAGCTACTCAGGAGGCTGAGGCTGCAGTGAGCTGTATTCCGACCACTGCACTCCAACCTTGGCAACAGAGCAAGACCCTTCTGTCTTAAGAAAGGGGCCAGGCGCAGCAGCTCACGCCTGTAATCCCAGCACTTTGGGAGGCCGAGGCGGGCGGATCACGAGGTCAGGAGATCGAGACCATCCTGGCTAACACAGTGAAACCCCATCTCTACTAAAAATACAAAAAATTAGCCAGGCGTGGTGGTGGGTGCCTGTAGTCCCAGCTACTCGGGAGGCTGAGGCAGGAGAATGGTGTGAACCCGGGAGGCGGAGCTTGCAATGAGCCGAGATTGCGCCACTGCACTCCAGCCTGGGCGACAGAGCAAGACTCCATCTCGGGAAAAAAAAAAAAGGGGAAAAAAAAAAAGGAAAAAAAAGGAAGGGAGAGGGGGGAGCAGAGGGATGGGAGCAGAGGGAGGGGAGGGGAGGGGAGAAATTCTACATGATGTCAAAAAATTTTTGGCTGGGCATGATGGCTCATGCCTGTAATCCCAGCACCTTGGGAGGCTGAGGCGGGTGGAGATTGCCTGAGACAGAAATTGCCTGAGACTGCAGTGAGTGTTCCCCACTGCACCCCAGCCTGGGCAACAGAGCAAGACCCTGTCTCAAAGAAAAAAGACAAAAATTTTCTTGTGGTGTTGGAGGGCAGGGATCTCCAAAATCCTTTACTTCCAAGGATTAGAACTGCCGCTGGATTTTTGTGTAGTTTCAATTTTCCCATTTAGGTTATTAGTCTTCACCCAGTTTTTGCTGTTTTGGAGTAGGGTATTCAAAGCTCATTACCAGTAGGAAGAGGGGATAACCTGAAGCCAAGACTTTTACGCAATTGCCTATATATGAAAGACATGTATAGCCTGCAGTCCATTGGTTTCCCAGTGATGTGGACATAACATCTCCCTGGCTCCCCTCTTTCAAAAGTGCATATTTACAAGAACCTTTGTGAAATTTGAAAAGGGAATCAAATTCAAGACAGCGTTCAAATATAAGCCCAGACAAACTATTAAAAATGAAAGCTGGCTGAGGGCAGTGGCTCATGCCTATAATCCCAGAACTCTGGGAGGCTGAGGCAGGAGGACTGCTAGAGCCCAAGAATTCAAGGTTGCAGTAAGCTATGATTATGCCACTGCACTTCAGCCTGGGAAACCAAATGAGACCCTGTATCTAAAATAAATAAATATTTTTTTTTTTAATGAAAGCTGCCAGGCATAGTGGCACATGCCTATAATCTACTGGGAGGCCCAGCCTGGGCAATCTCATCTCAAAAAATAAAAAAAAAATTAAAAAAAAAAAGGCCAGGTGCAGCGGCTCATGCCTGTAATCCCAGCACTTTGGGAGCCTAAGGCAGGAGGATCACTTGAGGCCAGGAGTTCGAGATCAGCGTGGCCAACATGGTGAAACCCCGTCTCTACTAAAAATACAAAAATTAGCTGGGCGTGGTAGCATGCGCCTTGTAATCCCAGCTACTCGGGAGGCTGAGGCACGAGAATCGCTTGAACCTGGGAGGTAGAGGTTGCAGTGAGATGAGATTGAGCCACTGCACTCCAGCCTGGGCAATGGAGTAAGACCTTCTCTCAAACAAAAAAAAAAAAAAGGAAAAGAAAGAACACCCAATTCCCAAATTTTCCACATGTCCCCAGGTAGAGAGGTAGCAGCAAAATGCTAGAGAAAAAAAGCCCAGCCTTGAAGTCAGACATGCTTGGGATCAAATCCCAGCTTCCCCCAGCTGTGTGATCTTGCGCAAAACAGGTTACTCTCGAAACCTCCGTTTCCTTGTCTATAAAAGGGGGACAATGCCTCAACAGGTTGTTTCAAGGATTCAATTAAATAAAATATATTAGAGAACCTGCATTTTGGCAGAAGTGTTCATGATGTCAATAAGGCAAGGTTTGTGTTCCACCTCTGTAGTTTTTTTTTTTTGTTTTTTTTTTTGATGGAGTTTCACTCTTGTTGCCCAGGCTGGAGTGCAATGGCATGATCTCGGCTCACTGCAACCTCCGCCTCCTAGGTTCAAGCAATTCTCCTGGCTCAGCCTCCCAAGTAGCTAGGATTACAGGTATGTACCATAGGGTCCAGCTAATTTTTGTATTTTTAGTAGAGATGGGGTTTCACCATGTTGGCCAGGCTGGTCTGGAACTCCTAACCTCAGGTTATCCACCCACCTCAGCCTCCCACAGTGCTGGGATTACAGGCGTGAGCCACAGCACCTGGCCGCGGTACATTTTTAAAGGATATTACTAAAGTAAGGGATAGCAGAAAGAACTCTGGCTTTCTGCCTCCGCTGCTGCCATGGCTTCTGTGAAAAAGCCTGTGGTGAAGGGGGGCAAAAAAAAGAAGCAGGTTCTGAAGTTCACTCTTGAATGCACTCACCCCGTAGAAGATGGAATCATGGATGCTGCCAATTTTGAGCAGTTTTTGCAAGAAAGGATCAAAGTGAACGGAAAAGCTGAGAACCTTGGTGGAGGGATGGCGACCATTGAAAGGAGTAAGAGCAAGATCAACGTGACATCCGAGGTGCCTTTCTCCAAAAGGTATTTCAAATATCTCACCAAAACATATATGAAGAATAATTTACGTGATTGGTTGCTCCTAGTTACTAACAGCAAAGATAGCTACAAATTATGTTACTTCCAGATTAACCAGGACAAAGAGGAGGAAGATGAGGATTAAATTTCATTTATCTGGAATATTTTGTATAAGTTTTTCAATAAAACTTGGGAACCAAAAGAAAAAAGAAAGAACACGCGACAAGCGTCAGAAAGACCTAAGTCTCTAAATCTCACATCTCTAGGCTTATTCAGCTGTTAAATGGGGGACTGTACTAGCTATTTCTAATTGACTTACCCATTCTGAAAAACTAAAGTAAGCCCCAATTTCTGCTGAATCCTATTCATTTTTGTTCATTTGCCTCCAACTTCTCTAACATGAGGGATTTATGACCCTTTGAAACAGGTGAGGAAAACCAAAGAAAGGCCAAGATGCCCAAGAAACGTATCATTTGCATGATATTAAAGTTGTAAGCCAAGCTTTTTTATAGGGATGTCTGGATGATTCACTCAGATTAGTGGTAGGCAATAAACGCCTGTACCGAAAATGTTGCATTTTCTGGCACAAAGTCACTGATAAGCACACTGCCTAGCATATAGCAGACACTCAAAAATGCTGGTTGAATGAACAAGGAGCCAACTGACACCTGTTACTCCCTATAAAATCTTTAACTTTCTTAAGCCAAAACTCAAGAAAGATGGTTGTCACATTAAGAACTCTACTAAATATCCTCTGAACGAACGAATCCTTCAAATTCTCAATTATGCTAAATGGAAAAACATAAACAACCGTTGAGAGAAATGCTGAACCAGCGGAAAAAACTTCAAAGCCAAGTTTCAACATTCCCGTAGAGCTAGATACACCCACTGACTGCTGCCAGGGTCAATTTCCCGGCCTCTTCCAGAGCTCATAAGCACCCCCAAAAAGCGCTTAGGAAAAAAAACCCAGCGCCTACTCTACCCTGGTACGCTCGACTCCTCGCACACGTAAACCTTTAAGGTGGATGTCAGTGCAGCCAGCATTGAACAGACGCGAACACGGGGAGACAAAAAAAGCATCTCCCCATATTCACAAGGGTCACCACAGACAAACTCTGAAAAGACCAAATTATTCACAAATCTAAGAGAATTGACAGATCCTCTTTGAGATAAACTATTTTCCTACAGTTTCTGGAGGCAAACAAAAACTCCAAAAACAAGTCGAACGGTCCATCTCCCCACTCCTCTCCCAAGAATGTGGCTGTTTTACATATCACACCCTGGACTCCGACAAGCGAACTCCTAGACCTTCCCGGGGCCTCGGATCGCTGAGTGGCAGAGGAGCTGCCCCGCAGAGCTTTCGGTTGCTTTGGCAGAGTCCCCGTGAGACCTGCCTGCCTGCCCACAAACTCTTCTTGGAGTAAAAGTGAAAGAGAAAAAAAACCCGACTCGTCCACCGTGACGGATGGTGGGGGATTTTAGCAGAGTTGAGTAGCCCAAAGAGGATTCAATTTCCCCCCGCCCTCGGCTGCCTCCTCCCGCTTTCCTGCGAAGCCGGACATGCCTCCTTGGTCCGCGCAAGCCCCACCACCACCCACATGGTGTGTCCGTCCCGGTCAGAGCACAAGAACTTTAAAATGGTGCCTCGGGCCACAAGGCTCATCGGAAAGAGTCACAGAGGCCCACGGCCAGCAAGTGGGCGCGGGGGGTCAGGAAAGGAGGCCCCGGGTGGCGGGTGGGGCGCCCCGGGTGACGCGCGCGTTAGTGGGCGGAGGGAGGCGCACCAGGCAAAGGAAAGGAGAGAAATGGATCGCGGCCCCTTTAAGAGGCCTTCACGGCGCTCAGGAACTGGGGGCCTCTCCACCACCCCCAGCCCGGCGTATGGGGCCCTTCCTTGGGGAGAACTATCTCCAGACCCGCTCCCCGGAGGCTCCCCTCACGCCAGGTCTCGCCCGGCCCTGCCATGGGACGGCGGCTCCTCCTTACCCCGCTGTCTGCCGCCTCTTCCCAGCTCTCAGCGACCTCCTCATCTTCCATCTTACTCGCCGCTTTCCCTCCTCCCCCACCCCCTCCCCGCGCCTGCGCTTTGAAGCGCGCCTCCGTCGCGGGCGCAGGCACGCAAGGCTTTACTCAATGGACCCCGCCCGCTGCCAAGCCCGGAAGAGGCGCCAGGCAAGGTCCCAAGTGTACATTAGGGCAGCCATCTTGGAAGGGGGCAGAGAAGGCGGAAAGATGCCATCTTTCTTAAGGGCCAACGCGTTATCTGTCTTACAGAATGGGCGTTCAAGGGAAGTCCTCATCTCGAGTACCGGAAGTGTGTTCTGTGGAACCATCTTTTCTAAGGGCAGGCAATTAAAGAAAACTTTTTTTCTTTTAAAGTGAGTCGTAGTTTTCCTAAACTACAGATAATGGTATCTTCAGAATTCTGAAAACATTTTTAAACACCAACAAATGATGAAAAATATCTGCTGATGCAGAAAACATTTTATTATTTCTGATAGGGTGAAAATCATTACAGTATTTCCTGCTCATAAAGCAGTATTCTAATCATTTATTAACACTATATCCGCTACCGTAAGGTAAAGACGGTAAAGATAATATTGCACCTCAGTTGGGAGAACCAGTGGGATTCCCAGCTACTAAGTTCTCCTGGGTCTTTAATGGTAGATAAATACGTTAGTATTACCTCTAAAAATTACTGGCCAGGCGCGGTGGCTCACGCCTGTAATCCCAGCACTTTGGGAGGCCGAGACAGGCGGATTACCTGAGGTCAGGAGTTCAAGACCAGCCTGGCCAACATGGTGAAACCCCGTCTCTACTACAAATACAAAAATTAGCTGGGCATGGTGGCACACGCCTATAATCCCAGCTACTCCGGAGGCTGAGGCAGGAGAACTGCTTGAGCCAGGGAGGTGGAGGTTGCAGTGAGCCGAGATCATGCCACTGCACTCCAGCCTGGCCGACAGAGTGAGGCTCTGTCTCAAAAAAAAAAAAAATTATTTATGTCAGGGCAGGCGTAGTGGCTCACACCTGTAATCCCACTTTGGGAGGCCAAGGTGGGCAGATCACCTGAGGTCAAGAGTTCGAGACCAGCCTGACCAACACGGAGAAACCCCGTCTCTACTTAAAATGCAAAATTAGCTGGGCATGGTGGCACATGCCTGTAATCCCACCTACTCGGGAGGCTGAGGCGGGAAGATCGCTTGAGCCTGGGAGGCGGAGGTTGCAGTGAGCCAAGATTGCGCCATTGCACTCCAGCCTGGACAACAAGAGCAAAACTCTATCTCAAAAAAAAGTTATTTATGTGGCCGGGCATGGTGGCTCACGCCTATAATCCCAGCACTTTGGAAGGGTGAGGCGGGGGGATCGCTTGAGCCCTGCAGTTTGAGACCAGCCTGGGCAACGAGGCAAAAGCCCATCTCTACTAAAAAAAAAAAAAAAAGCTGTGTGATCTTAACGCAAGTTACATAAGGATTCTATGTCTCAGTTCCCCAAGTGTATACATTAGAGATAGCTACTTCAAAAGTAGATTGTAAGAATTTAACCAGTTACTATGCTGAAATGCCTAGAACAGTGCCTGACCCATAGTAAGAGTCCTAAGGGTTAGCTATTATCATTATGGGAGTGTCTTGTCTGCCCGAGGAAGATTTATAATTGTCACTTCTGTAATCATCCTTTCTTAAAATATAAGGACAGGGAGATGCCAGGCGCGGTGGCTCACGCCTATAATCCCAACACTGTGGGAGGCTGAGGTGGGCGAATCAGTTGAGGTCAGGAGTTCAAGACTAGCCTGGTCAACATGGTGAAACCCCATCTCTACTAAAGATACAAAAATTAGCCGGATGTGGTGGCAAGCACCTGTAATCCCAGCTACTTGGGAAGCTGAGGCAGGAGAGTTGCTTGAACCCAGGAGGCAGAGGTTGCAGTGAGCCAAGATTGCGCCATTGCACTCCAGCCTGGGCAACAAAGCGAGACTCTGTCTCAAAAAAAAAAAAAAAGGCAGGGAGATAAGCAAACACCATGTGTTTATATTCTTACTGACATGTTCCTGTTTTTCTCTCAGTTTTAAATACATGTCATTCAGTAGTGTTGCATTTGGCTGCTATAACCAAGTTATCTGACTTGGAATGTGTTTTTTCTTGTATTTTTAGTATGCCATTAATCTTTCTGAAGTAAAACCTTCCTGCTGTGAAATTTCATAATTTGTATTCTTTTTTTTTTTTTTTTAGACATAGTCTCACTGTCGCCCAGGCTGGAGTGCAGTGGCGCAATCTTGGCTCATTGCAGCCTCTGCCTCCTGGGTTCATGTGATTCTCCTGCCTCAGCCTCCCGAGTAGCTGAGACTATAGGTGCTTGCCACTATGCCCAGCTAATTTTTGTATTTTTAGTAGAGGCCAGGTTTCACCATGTTGGCCAGACTGGTCTGGAACCCCTAACCTCAGATGATCTGCCTGCCTCAATCTCCCAAAGTGTTGGGATTACAGGTGTGAACCACTCTGCCCGTCCTGTTATTTGTATTCTTAATGATTATCATCATAAACTGCAACCATGTGTTAAATGTTACTGGTCTTTATTTAGAAGCTTAAGTGATATGCTTACTAATTCTCTGGTTTCACAACTTCCTGACTCTGAAATATTGTTCATTTCCAGGGTCTGTCCTCAGTCCACTGTTCTTACCTAGATGTTCATGGTATAAGCCACCCACTGTATGCTGAAGACTGCCAAAGTTGACTTCTAGCTGTGAACTGACCTGGTGTTTCTGATTCTGATTTTTACAGCTAGGCTTCTTATTGCCATCTCCACATGGATATTCCACTAGCAGCTTTTAAGTCTCTAAAACTCAAGTAATTCTCGGCCGAGCGCAGTGGCTCACGCCTGTAATCCCAGCACTTTGGGAGGCCAAGGCAGGCGGATCACGAGGTCAGGAGTTCGTAGACCAGCCCGACCAACATGGTGAAACCCCGTCTCTACTAAAAATACAAAAATTAGCCAGGCGTGGTGGCGCATGCCTGTAATCCCAGCTACTCAGGAGGCAGAGGCAGGAGAATCGCTTGAACCCGGGAGGTGGAGGTTCCAGTGAGCCGAGATCATGCCACTGCACTCCAGCCTGGGTGACAGTGAGATTCCATCTCAAAAAACAAACAAACAAACAAAAACCAAAAAAAAAAACCACACAAAAACTCAGTAATTCTGTTGAGTTCACCAATTTCATGGATTTTTGGCTTATTCACTCTGTGAGATTATATTTACTTGGAATACATTCTACTGTGAACCCATTCGTTGAAGTAAATTATCCTGACTGAGTCTTGGCAACAGCAAAGTGGTTGAAACTGTCAGACGGGGCTGGGCGCGGTGGCTCACGCCTGTAAATCCCAGCACTTTGGGAGGCCAAGGCGGGCAGATCACGAGGTCAGGAGATTGAGACCATCCTGGCTAACACGGTGAAACCCCGTCTCTACTAAAAATACAAAAAAAAAAAAAAATTAGCCGTGTGTGGTGGTGGGCGCCTGTAGTCCCAGCTACTCGGGAGGCTGAGGCAGGAGAATGGTGTGAACCTGGGAGGCAGAGCTTGCAGTGAGCCGAGATCGCACCACTGCACTCCAGCCTGGGCGACAGAGCAAGAGTCCGTCTAAAAAAAAAAAAAGTATACAGAAACTGTCAGACATAACCTCGTTCTGGAGCAATAGTTTTTCCTAAATGCAAGTGACTCCTATATTTAAGCTTTGTCGTTATGCCATATTACCAGCAGAGGGAGATGGTTTCTTACAATTTAGCATATTGGGCAACGACCCTTAACAAAAGCATTAGTTGTGCATTTCTGGGACTGCATTTTCAAGGAGACAAGAAAGATGGAGACCTTGGAAATCATCTGAAAATGCTGCAAATGAAATAGTTTTTGTTCCACAAAATGGGTAACCAGGAGGTCAGTCTTAGTTAATCACATAGACCCCTTGTGACCTTGGGCAAGTCTCTTCTCTCTCAGTCTGATTCCTCATCTGTAAAATCAGGGATGGAACCAAATTAGCTCTAAAATTGAAAAAGTAGTGGCAGTTTCTTCTTCCAGGGATAAGCCCAAAAAGTTGAGGCAGTGGCGGCCTGGCACCGTGACTCACGCCTGTAATCCCAGCACTTTGAGAGGCCGAGGCAGGTGGAAGATGAGGTCAAAAGATCAAGACCATCCTGAACGTGGTGAAACCCCTTCTCTACTAAAAATTCAAAAATTAGCTGGGCGTGATGGCACGCGCCTGTAGTCTCAGCTACTAGGGAGGCTGAGGCAGGAGAATCGCTTGAACCTGGGAGGCGGAGGTTGCAGTGAGCTGAGATCATGCCATTGCACTCCACCCTGGCCGATAGGGTGAGACTTTGTCTCAAAAAAAAAAAAAAAGTTGAGGCACACAATACACAGGTATTGTCAGAGGCCCTAAAGCATGAGTCTTTCTCTCTCTCTCTCACTCTTTCTGCTCTCACTCGGTCACCAGGCTGGAGTACAGTGGCACAATCATGGCTCACTGCAACCTCCACCTTCCAAGCACAAGTGACCCTCCTGCTTCAGCCTCCTGAGTACTGAGTAGCTGGGACTATAGGTGTGTGCCACCACACCCAGCTAAGTTTTTGCATTTTTTTTTTTTTTTTGGAGATGGAGATTCTCTCTTGTCACCCAGGTTGGAGTGCAATGGCGTGATCTTGGCTCACTGTATCCTCCGGATTCAAGCGATTCTCCTGCCTCAGCCTTCTGAGTAGCTGAGATTAGAGGCCTGGGCCACCATACCCAGCTAATTTTTTTTTTTTGACAGAATCTTGCTTTGTTGCCCAGGCTGGAGTGCAATGGTGTGATCTCGGCTCACCACAAGCTCTGCCTCCCGGGTTCAAGCGATTCTCCTGCCTCAGCTTCCCAAGTAGCTAGGATTACAGGCGCCTGCCACCAAGCCTGGCTAATTTTTGTATTTTTAGTAGAGACCGGGTATCACCATGCTGGCCAGGCTGGTCTCAAATTCCTAACCTCAGGTGATCCACCCGCCTCGGCCTCCCAAAGTGCTGGGATTACAGGTTTGAGCCACCGTGCCCAGCCCGGTGTATTGTATTATTAGTGGAGACAGTTTCTCCATGTTGGCCAGGCTGGTCTCAAACTCCTGACCTCAGGTGACTTTTTTTTTTCCTGAGACAGAGAGTCCACTTTTTTTTTTTTTTTTTTTTTGAGACGGTGTCTTGTCTTGCTCTGTTGCCCACGCTGGAGTGCAATGGCGTGATCTCAGCTCACTGCAACCTCTGCCTCCCAGGTTCAAGCAATTCTTCTGCCTCAGCCTCCTGAGTAGCTGGGACTACAGGCACGTGCCACCACGCCTGGCTAATTTTTGTATTTTTAGTAAAGACGGGATTTCACCATATTGGCCAGGCTGGTCTCAAAGTCCTGACCTTGTGATCTGCCCGCGTCAGCCTCCCAAAGTGCTAGGATTACAGCCATGAGCCACTGCGCCCAGCTTTTTTTTTTTTTTTTTTTTTTTGACAAATTTTCGCTCTTGTTGCCCAGGTTGGAGTGCAATGGCATGATCTCAGCTCACCACAACCTCCGCCTCGCGGGTTCAAGCGATTCTCCTGCCTCAGCCTCCCGAGTAGCTGGGATTACAGGCATGCGCCACCATACCCGGCTAATTTTGTATTTTTAGTAGAAATGGAGTTTCTCCATGTTGGTCAGGCTGGTCTCGAACTCCCGACCTCAGGTGATCTGCCCGCCTTGGCCTCCCAAAGTGCTGGGATTACAGGCGTGAGCCACCTCGCCCGGCCGAGATAACTTTCTATCTGACGCACAAGCTGAAGCTAGGTAGATAGTTGTGATGAGTAAATGGCAACTTACCAATATTGAAAATGTGCAGGCTGGGCATGGTGGCTCACACCTGTAATCCCGGCACTTTGGGAGGCCAAGGCAGGTGGATCACCTGAGGTCAAGAGTTCGAGACCAGCCTGGCCAACATGGTGAAATCCCACCCCTACTAAAAATACAAAAATTAGGTCTGGTGCAGTGGCTCATGTCTGTAATCCCAGCACTTTGGAAGGCTGAGGCAGGCAGATCATGAGGTCAGGAGTTCAAGATCAGCCTGGCCAGCATGGTGAAACCTCATCTCTACTAAAAATACAAAAAGTTAGCCGGGCATGGTGATACGCACCTGTAATCCCAGCTACTCAGGAGGCTGAGGCAGGAGAACTGCTTGAACCTGGCAGGTGGAGGTTGCAGTGAGCCAAGATAAAGCCACTGCGCTAGCCTGGGTAACAGACTCCATCTCAAAAAATAAAAATAAAAAAAATAAAAAATAAAAAAATAAAAATAAGGCCGGGCACGGTGGCTCATGCCTGTAATCCCAGCACTTTGGGAGGCCGAGGCGGGTGGATTGCCTGAGGCCAGGAGTTGGTGACCAGCCTGGCCAACATAGTGAAACCCTATCTCTACTAAAAATACATAAAATTAGCTGGGCGTGGCAGCAGGCGCCTGTAACCCCAGCTACTCGGGAGGCTGGGGCAGGAGAATTGCTTGAACCCTGGAGATGGAGGTTGCAGTGAGCCAAGATCGCTCCATTGCACTCCAGCCTGGGCAACAAGAGCGAAACACCATCTCAAAAATAAATAAATAAATAAAAATAAAAATACAAAAATTAGCTGGGCGTGGTGGCACGCACCTGTAATCCCAGGTACACAGGAGGCCGAGGCAGGAGAATCGCATAAAGCCTGGAGACAGAGGTTGCAGTGAGCCGAGATCATGCCACTGAACTCCAGCCCGGGTGATAGAGCCAGACTCAGTCTCAAAACAAACAAACAAACAAACAAAAAGAAAATGTGCATACCTAAGGATATCCATTGCTATTTTGTCTATAATCAAAAAAGACTGGAAACAAATTAAATGTTCATCGCTAGAGAATTTGTTTTAAAAGACTATGGTACATTCCTATAAAAGAATAGAATGCAACTGTTAATAACATTTATATTGTCCTAAATGCACTGATACTGAGTGATCTCACATGAGAACTAAAAATAAAATCCTAAACCTTCCAACGGACTAAATGGACACCCTTTTGGTACAGGGGACCCCAGAGAAGCCATGATGGAACAGGAAGTCAGACACACTTGGTTATACCCTATCCCTTTCACAGTTTAGACACAACAATTGACCAGCATTAATGCTAAAATAGAGATCATAAGACTGACACAACAAATGCTTTGTGGTAATAAGATGCTTTTTTTTTTTTTTTTTTGAGACACAGTCTCTCTCTGTTGCCCAGGCTGGAGTGCAGTGGCTCGATCTCGGCTCACTGCAACCTCCACTTCCCAGGTTCAAGAGATGCTCCTGCCTCAGCCTCCTGAGTAGTTGGGATTACAGGCTGGCAACACCACGCCCGGCTAATTTTTGTATTTTGAGTAGAGATGGGGTTTCACCATGTTGGCCATGCTGGTCTCAAACTCCTGAGCTAGTGATCCTCCTGCCTCAACCTCCCAAAATGCTGGGATTACAGACGTGAGCCACCGCGTGCGACCAAGATGCCAATTATAAACAGGACATAAGGTCATACCAAGCAAGGGTTAAGTCATGCACCCCAACCCTTTAAGAATAAACTATGTTCTGGCCAGGTGTGGTGGCTCATGCCTTTAATCCCACCACTCTGGGAGGCCGAGGCAGGCAGATCACCTGATGTCAAGAGTTCGAGACCAGCCTGGCCAACGCCGTGAAACCCTGTCTCTACTAAAAATACAAAAATTAGCCAGGCGTGGTGGCGCATACCTGTAAATCCCAGCTACTTGGAGGCTGAGGTAGGAGAATGGCCGGAACCTGGGAGGCTGAGGTTGTAGTGAGCCGAGATCATGCCACTGCACTCCAGCCTGAAAGACAGAGCGAGACTCTGTCTCAAAAAAACAATAAATTGGGCCGGGCGTGGTGGCTCATGTCTGTAATCCTAGCACTTTGGGAGGCTGAGGCGGGCGGATCACGAGGTCAGGAGATCGAGACCATCCTGGCTAACATGGTGAAACCCCATCTCTACTCAAAATACAAAAACAGCCAGTCGTGGTGGCACGCACCTGTAGTCCCTCAGGAGGCTGAGGCAGGAGAATGGCATGAACCCAGGAGGTGGAGCTTGCAGTGAGCCGAGATTGTGCCACTGCACTCCAGCCTGGGCGACAGAGGGAGACTCCATCTCAAAAAAAAAAAGAAAACAAAAGAATAAATTATGTTCTGGGCTGTACACAGTGGCTCACACCTGTAATCCCAGCACAATTTCAGCACCTTGGGAGGCCAAGGCAAGGTGGGCGGATCACCTGAGGTCAGGAGTTCAAGACCAGCCTGGCCAACATGGAGAAATCCTGTCTCTACTAAAAATACAGTAATTGGCTGGGCGCAGTGGCTCACGCCTGTAATCCCAGCACTTTGGGAGGCTGAGGCGGGTGGATCACCTGAGGTCAGAAGTTGGAGATCAGCCTGACCAACGTGGTGAAACCCTGTCTCTACTAAAGACACAAAACATTAGCTGGGCATGGTGATGCGTGCCTGTAACCCCAGCTACTTGGGAGGCTAAGGCAGTAGAATCGCTTGAACCCAGGAGGCAGAGGTTGCAGTGAGCCGAGATTGTGCCATTGCACTCCAGCCTGGCTGATAGGGCAAGACTCTGTCTCAGATAAATAAATAAATAAATAAATAAATAAATAAATAAAATAAAAAACCAAAAAATACAAAAAATTAGCTGGGCGTGGTGGCACACACCTGTAATCCCAGCTACTTGGGAGGCTGAGGCAGGAGAATCGCTTGAACCCGGGAGGGGGAGGTTGCAGTGAGCCGAGATCACGCCATAGCACTCCAGCATGGCGACAGAGCAAGACTCTGTCTTGAGAAAAACAAAACAAAACATATAGATAGAAAAGGTACGGTAAAAATATGGTATTATAATCTTATGTGACCACCATTGTACATGTGGTTTGCCATTGACCACTGTTATGTGGTGCGTGACTGTGATTGATTATTGGGACAGACTCTGGAGGAAAGTACCTTATTTAAACGTATTAGAGAGACTCCAACCACCCCTTTCATTCTAGCCTTATCCCCTGTCTTTAATCATGTCCCAATCAGCCTTCACACTGCAGAGAGACTATTCTGAAAAACCATTTTAATTATAGAGTATAACCTCCCCGTTCCCAGTTCTTCATGACCTATAATGTAATCTCCAGTCTTCCCCCGATATTCCAGCCACTATGTAGCTCAGTTTCGTCATCTTTAAAATAGGCACAATAATGACGCCTACTTAGCAGAGTTCGGTACATAATAAATGTAAACAATAAATAGCAATTGTGATTATTATTAGAGTTTAATACTTTTGTCCTTATCACAATTTATACTTCTATCTTGTCTACAGTCTTTGTGTATTGGTTATCTCTCTCAGTAGATAGTAGGGCCCTCCACAAGGGCAGAGACCTTATGTTTCATTAAAAAATATATATGACCATGGCCGGGCACAGTGGCTCATGCCTGTAATCCCAGCACTTTGAGAGGCCGAAGTGGGTGGATCACCTGAGGTCAGGAGTTCAAGACCAGCCAGGGCAACATGGCAAAACCCCATCTCTACTAAAAATACAAAAATTAGCTGGGTATGGTGGCACGCACCAGTAATTCCAGCTACGCAAGAGGCTGAGGCACGAGAATCACTTGAACCCAGGAAGCGGAGGTTGCAGTGAGCAGAGATTGTGCCACTGCACTCTAGCCTAGGCAACAGAAGCAAGACTCTGCCTCAAAAAAAAAAAAAAAAAAATTATGGCCAGGTGCAGTGGCTCATGCCTGTAATCCCAGCACTTTGGGAGGCCAAGGTGGGTGGATCATGAGGTCAGGAGATCGAGACCATCCTGGCTAACACGGTTAAACCATGTCTCTACTAAAAATACAAAAAATTAGCTGGGCGTGGTGGCAGGCACCTGTAGTCCCAGCTACTCGGGAGGCTGAGGCAGGAGAATGGCGTGAACCCCGGAGGCGGAGCTTGCAGTGAGCCGAGATCATGCCACTGCACTCCAGCCTGGGAGACACAGTGAGACTCCGTCTCAAAAAAAAAAAATTTGTATATATTTATAAATATATATATTAATATTGTATATATATATGACCATACGTATCACATGGTCTGGCACATAGTAGGTGCTCACTAAATATTTGTTTCCCAAATGCCCTCTTAGTTGCCAAATTCCAAGTTCATTCATTCAACAAATATTTAGTGAGTCCCTACTATGTGCATCTCTATGTCAGGTGCTGGTGGAAAACAGACAAAAATCCCTGCTGTCCTTGAGTAAGAAGATTCAGGGTGAAGTGATTCTGTATTTGAACGTATTCTAACATGGTCCAGCAGTTCCAACCCTGACTGCTCAACAGAATCCCTGAGGAGCTTTCAGAAAAGTCTGAGGCCATTGTTTGAGGTGGGCCCTGGAACCTGCATTTTAATTTATTTTTGTAGAGATGGGGTCTTGCTATCTCGCTCAGGTTGATCTCAACTCCTGGCCTCAAGTCAGCCTCCCATGTCAGCCACTGAAAGGGTTGGGATTACCAGCGTGCAACACTGCAACTGGCCATGGAACCTGCATTTTTACTTTTACTTATTTTTTTTTTTTTGGAGACAGAGTCTCACTCTGTCACCCACGCTGGAGTGCAGTGGCATGATCTCAGCTCACTGCAACCTCCACCTTCCAGTTTCAAGTGATTCTTGTGCCTCAGCCTCCCGAGTAGCTGGGATTACAGGCACATGCCACCATTCCTGGCTAATTTTTGTATTTTTAGTAGAGACGGGGTCTTACCATGTTGGCCAGGCTGGTCTTGAACGCCTGACCTCAAGTGATCCACCTGTCTTGGCCTACGAAAGTGCTAGGATTTTTTTTTTACTTTTTTTTGTTACTTTTACTTTTTTTTTGAGACAGAGTCTCGCTCTGTCACACCAGGCTGGAGTGGAGTGATTATAGCTCACTGCAACCTCAAACACCCTGGCTCAATCAATCCTCCTACCTCAGCCTCCCAAGTATCTGGGACTATGCAAGCTACTCTGGAGGCTGAGGTGGAAGAATTGATTGAGCCCGGTTGGAAACTTCCTTCCTCAAAAAAAAAAAAAAAGTAGCATTTAATAGCTGGTCCAGTGTTTCCAATATTGAGCTCTACAGGATATTTGGAGGGGGAAGAGTGGAGTTGGTCACAAGTTCTAGTAATTTTTTTTTTTTTTTTTTTGAGACAGTCTCGCTCCGTGGCCCAGGCTGGAGTGCAGTGGCACAATCTCAGCTCACTGCAACCTTCACCTCCTGGGTTCAAGCAATTCTCCTGCCTCCACCTCCCGAGTAGCTGGGATTACAGGTGTGTACCACCAAGCCTGGCTAATTTTTTGTACTTTAGTAGAGACAGGGTTTCAGCATGTTGTTCCCATGGTGGTCTCGAACTCCTGAGCTCAGACAATCTGCCTGCCTCGGCCTCCCAAAGTGCTAAGATTACAGGTGTGAGCCACCGTACCCGGCTCAGTTCTAGTAATTTTTAAGCTTGAGGTTTTTAATGACATGATTTAAAAACTAGATTTAAAAACCAGATTTAAAAATATTTCCTTTACCAGTTATAATTGCCCAATTTCTCTTTTGCAGTAAAATTTCCTAGTTGAAAGACTTGATTTTCTTTATCTTTTCTTTTCTTTCTTTTTTTTTTTTTGAGAGGGAGTATCGCTCTTGTTGCCCAGGCTGGAGTGCAATGATGCGATCTCGGCTCACCACAACCTCCACCTCCCGGGTTCAAGCAATTCTCCTGCCTTAGCCTCCCGAGTAGCTGGGATTACAGGCATGTGCCACCACGCCTGGTTAATTTTGTATTTTTTTTTTTAGTAGTGATAGGGTTTCTCAATGTTGGTCAGGCTGGTCTCGAACTCCCGACCTCAGGTGATCCGCCTGCCTCGTCCTCCCAAAGTGCTGGGATTATAGGCGTGAGCCGCCGCGCCTGGCCAAAACATGATTTTCTTAAATCAATGTTTCTCCCACTGGGATTCCCTGAGTGTATCCCTAGGGGACTTTGCATTATTCAGGTTTGAAGAACGTAAGAATATACTGCTTTCTATTTATTTATTTGAGATGGGTTCCCTCTATCACCCAGGCTGGCGTGCAGTGAGGTGATGATAGCTCACTGCAACCTCCAACTCCTGAGCTCAAGCAACCCTCTGCCTCTGTCTCCCAAGTAGCTAGAACTACAGGTACACATGCCACCATGTCCAGCTAATTTTTCAACTTTTTGTAGGGATGGGGTCTTGCTATGGTGCCCAGGATGGTTTTGCATTCCTGAGCTCAAGCGATCCTCCCCTCTTGGCTTCCCAAAGTGCTGGGCTGACAAGTATGCACCACCGCCTCTGGCTCATACAGCTCTCTATGGGTAAGGGTGACCCAAGTCTGCTCAAAGAGGCCTTGCCCTCCAACTTGAGGGGAACTTGGCTTCTGGCCCAGCCCTATGCCCCATGAGATTTCCTAGGAGGAAACTTTGTAAAATATTTGAAGAGATTTATTCTAAGCCAAATATGAGTGACCATGGCCCATGACACAGCCCTTGGGAGATCCTGAGAACATGTGCCCAAGGTGGTTGGGAAGCAGCTTGGTTTTATACATTTTAGAGAGACATGAGACATCAATCAAATACATTTAAGATATATTAATACAGGGCCAGGTGCAGGGGCGTATGCCTGTAATCCCAGCACTTTGGGAGGCCGAGGCGGGTGGATCAACTGAGGCAAGAGTTCGAGACCAGCCTGGCCAACATGGTGAAACCCCGTCTTTACTAAAAATACAAAAATTAGCTGGGTGTGGTGGCACATGTCTGTAATCCCAGCTACTCAGGAGGTTGAGGCACGAGAATCGTTTGGACCTGGGAGGCAGAGGTTGCAGTGAGTGGAGATCACACCACTGCACTCCAGCCTGGGCGAAGAGTGAGACCCTGTCTCAATAAATACATAAAAAGGCCAGGCGCCGTGGCTCACACCTGTAATCCCAGAACTTTGGAAGGCCGAGGTGAGTGGATCACGAGTTCAGGAGTTTGAGACCAGCCTGTCCAAGATGGTGAAACCCCGTATTTTCTACTGAATTTTGTATTTTCTACTGAAAATACAAAAATTAGCTGGGCACGGTGGCGGGCGCCTGTAATCCCAGCTACTCGGGAGGCTGAGGCAGGAGAATCGGTTGAACCCAGGAGGCGGAAGTTGCAGTGAGCGGAGATGGTGCCACTGCACTCTAGTCTGGGCGACAGAGCAAGACTCAGTCTCAAAAAAATAAACAAATAAATAAAAATAAGTAAATAAATAAATAAAAACTACATTGGTTCGGTGCAGAAAGACCGGAAACTTGAAGTGGGGGCTTCCACATTATAGGCAGATTTAAACATTTTCTGATTGGCAATGAGTTGAAATAGTTATTATCAATAGGCCTGGTGCGGTGGCACACGCCTGTAATCCAAGCATTTTGGGAGGCCGAGGCAAGTGGATTACTTGAGCTCAGGAGTTTGAGATGAGAGTGGACAACATGGCGAAACCCTGTGTCTACAAAAAAAATGGAAAAATTAGCCAGGCATGGTGGTGCCCGCCTGTAGTCCCAGTTACTCAGGAGGCTAAGGTAGGAGGATAGCTTGAGCCTGAAAGACAGAGGTTGCAGCGAACCAAGAACTCATCACTGGACTCCAGCCTGGGCAACAGAGTTAGACCCTGTCTCAAAAAAAAAAAAGTTATTATCAATAGAAATGAATGTCTGGGTTATGATAAGGGATTGTGGACACCAAAGTTTTATCACGCACGTGAAGCCTCCAAGTGGCAGGTGGGCTCCAGAGAGAACAGATTGTAAATGTTTCTTACCAGTCTTAAGGTCTGTTGTGTTGATGTCAATGCTGAAGGATGTAATGAGGCATGTCTCATGTCCTGCTTCCCGTCATGGCCTGAACCAGTCTCTCAGGTTGGTTACATTTTAGACTGCCCTGGCCTAGGAGGAAGTCCGTTCAGATGGTTTGGTGTTGGGGGGGGGGTGGGGGCTTAGTTTTTTGTTTTGTTTTGTTTTGTTTTTTTGGCTTACAGAGTTTAGACTGAAGCCTTTGACTCTGTATCTGGCATTTCCTTAGACCACATGCTGTAGGGCTGGGCTCATGAAGGTTCTCACCTACACACCAGGTTGCTCCCTTGAGAAGGGGGACTTTGCTGGATCCTATAACCTAGCTAGTAGGAAGTAAAGGAGCTTGGGAACCAGACAAGCCTGAGTTTAAATCCTCTTTCCCGCGCCGCCCCACCTCCACTGATAGGTGTGTGACTCCGGGCAAATAAGTGATCGTTTTCTGTGCCTCAGTTTCCTCATCTGAAAAGTGGAGCTAGTAAGAACTCACAGTGGTTGCTACGAGGCTACGGTTAAGGGAAGACTTCTCCTGCACACCTCAAGCACAGTTTCCCTCCCCTTGGCGATATCCAAGAGCACTCACATCCGCCACAGCCCTCTCTGCTCATCGGGCCCTCGGGGTAGAAGTGAGTTAATTCCTGGCTAAATGTTAGTCTCAAACCACCGGGAAAACCACCCAGTTGCCCCAGACAGTGCAGCGGAGGGTGGGTGCGGCTATCAGGTCGACGCTAGAGACGCGGCGAAGGCGGGTGCGGAGGCCTAACTCCCCCGAGCGCATTCCACCCTCCACAGAACCTCGGCCTGTGACCACGGCCTTTCTCAACACTGCGCCGCCCCCTGGCCGCCCCTCGCCATCCCGCCGCGCTGACGTGAGTGCGCGCGCGTCCGCCGCGCCCGCCCCGGCGCATGCGCGCTCTGCGCTGTCTTCTCCCGGCCTGAGCAGCAGCAGCTGCGGCGGCGGCGGCGTTTGAGTGGAGGAAGATGGCGGCTCCGGGCGGCTCGGGGTCCCGCCAGCTGTGAGGAGCCCCGAGCACGGCTGTCGCGGCCTGAGGCAGAGCGCCTCTGCTCTGGCCCTGTCCCTGGCTCCCTCATTACCGTCGCCAGCGGAGCGAACCCGAGAGCGTGGAGCGGGCTGGGCCAGGTGAGGCCTCTCCTCCTCCCCGGGCCGCAGAGGGGAGCCGGCGCCTTCTGCCCTTTATGCCCGGGACTGGCAAGGGGCAGCGGGCGCCCGGGGTCTGACGCAGGCCCCGTATCCCACGCGGGGGTCGGTCCTGGTTGGGCAGGGTGACTTGCTATCGCCGTCCTCGAGTGAGGCGAGGAGGAGGACAGCTCCTTTCCAGCCAGCCCTTGGGTTGGGAGCGAACCCACCCCCTCTCCTCAGCAGGGTGGTTCTCGTCCCCTCACCCGGGCAGTGAAGGGGTGTGTGGCCCGGGCAAGGATGGCTTTAGGGTGTCAGGTAATCTTTCATCGCTCCTCCGAACATTTCACTCCTTTGCGAGAGAGGAGTCGGGGGTCGGGTGCCCATCAAAATTGGGGCTGCGGCTGGGGGCTAGCATCTCTGAACCTGCAGCTGCAAAGGGATAATTTTGGAATTGGTTTACGTTAAATAAAACACAAAAGGCCTTTCCTATCCCCTAGCTTGTTGAGTGTTCCCTTAGAGAAATGGGAACTGCGGATCTCCTTGCTTGAGACAGCAATCCATGCTGTGACTGTGGAAGGCTTCTCTTGGCGAGAATTGTGTGTGCAAAGGGAACGGTGGAGGGTGGGAACGAATTTGTAAGCGAAGAGAAAACGATTGTGAGATCTTGATGGTCGCTGCAGAGTAACTTCAGCGCTGAGTTCGTTTGAAACCTTCGGTTTGTTAAGATTCAGAATAACCAATTGCTTTGTCTGTTAAATCTCCCGATTTCTGTTAGGAAAATAAAAGCCTCATTTCTTAATTGCCAGAGTCTGGATTTTTCTGTGGTGGGATTCTGATCGATCTAGATGAAGATTCTGACACATTACCAGTTTTACTTGCTGGCAGTTGCTGGCCCCGACGTTGAAACTATGTTGTTCCTTTTTGAGAACAACTTTTATTGCTGTTTAAATGCTAATTGGGAGACTTCGATTGTGTTTCTGTCATGTAGGGAAGTCGGTTTGAAGCCTTGTGGTCTCTTTCTTGAGGAATGATGGCTTCACTGAACTTGTGCTATGCAGAATTGTTGAGGCGATTGCTTTTGCTTGGACACACCAAAATATCTTTTGTAACAAATTGGCTTTACTTCTGCTTAAGAATGATGACATCATGGATTTAAAGAGGCAAGGAAAATTTGGGGGAAGTACCATCATTTAGAATTGAATATTTAGAATTAAGTCTGTATATCTTATGGCCATTAGTGATGCTGTGTTAAATTGCTAACTTTGAGTGTATTCACGTGTGTAATCTGATTGGGTGTCTTTTCTATTGTATGTTGTCATTTTATACCCAGTAACTGTTTGCTTTTGACAAGCCAGTATAAATAGATGATTCAATCTACATTGATCCATAGGCATGTTGCGTATCTTAAAAAGCTTTTCATTGTTAAAATGACAACTGTTTAGGTTATTATTTGACCATTTTCTTTCTTTCTTTCTTTCTTTCTTTCTTTCTTTCTTTCTTTCTTTTTTTTTTTTTTTTGCAGTTTCTCACTCTGTCATCCAGGCTGGAGTGCAGTAGCACAGTCTCGGCTCTCTGCAATCTCCATCCCCTGGGTTTAAGCGATTCTCCTGCCTCAGCTTCCTGAGTAGCTGGGATTACAGGTGTGCGCCACCACGCCCGCTAATTTTTTTTTTTTTTTTTTTTTTTTTGTAATTTTAGTAGAGACGGGGTTTCACCATGTTGCCCAGGCTGATCTCAAACTCCTGGTCTCAAGCGATACCCTGCCCCACCCCAGGCTTGAGCCACCGTGCCCAGCCTCCTTTTCTATTTTTAAATCAAAGACTTTTCCATAGAAATTTGTCGATTTTCTTAGTGTCTTTGCTAAAGATGTAAATCTGAACCAGCAGCTTCTCTGTGGTAGAAAATTGGAGAGCTACTTTGCATATCAATTTGCTAATAAAGAGTCATGAAATTAATGCAGTAAAACATCCTGGTGGCTCATCATTATGCTTCTTGGCATAATATGTTGCACTGTTATGCTAAATCATCATCAGGTATTGATGCAACTTCATGACATCCATGACATCATTTGCTCTCCAGATTTTGACCTTTGCAATTCCTTACCTTAGTTACAAAAAGAACAGGATCAGAAAAAAAATAGCTTAGGATGCTTCTTCTTGTCTGATTTCTAGAGGGGTCTTTAATAACAGCTTTATGTGGTTTAAACCCTGAGTAAGATTCAGAGCAGGGTGAGTCCTACCTATTATGGAGAGCAAGCAAAGAAAATGCTAACAAAACGTCTGAGTTTTATGAGAACACTGAGGTCCCAGGGAGAAGCTATCTCAAAGATGAACAAATACGTAATTATCTTTGTGATTTCAGAATTGTTTTAGTCAATGAATTAACTCTTTTTGTTTGTTTTTTGAGACATAGTTTTGCTCTTGTTTCCCAGGCTGGAGTGCAATGATCTCGGCTCACTGCAACCTCCACCTCTCCGGTTCAGGCGATTCTCCTGCCTCAGCTTCCTGAGTAACTGGGATTGCAGGTGCCTGCCATCATGCCCAGCTAATTTTTTGTATTTTTAGTAGAGACAAGGTTTCACTATGTTGGCCAGGCTGGTCTTGAACTCCTGACCGCAGGCGATCCACCTGCCTTGGCCTCCCAAAGTGCTGGGATTACAGGCTTGAGCCACTGCGCCCGGCCCTGAATTAACTCTTTATAAAACCAGAAGCCATTTGATTAAATAAAGCCCTTCCCACGATTGTTAATGTGGATCAGAAAAGATAGTGTTCGTGAAAGTGCTTTGTAAAATGTAAAATAAAAGGTAAATGTAAAATTGATTATTCCTATTTATGAACCACCTACTGAGGGCCCTCCATATGGCGGGTGTTTTGGGAAGTAGGTACTAATTTAAGACAGCTTTTGGTCTGAAGTTGCATATAGTATGGCTGGGGAGCCAGACAAGGAAACCCGTTAAGTGCTATGTAGTGTTAAGAAGTGCACTGAATCCAACCAAGAGAGTCAAGGAAGGCTTCTTGGAGCAGGGATGGCTTTTCCCCAACCTTTCCTATTATTCTGCAGAGTCTGCCTTTAGTGAGTGACTTGCTTTTTATAAAAACTTGAAAAAAAATTCTGTCATGGGTTCTTTTCCCCTTTTATTCATTCACTGTCATGACAGTTCCCACACAGTATGCCCCAGTTATGGCTTCTGCATTCTCAAAAATCCAGCAGTCTTGGGAAAACCTTTCTATATGAGTCATATACACAGGCAACAAACACAAACATTGCAGCTGCAATTAAAATATCTCAGATTACTAAGTGGTGACAACTTTAGAGTGATGATGCTTTTTTGTTTTTGTTTTGTAAACTAGTACAAGAGGCACTGTGTTTTTAATTTGATGACAATTAATACAGTAAATATTTAATTGTTATTCCTTACAATGTTGATTATAGGTGGTTATTAGTACTGTCTCCTTTTTCCCAACAATAAATAAAATGAGAAGATCTTAATTCCTTTTTGATTGAAGCTGACCGCTTAAGTGAGAATTACACTAAACTTTCTTTTTCTTTTTTATTTTTTTGAGACCAAGTCTTGCTCTATCGCCTAGGCTGGAGTGCAGTGGCGCAATCTCTGCTCACTGTAACCTCTACCTCCCGGGTTCCAGCGATTCTCCTGCCTCAGCCTCCCGAGTAGCTGGGAGTACAGGCACCCGCCCCACGCCCGGCTAATTTTTGTAGTTTTTTTTTAGTAGAGGTGGGATTTCACCATATTGGCCAGGCTGGTCTCGAACTCCTGACCATGTGATCCGCCCACCTTTGCCTCCCAAAGTGCTGGGATTACAGGCTTCAGCCACCGCTCCCGACGAATTACACTAAACTTTTATAGAATCTATGTGGATTGGTGTTGCTAGTAGCTTTGATATTGAACTTCTGTATCCCAGTACAAGTTATTTACCTTAGTGCTGTAGTTGTTGTACAATTAATTTAGCGTGTTGTTGCCTATATTGCAAAAACTTCGAATTTTTGGATTGAGTGAAATTTTTATGTGGCACTGTATTATTGAACATATACCATCTGTATCTTAACTGAAAATGAGTGATCTAAAGTTGCGGCTGATGGAAAAGTGAAGGTGATGTGTTCAGTTTTCTATAATGTGACAGCTTGCTACATGTACAAGGATATGACTTACAGACAAGTCATTTAAAAATTGTCCAGCATTAAGCTTATAATATAGCTTATGACTTATAGGCAAGTCTTTCTTTTCTTTTTTTCTTTTTTTTTTTTTTTTTGAGACGGAGTCTCGGGTCTGTCGCCAGGCTAGATAGAGTGCAGTGGCGCGATCTCGGCTCACTGCAAGCTCCACCTCCCAGGTTCACGCCATTCTCCTGCCTCAGCCTCCTGAGTAGCTGAGACTACAGGCGCCCACTACCACAGCTGGCTAATTTTTTGTATTTTTAGTAAAGACAGGGTTTCACTGTGTTAGCCAGGATTGTCTCGATTTCCAGACCTCGTGATCTGCCCGCCTCGGCCTCCCAAAGTGTGGGGATTACAGGCGTGAGCCACTGTGCCTGCCTAATTTTTGTATTTTTAGTAAAGATGGGGTTTCAACATGTTGGCCAAGCTGGTCTGGAGCTCCTGATCTCAGGTGATCCGCTGGCCTTGGCCTCCCAAAGTGCTGGGATTACAGGCGTGAGCCACAGTGCCCTGCCTGAAATTTCTACTTTTTAATTTGTAAAGTTGTTTGTTTGTTTGTTTGTTTGTTTGTTTTGAGAGGAAGTCTCTCTCTGTTGCCTAGGCTGGAGGGCAGTGGCGCCATCTTGGCTCACTGCAACCTTTGCTTCTGGGTTCAAGTGATTCTCCTGCCTCAGCCTCCTGAGTAACTGGTATTACAGGTGCACACCACCATGCCTGGCTAATTTTGTATTTTTAGTAGACACGGGGTTTCACCATGTTGGCCAGGCTACTCTCGAACTCCTGTCTTCAAGTGATCCACCTGCCTCAGCCTCCCAAAGTGCTAGGATTACAGGCATGAGCTACTGTGCTGGCCTGTAAAGTTTTTTTCTGAGTTTTTAATTTTTTCCAGTGTTTTGCTTCAAAGGTGGATGTATCTTGTGATGCTTTGATGCGCACACACACACACAGATAAGTGTATTTATATATGTACACTATATAAATCTGATAAATGTATAGTTATTATATATGGCAATAGTCACTTTTAAAATTGTACTATTCTGACAGGCCGGGTGCGGTGGCTCATGCCTATAATCCCAGCACTGTGGGAGGCTGAGGTGGGTGGATCACTTGAGGTCAGGAGTTCAAGACCAGCTTGGCCAACATGGTGAAACCCCATCTCTACTACTAAAAATACAAAAATTAGTGTGTGCCTGTAATCCCAGTTACCTAGGAGGCTGAGCCAGGAGAATCACTTGAACCCAGGAGGCAGAGGTTGCAGTGAGTTGATGTCCCTCCACTGCCCTCCAGCCTGGGCGACAGAGTGAGACTCTGTCTCAGAAAAAAAAAAAAAAAAATGTACTGTTCAGTACAGTAATTTAGCTTAGTAACTTATTTTCTCTTGTTTTTTTTTTTTTTTCCCCGAGACGGAGTCTAGCTCTGTCGCCCAGGCTGGAGTGCAGTGGCGCAATCTCGGCTCACTGCAAGCTCTGCTTCCCGGGTTCACACCATTCTCCTGCCTCAGCCTCCTCAGTAGCTGGGACTACATGCGCCCACCACCACGCCCAGCTAATTTTTTGTATTTTTGGTGGAGACGGGGTTTCACTGTGTTAGCCAGGATGGTCTCGATCTCCTGACCTCATGATCCGCCCGCCTCGGACTCCCAAAGTGCTGTGATTACAGGTGTGAGCCACTACGCCTCGCTCTCTTCTTTTCTAGTAATAAATAGATTTGAAGTAGTTCATTTAATTTCTATAAAGGCAAGCGTGTTTTGGTTTTAGCTGGTAATGTTCCCTTAGAATATTTTCTATTTAGGATACTTTCAGTTGTTTTAAGGAATTCACTAGTATGGGGGTAAACGCACTTTCAAATGTTTCCTTTATTGATCTCTAATAAGGTAGGGTGTTTACTTTTTTGCTTTTCATTATAAATTTCTTCGTAAAGAATTGGTGAAGTGGTCACCTCAGTGGTAGCAAATAAGTTTCCTTGCTACTTTCTGTATCACTATATTGTACATGGATTTTAATTTATTCATTATTTTACACTTCGTTCTCACCATTAGTCGTTCTGACCCTGAAATTTGGCCAGCATAAGCCTCCTTAAGTTGGTAGTGTGTCCTTCTGATATGTCACCTTTGGTCTTGGAGTGCTTCCTTATTTTTTGTCACAACAAGCTATCCCGGATTCACCTTGTATCTACCTGTCATTGAAGTGAAATTAGTCGTTTTTCTAAGAAGACCTGGTGTCTTTTTTTTTTTTTTTTTTGAGACGGAGTCTCGCTCTGTCGCCCAGGCGGGAGTGCAGTGGCTTGATCTCGGCTCACTGCAAGCTCTGCCTCCCCGGTTCATGCCATTCTCCTGCCTCAGCCTCCCGAGTAGCTGGGACTACAGGCGCCCGCCACCATGCCCAGCTAATTTTTATATTTTTAGTAGAGACAGGGTTTCACCTTGTTAGCCAGGATGGTCTCGATCTCCTGACCTTGTGATCCGCCTGCCTCGGCCTCCCAAAGTGCTGGGATTACAGGCGTGAGCCACCGCGCCTGGCGACTCAGTGTCTTTTACAGGGAATGCCAGTAGAAACCAGGATCTGTGTGCTAGGGATGCTCATTGCTACAGGGTCTTCATTGTTTCTAGGTCCTTTCAGTAGTCACAACTAGAAAATTTTATTTTATTTTATTCTATTTTATTTTTAAGACAGAGTCTCGCTCCATCACCCAGGCTGGAGTTCAGTGGCAGGATCTCAGCTCACTGCAACCTCCGCCTCCTGGGTTCAAGCAATTCTCCTGCCTCAGCCTCCCAAATAGCTGGGATTACAGGTGTCCTCCACCACGCCCAGCTAATTTTTTGTATTTTTAGTAGAGATGGGGTATCACCATGTTGGCCAGGCTGGTCTCGAACTCCTGGCCTCGTGATCCGCCTGCCTTGGTCTCCCAAAGTGCTGGGATTACAGGCGTGAGCTGCCGCGCCTGGCTCAGAAAATATATATATATGTTTTTTTGTTGTTGTCGTTTTTTTGAGACGGAGTCTCACTCTGTCTCTCAGGCTGGAGTACAATGGCATAATCTTGGGTCACTATAACCTCCGCCTCCCAGGTTCAAGTGATTCTCCTGCCTCAGCCTCCGGAGTAGCTAGGATTACAGGTGCCCACCACCACACCCAGCTAATATTTGTATTTTTAGTAGAGATGGGGTTTCACCAGGTTGGCCAGGCTGGTCTCAAACTCCTGACCTCAGATGATCCACTCACCTTGGCCTCCCAAAGTGTTGGGATAACAGGTGTGAGCCACCACGCCCGGCCCAGAAAATATTATTAGAAATCAGAACTTTATATTGATATTTACAACTGAATTTAACACATTTATGGGATTTTTTCTTTTGATTTTATATTTGTCTCATACTGAAATATTTGGTTTTAATAATATTAACATTTATTTGCTTTATCCTATGTATGTATAAGAAGGTTTAAAAATGTAACAACTGGATGGGTGCTGTGGCTCACGCCTGTAATCCCAGCACTTTGGGAGGCTGAGGTGGGCAGATCACCTGAGGTTGGGAGTTTGACACCAGCCTGGCCAACATGGGGAAACCCCGTCTCTACTAAAAAATACAAAAAAAAAAAAAAAAAAAAGTTAGCTGGGTGTGGTGGTATGTGCCTGTAATCTCAGCTACTTGGGAAGCTGTGGTAGGAGAATCACTTGTACCTGGGAGGCCGAGGTTGCAGTGAGCTGAGATCAAGCCACTGTACTCCAGCCTGGGCGGTAGAGTCTCTGTCTCAAAAAAAAAAAAAAAAATTATATATATTCCATATTACTACTAATAAAATACCTGAAGCTAACTTAAAGTAATCCCAGCACTTTGGGAGGCTGAGACGGGTGGATCACTTGAGGTCAGGAGTTCGAGACCAGCCTGACCAACAATGGGGAAACCCCATCTCTACTAAAAATACAAAATTAGCTGGGTGTGGTGGCACATGCCTGTAATTCCAGCTACTTGGGAGGCTGAGGCAGGAGAATCGCTTAAACCTGGGAGGTGGAGGTTGCGGTGAGCCAAGATTGCGCCATTGCACTCCAGCCTTGGCAACATGAGTGAAACTCTGTTTCAAAAAAATAAAAAAAAGATCCCTTTGCAGTTTTCTTTTTTTGTTGTTGTTTTTTTTTTTTTTGCCATGCTAAAGTGTGGTGTGATTATGGCTCAATGCAGCCCCAATCTCCTGGCTCAAGCGATCCTCCTGCCTCAGCCTCCCGAGTAGCTAGAACTACAGGTGGGCACCACTACACCTGGCCAATATTTTTTTTTGAGACGTAGTCTCTGTCACCCAGGCTGAAGTACAATGGCACGATCTGGGCTCACTGCAACCTCCACCTCCTGGGTTCAAGCGATTCTCCTGCCTCAGCCTCCCAAGTAGCTGGGATTATAGGCACCCACCACCACGCCTGGCTAATTTTTTGTATTTTTAGTAGAGATGGGGTTTCACCATCTTGGCGAGGCTGGTCTTGAACTCCTGACCTCGTGATGTACCTGCCTCGGCCTCCCAAAGTGCTGGGAATTTTTTTGATTTTTATTTTTTTAGACACAGGGTCTGGCTCTGTCACCTGGGCTGGAGTGCAGTGGTGCAATCTCTGCTTACTACAACCTCTCCCTCCCAGGCTCAAGTTACTGTCCCATCTCAGCCTCCTGAGTAGCTGGGACTACAGTCACATGCCACCATGCCAGGCTAATTTTTTTGTGTTTTTTGTAGAGATGGAGTTTTGCCATGTTGCCCACGCTGGTCTGGAATTCGTGTCTTCAAGCAATCCTCCACCTGCCTTGACCTAAAGTGTTGGCATTGCAGGCGTGAGCCACTGCGCCTAGCCTGCAGTTCTTCTAAATCCTTAGAATTTTTTATCCATCAGGATCCAGCCAAAAACTGGAAAATATACTAAATATTTCAAAGAGGAAATTTAATATAGGGAATTGGTTACATATGTGTTATAACACCAGAAGGGCAAAAGATGGTAGAGTAGGTGTCTTAGTCCATTTTGTGTTTCTGTAAAGAATACCTGAGATTAAGTAATTTATTATATAAAGAAAAGAGGTTTATTTAGCTCATGGTTCTACAGGCTAGGAAGTTCAAGTCCATGGCCCTGGCTTCTGGCAGGGCTTTCCAGCTGTATCACAGTGTGGCAGGAAAGGTCAAAGGGGAAGTTGACATGTGAATAGGGGAAACGTTGGGGATGGCCTGATTTATAACAACCTACTCTCCCAGGAACTAATCTAGTTTCGGAGAGCCAGAACTCACTCACTACCAGGAGAACAGCACCAAGTCACTCATGAGAGATCTGCCCCCATTACCTAAACACCACCCAGTAGGCCCCACCTCCTAACACCACCACATTGGGGATCAAATTTCCACATGAGTTTTGGTGGCGACAAACCTTATCTAAACCATAGCAGTAGGTAACTTAGAAATTAATTACTGTAGGGTGAAACTATTAAGGGTCAGGGGAACAAAAGGGAGGAGATGGTATTACTATAACTTTTTTTTTTTTTTTTTGAGACAGGATCTCAATCTGCCTCCCAGACTGGAGTGCAGTGGGCGATCACGGTTTACTCCAGCATTGACCTCCCCAGGCTCAGGTGACCCTCCTACCCCAGCCTCCCTAGTAGCAGAGACTACAAGCAGGTGCCACCGTGTCCATTGTTTCTGTAGAGTTAGGGTTTTTTTTTTTTTTTTTTTTTGAGACAGAGTTTCGCTCTTCTTGCCCAGGCTGGAGTGCAATGGCGTGATCTCGGCTCACCGCAACCTCCGCCTCCCAGGTTCAAGCAATTCTCCTGCCTCAGCCTCCTGAGTAGCTGGGATTACAGGCATGTGCCACCACACCCGGCTAATTTTGTATTTTTAGTAGAGACGGGGTTTCTCCATGTTGGTCAAGCTGGTCTTGAACTCCCAGCTTCAAGTGATCCGCCCGTCTTGGCCTCCCAAAGTGCTGGGATTACAGGCGTGAGCCACTGCACCTGGCCTGTAGAGTTAGGGTTTTGCCATGTTGTCCAGGGTGGTCCTGAACCCCTGGGCTCAGGTGATCCACCCACCTCAGACTCCCAAAGTGCTGGGATTACAGACATGAGCCACTGCGCCTGGCCCAGAACTTTTTTTTTTTTTTTTGGAGACGGAATTTCTCTCTTGTTGCCCAGGCTTGAGTACAATGACGCGATCTTGGCTCATCGCGACCTCCGCCTCCCAGGTTCAAGCGATTCTCCTTCCTCAGCCTCCTGAGTAGCTGGGATTACAGGCAGACGCCACTATGCCTGGCTAATTTTGTATTTTTAGTAGAGACGGGGTTTTCTCCATGTTGGTCAGGTTGGTCTCGAACTCCTGACCTCAGGTGATCCGCCCGCCTTGGCCTACCAAAGCGCTGGGATTACAGGCATGAGCCACCGCACCCGGCCCAGAACTTTTAAGAATATCAAATAGTAGGGACCACCACTCAAACTTACTGCCACTTTTTTTTTTTTTTTTTTTTTTTTTAAAAGACGCAGTCTCACTTGGTTGCCCAGGCTGGAGTGCAGGGGTGCAATCTTGGCTCACTGCAACCTCTGCCTCCCCACCTCCCAGGTTCAAGCGATTCTCCTGCCTCAGCCTCCTGAGTAGCTGGGATTACAGGCGTGCACCACCACTCCCAAATAATTTTTGCATTTTCAGTAGAGACGGTGTTTTACCATGTTGGTCAGGCTGGTCTCGAACTCCTGACCTCATGATCTGCCCGCCTCGGCCTCCCAAAGTGTTGGGATTACAGGCATGAGCCACGGCTTCCAGCCTACTACCACTTTTATAGCTGGGACTTTGAGGAGGAATTGCCAAGGGTTGTCTCATGGTTGGTGCTTGAACCATTCTAATATTTATTTGGTTTTGGTTTATCCTTTAAATGTTGGATTTTGCAATAATAAGCAAATATCTGCATATATTCTTTTTTTCTCTTATGCAAAAGGTTTTCCTACTATATACGCTGCTCAGCCTCTTGGTCTTTTCACCTAGTATATTTTGGAGATCATTCCATATTGGAACAGAGGTAGTCCTTATTCATTTCCACACCTACACAGTGAGGATGCACCAGAGTTTGTTCAACTGGTCTGTTTTTGATGGACATTAGTAAATAATGCTTTACTGCTGATTTTTTATAAATAAATTTTGGTATGGTACAATAGAAGAAGTGCTGGGCTGAAAGACAAAAGATACAGTTTCTATTTTTGCTACTCATTGGCTGTATGACCTTAAAGCCACTTAGGTTTTCTGACCTCACTTTCCTCATTTGTGAAATAAGGGTTCAGTTGTTCTATAATATCTACTCCTGCTTATACTATTTTGTATTTTTCTGCAAGTTTTATTAACCGTATTTTAAGCCTATTGCTCAGTAAAGTGTATAAAGCATTGTAAGAAAATTATAAATGAGAACATAAGGTTAAGTTTTAGAAGTAACTTAACCTTGGCATGGCAAAACCCTAACCCTCAGTAGAGGGTTGGCCGGGCGCAGTGGCTCACGCCTGTAATCCCAGCACTTTGGGAGGCCAAGGTGGGTGGATCACTTGAGGTCAGGAGTTTGAGACCAGCCTGGCCAACATGGTGAAACCCCGTCTCTACTAAAAATACAAAAAATTAGCTGGGCGGGGTGGGCGCCTTTAATTCCAGCTACTCGGGAGGCTGAGGCAGGAGAATTGCATGAACCTGGGAGAGGCGGAGGCTGCAGTGAGCCGAGATGGCACTATTTCACTCTAGCCTAGGCAACAAGAGTGAAACTCCGTCTCAAAAAAAAAAAGTACTACCAAAGGTTTTCTGGATTTGGATCTGTGGTGCTTGTTGATAGAATTAAGATTTCTGCTTTCATGCCTATTTTTCTGAAACAGTCTCCAGGAAATCTACCTGCTAGGTGATTTTTAATTTTTTTAATTTACTTTTTTTTTTTTGAGACTGGAGTCTTGCTCTGTCGCCCAGACTGGAGTGCAGTGGCACGATCACGGCTCATTGCAAGCTCCGCATCCCGGGTTCACGCCATTCTTCTGCCTCAGCCTCCCAAGAGCTGGGACTATAGGCGCCTGCCACCACGCCTGGCTAATTTTTTGTATTTTTAGTAGAGACAGGGTTTCACTGTGTTAGCCAGGATGGTAATTTACTTTTTAAATTTTTTCTTGAGACAGGGTCTTGCTTTATCACCCAGGCTGGAGCGCAGTGGTACAATCATGGCTCACTGCAGCCTGGATTTCCCAGGCTAAGTGATCCTCTACCTCAGACTCACAAGTAGCTGGGACTACAGGTGTGAGCCACCGTGCTTGGCCAGGTGATTTTTATGATCAGGTGAAGCAAAGATTTACTTCATGTGCATATACACCACTGTCCTTTAGGTTTCCTGGGGATAAGATGTAATCAAGACATTATCTACCTTTCATAAATTCATAATCTGTTCAGCTGTGCAAGTATTAACCAAAAATGTGTAATCTGGTTATTGAGAAAATTTACATAAGAACATAACTATGGCTGGGTGTGGTGGCTCATGCCTGTAATCCCAGCACTTTGGATGGCTGAGGCGGGCTGATCATGAGGTCAAGACATCAAGACCATCCTGGCCAACATGGTGAAACTCTGTCTCTACTGAAAATACAAAAATTAGCTGGGCGTGGTGGCACGCACCTGTAGTCCCAGCTACTCGGGAGGCTGAGGCAGGAGAATCACTTGAACCCAGGTGGCGGAGGTTGCAGTGAGCCAAGAACATGCCACTGCATTCCAGCCTGGCAACACAGTGAGACTTCATCTCAAAAAAACAAAAACAAAAAAACTATAACAATATGAAATAGTGTGACATTGTGTCGATAAGTAATGGTATAGATGGACTTCTGGAAATGATTAATGTGGAATGGAGTAGGAAATGACTTGTGATGGAAGGAGGTCCTCTCCTCTGCTCTAGAGAAGTGAGTAGGAGGCAGAAGCAGGAAGGCATTCCTTTGCCCTGACCACCACTAGAAAAAAGATAAATGACCGCTGGGCAGGGTGGCTTACGCCTGTAATCCCAGCACTTTGGTAGGCTGAGATGGGTGGATCGCTTGAGGTTGGGAATTTGAGACCACCTGGCCAACATGGTGAAACCCCATCTCTACTAAAAATACAGAAATTAGCCGGGGGTGATGATGTGCACCTGTAATCCCAGCTACTCAGGAGGCTGAGGCAGGAGAATTGCTTGAATTTGGGAGGCGGAGGTTGCAGTGAGCCGCGATTGTGCCACTGCACTCCAGCCTGGGGAAAAGGGCGAAACACCGTCTCAAAAAAAAAAAAAAAAAAAAAAAAGACAAATGGAAATAAAATGTTCCATTCCATCACAGCATCTTGTTAAAATGTATTATGTTCTTTGCAGAATATTTTTGTTTATCAGTGGGGAAGCTAGGTTTATATGCCACCCGAGAGATTTGATAGGAGCATTGTGGGATTGTAAAGTACTTTGAATTCCTCTTGAAACACTGTTTTTACCATGCTACTGGTCTGCTCACATTTAGTAAATTCCTGGAGACTGCAGAATAATCTCTAGATTGATGAGGCAAAAGGCTAGAGTCAGAACAGTTAGGTAGGTGTCTACTATTTTGGTTCAAGTGTGGATGACAATGCCCAGCATCAAAGCAGGGGGATAACAATAAAAGGTAGGACGTTTTGAAGAAACAGGTAATAGAGGAAAGTGAAAGTCTGTATCCAAGACAAGATGTCATGCAACATTGTTATTCTTTTTTTTTTTTTTTTTTTTTTGGAGATAGGGCCATACTCTGTTCCTCAGGCTACAGTGCAGAGGCTCACTGCAGCCTCAACTTCAGTGCTCAAGCGATCCTCCCTCTTTTTTTTTGAGATGGAGTCTCGCTCTGTTGTCCAGGCTGGAGTGCAGTGGAGCATGATCTCAGCTCACTGCAAGCTCTGCCTCCCAGGTTCACACCATTCTCCTGCCTCAGCCTCCCGAGTAGCTGGGACTACAGGCGCCTGCCACCACACCTGGCTAATTTTTTGTATTTTTAGTGGAGACGGGGTTTCACTGTGTTAGCCAGGATGGTCTTGATCTCCTGACCTCATGATCCACCTGCCTCGGCCTCCCAAAGTGCTGGGATTACAGGTGTGAGCCACCGCGCCCGGCCAATCCTCCCTCCTTGGCCTCCCAAAGTGTAGGCGTGAGCCACTGTGTTTGGCCTATTATTCTTTTTTTTTTTTTTTTTTTTTTTTTTTTTTTTTGAGACGGAGTCTCGCTCTTTCTCCCAGGCTGGAGTACAGTGGCGCGATCTCCACTCACTGCAACCTCTGCCTCCTGGGTTCAAGCAATTCTTCTGCCTCAGCCTCCCGAGTAGCTGAAATTACAGGTGCCTGTCGCCGTGCCCAGCTAATTTTTGTATTTTTTGTAGAGGCGGGGGTTTCACCATGTTGGGCAGGCTGGTCTTGAACTCCTGACCTCAGGTGATCCGCCCACCTTGGCCTCCCAAAGTGCTAGGATTACAGGCGTGAGCCACTGTGCCTGGCCTGGCCTATTATTCTTTTGAGGATGGTTTGAAGTTAATTTCAATGACAATTTATAGTATCTCTTAAAAAGAATAAATGGAGTCCTATGATTGGGTTCAAATCTGGTTCTGTGTAATCATGGGCAAGTTAATTTATCTCAGCCTCAATTTTCCTCATCTTATCCTCATCTTAGAATTGATAATATGTTCCTCACAGAGTTGACGTAAAGATTAAATGAGATAAGGCACCTGGCACATGTTCTCAATACCTGTTGATTCCATTTTCTCATCTAGTGTTGATACCAGCTACATTTTAATGGTTACTGAAGACCTTGATACTCAAGGTCCCCAAACTGGCAGTGCTGGCATCATCAAGGTGAGAATACAGTGTCAAGTTCCACCCGAGGCTTACTGAATCTGAATCTATAAACTAGATTCACATTAAAATTTGAGAAGCATTGGAACCTTAGGAGATATTGAATGAGATTTCCTCTGAGTACCTAATGATTTGGTTGTTCTTTTATCTTTGGACAGTTGTTTTTGCTGTGCACTCTTAGCTGAAACTATTTTAGATAAAATATGTGCACTTGTGTTTGGAAAGACAGTCCAATTGCAGAAATGTTTATATTATTATTTTTGAGACAGAGTTTCGCTCTTATTGCCCAGGCTAGAGTGCAATGGCATGATCTCTGCTTACCACAACCTCCACCTCCCGGGTTCAAGTGATTCTCCTGCCTCAGCCTCCCAAGTAGCTAGAATTACGGGCGTTTGCCACCACACCCAGCTATTTTTTGTATTTTTTAGTAGAGACGGGGTTTCACCATGTTTGCCAGGCTGGTCTTGAACTCCTGACCTTAGGTGATTCACCTGCCTTAGCCTCCCAAAGTGTTGGGATTATAGGCGTGAGCCACCGCACCCAGCCCAGACATCCTTCTTCTATGAATATGTCCAAATTAAACCTTGGCCCAGCTAGGGACAGTGGCTCATGCCTGTAATCCCAGCACTTTGGGAGGCCGAGGCAGGTGGATTGCTTGAGGTCAGGAGTTCAAGACCAGCCTGGCCAACATGGTGAAACCCCTCTCCCCTAAAAATACAAAACTTAGCCAGGCGTGATGGTGTCTGCCTGTAATCCCAGCTACTCAGGAGGCTGAGGCAAAGAGCTGCTTTAACCCAGGAGGTGGAGGTTGCAATGAGCCAAGATCACGCCACTGCTCCCCAGCCTGGGTGACAGAGCTAGACTACATCTCAAAAAAAAAACAAAAACAAACAAAAAAGGGCAGCAAGAATAAAGGATCATAGAGGTGGGAAGAGAGAATATTACGATCATTTGGCTGAAGGAGAGAGGAATAGACCAGAGTGAGGAGAGGCACACAAAAAGTAAGATTAGGCCAGACGCGGTGGCTCATGCCTGTAATCCCAACACTTCGGGAGGCTGAGGTAGGCAGGTCACCTGAGGTCAGGAGTTCAAGATCAGCCTGGGCAACATGGTGAAACCCCATCTCTACTAAAAACAGAAAAATTAGCCGGGCATGGTGGCAGGCGCCTGTAATCCCAGCAACTTAGGAGGCTGAGGCAGGAGAATCGCTTGAACCCAGGAGGTGTTCAGTGAGGTTGCAATGAGCCGAGATTGCGCCATTGTACTCCAGCCTGGGCAACAAGAGCGAAACTCCATCTCAAAAACAAAACAAAATTTAAAAACCTTGAATTTTAAAGAATAGGCCTTAAAACAGTCAAAAGGTTTTTTTTTTTTTTTTGGCGCGATGGAGTCTCGCACTGTCACCCAGGCTGGAATGCAATGGCGTGATCTCAGCTCACTGCAACCTCTGCCTCTCAGGTTCAAGCGATTCTCCTGCCTCAGCCTCCTTAGTAGCTGGGATTACAGGTGCCCACGACCACGCCCAGCTAATGTTTTGTATTTTTAGTAGAGATGGTGTTTCACCATGCTGGCCAGGCTGGTCTCGAACTCCTGACCTCTGGTGATCCACCCGCCTCGGCCTCCCAAAGTGGTAGGATTACAGGTATGAGCCACTGTGCCTGGCCCAGTCAAAAGTTTTTGATCCAGATTTGCATCATGAAGTTTAATACTACAGCGAAATAAAGAATAGATTGAAGAAGGAAGAAGGAAGGAAGTGGGAAACCAGCTAATTCTCTCTAATTGTGGCAGATTAGTTAGGAAGTGATATGAGCCGGGGGCATGGTGTCTCACACCTGTAATTCCAGCACTTTTGGATGCCAATACAGGAGGATCACTTGAACCCAGGAGTTTGAGACCAGCCTGGGCGATGTGGCGAAATCCTGGCTCTACAAAATAAAAAAATTAGCTGGTCTTGATGGTGTGCACCTGGAGTCCCAGCTTCTTGGGAAGTTGAGGCAGGAGAATCACCATGTTGCCCCAGCTGGACTCCTGGCCTCAAACAGTCCTCCCACCTCAGACTCCTGAGTCGCTGGGATACAGACACAAGCCACCATGTTGGTAATTTTATTTATTTTCTTTTCTCTTTTTTTTGAGACAGAGCCACCAAGCCTGGCTAATTTTTTTTTTTTTTTTTTTTTTTTTTTTGTACAGACGAGGTTTTGCTGTGTTGCCAGGGCTGGTGTTGAACTCTTGGGCTCAAGCTATTCGCCCACCTTGGCTTCCCACAGTGCTGGGATTACGGGTGTGAACCACTGCGCGTGGCCATTATTAAAATAGTTTTTTCTTCCTGATACTAAGGATCACTGTTTACCCTTCTAGAACTCCATTTAATTTGTATTTGCTTTAAGGAATTTCAGTGTTTAAGAATGAGAGAACTTTGAATGTTTTTGCATACCTGTTTGCCTGTATGAGTCATCTTTATGTACTTTCTATTTAGCATTTCTCCTATTTGGGGTTCTGATTTGTAGTTTACAGCATTAAGGAAGTAACAGAGAACTAGATAACTCATAACAACCTTGGTATTATCTTTTGTATGGTAATGTTATTGTGTTGTCGGGAATTCTGTTAAGTGTGTGTCAGTTTAATTTTAGTTTGTAAACTGATACAGAATAGTAAACATGAAGCAGTGAAATTATGTTGTTAGTTGTGGGTTATTTTAAACATTATTGAAAAGTGGACTGTTTAACATAGACCATATCACTGGCCTTTTGCTCCAAGTGCCAGGGAGGTGTTCTCAGGTCATTAGTCTTATCTGTAGAATCAGTCTGTTTTTTTTTTTTTTTTTTTTTTGAGGCGGAGTCTCACTCTGTCGCCCAGGCTCGATCTCCGCTCACTGCAAGCTCCGCCTCCCGGGTTCACGCCATTCTCCTGCCTCAGCCTCCCGAGTAGCTGGGACTACAGGCACCCGCCACCACACCTGGCTAATTTTTTGTATTTTTAGTAGAGACGGGGTTTCACCGTGTTAACCAGGATGGTCTCGATCTCCTGACCTCATGATCTGCCCGCCTTGGCCTCCCAAAGTGCTGGGATTACAGGCGTGAGCCACCGGGCCCGGCCTAGAATCAGTCTTAAATGAAGTGAACACTTCTGTCCTCCCCATATTTCTGTCTGGTAGCTGAATTTCATATTATAAGCTATCTTTGAATATATTTGTATTCTGCACAGTCATCACTTATTTTCATAGAAATGGTACAGAATATAGCCTTTTGAAGTTTCTGATGGATTATTATTTTTACCGTACAGTTGATACAGTATGCAAAATCAATTTTCCTGAGATCATAGCAAATTTATAGAAGGTCAGAGATGGAAATTAGTTTTCTGGATTCCATCCCTTTAAATGCTGACTGTTAAAATTGAACTAGTATTAACAGTTTTCAGCCATAACACTACCCATCTGAAATACAGTATGATTCAACACACATAAAAAGACAATTGGTATTGGCAATTTTCACATTTCTGGACACCACATCTTAAGGCATATTTTCCTTAAAGCAAACTCGTGGCTGTGCATTTTTGCATCTTGATTGCTTTAGTGCTCTTGCCTTGTCTTGACTTTATTGGAAGCCATAGCAATGAGAAGTAAAATGTGGATTTTATTTTTTCATATTTTAATTAATTTTTTAAGAGATCGTCTTGCACTGTCACAGGCTGGAGTGCAGTGGTGCAATCATCAGGTGATCTTCCCACCTCAGCCTCCCACATAGCTGGGACTACAGGTGCACACCACCATACCTAGCATTTTTTTTTTCTTCTTGGAAATGGGGGGGGGGGGTCTCACTATTTGCCCAGGCTGGTCTCGAACTCCTGGCCTCAAGCGATCCTCTGGTGGCAGTCTCCTGAGTTGCTGTGATTATAGGCATAAGCCACCACTCCTGGCTCTTAATGTGGGTTTTAATTAGGCAAGTGGTTAATAAGCAAAATTGTAACTTATGAAGTGGTGAAAAGTAGAAACTATCTCTAGTATTTATCTAATGTTGGCTTACGTCTTGTAGGCCACCTCTCTCAACAAATATTTATATAACTTTGAGATAATGAAGATACTGTACAAAATGAATAGAAGGTCAGAGGAATACTTAATTGGCTGGAGGGGATAGAACCTCAAGAAGAGGTAACTCTTACGTGGCAGAGTAGGAATTTGTCCTACTGGCAAGTAGGAGTACGGTATTTCTGCAAGAGGGGATGGCCAGCAAGAGCAGAGACTAGAAATGAGAAAGGAGTTTAAGGTATTTCACAAACAAGTACTTCAGATGACTGAATTGAAATCTGTTGGAAAAAGCCACTACTCTTCTCATTGTTAAATTCATGACATGCTTTGGTCACTATTGCCTGATAATTTTATTCATTTTATCAAAAATATTCATTAGTCGAGGCCAGGCGCAGTGGCTCACACTTGTAATCCCAGCACTTTGGGAGGCCGAGGCAGGCATATGACTTGAGGTCGGGAGTTCAAGACCAGCCTGACCAACATGGTGAAACTGTATCTCTACTAAAAATACAAAAATTAGCTGGGCATGGTGGCACATGTCTGTAATCCCAGCTGTTCAGCAGCTTGAGGCAGGAGAATCACTTGAACTCTGGAGACGGGGGTTGCAGTGAGCTGAGGTTGTGCCACTGCACTCCAGCCCTGAGTGACAGAACAACTCCGTCTCAAAAAAAAAAAAAAGGAAAAGAAATTCATTAGTTGAAACATTGTTAATAGGAGTAGTTAAACCAAGTAAGATTTATTTTCCAACCTCCAGGAGGATAACTTTATTTGCTTACTAAATCACAATATAGCAATGTCATTTATTAAATCTTTTAATCAATTCCATAAGCATTTTTTTTGGAGAATAATAGATATATTTAATCTTCCTTCATTCAACTATAGCAATGGTAATAATAACAATGTGCCTCCCATTGTTGGAACAATTTTAAAATTTTAACCTATAAATTTACTGTCATTTTTAAGTGCAAGCAAAGCTCTCAGTGTATGTGATTAAATTTATCAAAGGTGGCAAAGAGGGGATTACATTTTTATTTCACTTGTTTTTCCCTGTCCTAAATCTGTTATCCCAGAATGAACAAAACATATGCTGTATCAGAAGTGACTAACTATTAAAGCTAATGAGATATAACCAGCAACTGATATCATATACTTTTTCTTTTTCTTTTTTTTTTTGGAGATGGAGTTTTGCTCTTGTTGCCCAGACTGGAGTGCAATGGCACGATCTCGGCTCAACACAACCTTCACCTCACAGGTTCAAGCGATTCTCCTGCCTCAGCTTCCCGAGTGCTGGGATTACAGGCGTGTATCACCATGCCTGGCTAATTTTGTATTTTTAGTAGAGACAGGGTTTCTCCATGTTGGTCAGGCTGGTCTCGAACTCCTGACCTCAGGTGATCTGCGCGCCTCAGCCTCCCAAAGTGCTGGGATTACAGGCATGAGCCACCGCGCCTGGCTGCATTTATTTATTTATTTATTTATTTTGAGACTGAGTCTTGCTCTGTTGCCCAGTAGTGCGATCTCGGCTCACTGAAACCTCCGCCTCCCTAGTTCAAGTGAAAATCCTGCCTCAGCCTCTGAATAGCTGGGATTATAGGTGCCCACCACCAGGCTGGGCTAATTTTTGTATTTTTAGCAGAGACAGGGTTTCACCATGTTGGCCAGGCTGGTCTCGAACCCCTGAGCTCAGGTGATCCACCCACCTTGGCCTCCCAAATTGCTGGGATTACAGGCATGAGCCACCGCACCAAGCCGGTTTTTACTTTTTAATTAAATTATTATTATTATTATTATTATTATTATTTTCTTTTTGAGACAGAGTCTCGCTCTGTCGCCCAGGCTGGAGTGCAGTGGCACGATCTCGGCTCACTGCAAGCTCTGCCTCCCCCGGGTTCACGCCATTCTCCTGCCTCAGCCTCCTGAGTAGCTGGGACTACAGGCGCCCGCCACCATGCCCGGCTAATTTTTTGTATTTTTAGTAGAGACGGGGTTTCACCGTGTTAGCCAGGATGGTCTTGAACTCCTGACCTCGTGATCCGCCCACCTCGGCCTCCCAAAGTGCTGGGATTACAGGCGTGAGCCACCATGCCCAGCCTATTATTATTTTTGAGATGGAGTTTCACTCCGTCACTAGGCCAGAGTACAGTGGCGCTGTCTTGGCTCACTGCAACCTCCGCCTCCTGGTTCAAGCGATTCTCCTGCCTCAGCCTCCCCAGTAGTTGGGACTACAGGCACGCGCCACCATGCCCAGCTAATTTTTGTATTTTTATTTTATTTTATTTTTGAGACAGAGTCTTGCTCTTGTTGCTCAGGCTGGAGTGCAATGGCAGGATCTCGGCTCACTGCAACCTCCGCCTCTTGAGTTAAAGTGATTCTCCTGCCTCAGCCTCCTGAGTAGCTGGGATTACAGGTGCCCACCACCATGCCCAGCTAATTTTTTGTATCTTTAATAGAGACGGGGTTTCACAGTGTTGGCCGGGCTGGTCTCAAACTCCTGACCTCAGGTGATTCACCTCCTCGGTCTCCCAAAGTGCTGAGATTACAGGCGTGAGCCACCGCACCTGGCCAATTTTTGTATTTTTAGTAGAGACAGGGTTTCACCATGTTGGCCAGGATGGTCTCAATCTGTTGACCTTGTGATCTGCCTGCCTCAACCTCCCAAAGTGCTGGGATTACAGGTATGAACCACTGTGCCTGGCCAAATAAATTAATTTTTGTGGGGGACAGGATCTCACTCTGTCACACAGGCTGGAGTGCAGTGGTAAGACCATAGCTCCCTGCAGCCTCCACCTCTTGGGCTCAAGCCATCCTTCCACCCCAGCCCCCAAGTAGCTGCCACCACACCCAGCTAATTTTTAAATTTTTTTTGTGGAAACAGGGCCTAGTCTGTGTTGCCCCAGCTGGTCTTGAACTCCTGGGCTCAAGTGATCCTCTCATCTTGGCGTCTCAAAGTGCTGGGATTACAGGCATGAGCCCCTGCACCCTGCCTACTTTAAATTTTTTAATCTTCATTTCCCCATTATGAATTTTCTGACATAGATACACAGAAAGTTTTATTTGCCCAAGGTATGCAGGAATGAAATTACTTTCTGTCCATTGTAAAACTAGCTTAGTGTCTAGCTACATTGTGTGATAATAATATAATAACTTCACCTAGGTGGAGACAAGTTAGGAAGGTAGGGGAAATTATGCTCTACTACTGTGAGAGGAAAACGTACATACACGAATTATTTGGAAATCTGCAGGGGAGATTCCCCCCTTTTTGTTTCCCCCGCCCTGAGATGGTATCTTGCTCTGTTTCCCAGGCTGGAGTGCAATGGCAAGATCTTGGCTCACTCCAACCTCTGCCTCCTTGGTTCAAGTAATTCTCCTGCCTCAGCCTCCCGAGTAGCTGGGCTTACAGGTGCGCACCACCATGCCCAGCTAATTTTTTGTATTTTTAGTAGAGATGGGGTTTCACTATGTTGGCCAGGCTGGTCTCAAACTCCTGACCTCGTGATCTGCCTGCCTCGGTCTCCCAAAATGCTGGGTTTACAGGCATAAGCCACCGCACCCAGCCTTTTTTTTTTTCTTAATCAGTTATATCAATATGAATTTGTGGATATTCATTTTGTACTTTGGGATTGATTGATTGATTGATTTATAGATGGAGTCTCTCTCTGTCTCCCAGGCTGGAGTGCAGTGGTGCGATCTTGGCTCACTGCAACCTCTGCCTCTTTGGTTCTAGCAGTTCTCTTGCCTCAGCCTCCCAAGTAGCTGGGACTACAGGCGCACACCGCCACGCCTGGCTAATTTTTTGTATTTTAGTAGAAACGGGGTTTCACCCTGTTGCCCAGGCTGATCTCGAACTCCTGAGTTCAGGCACTCCACCCGCCTCAGTCTCCCAAAGTGCTAGGATTACAGGCATGAACCACAGCACCTGGCCTGTACTTGGGGTTTTGATCCAATACCAATTTATTTTATGGCCCAGTTGTTTCAGTTTTGACCATCAGGAGCTCTTTCATCTGCCTCCTTTGCCCCTTTTACACAATCCCATCAATTTTCTTTTTTTTTTTTTTTTTTTTGAGACAGAGTCTCACTCTGTTGCCCAGGCTGGAGTGCAGTGGCACAATCTCAGCTCACTGCAACCTCCGCCTCCTGGGTTCAAGCAATTCTCGTGCCTCAGCCTCCTGAGTAGCTGGGATTACAGGCACCCGCCACCATGGCCAGCTAATTTTTGTATTTTTAGTAGAGATGGGGTTTCACCATGTTGGTCAGGCTTGTCTCGAACCCCTGACCTTGTGATTCACCCGCCTCAGCCTCCCAAAGTGCTGGGATTACAGGCGTGAGCCACCGCACCCGGCCAATCCCATCAATTTTCTTTTGTTTTGTTTTTAGGGCACTTCCTTACTTTGTGGCAGTACTGGATTCTCCAGGCTCATCTTATATATTTCCTGTCCTCCTAGATTCTGCCGTTTCACCAAGGAGCCCTGGTTTCTTTTATTGGAGAACGGTATTAGAAAGAACTTCTGGGTGCTAGGTATGCTTATTACTTGTAGGCCCTTGCAGTTAACAGAACAAGGTGGTAGATGAGTGTATACTAACACATGTATATATGTGTGTGTGTGTATATTATGCACCAATTGTAAATATTTATATGTAACCATCTGTATCTATTTAAACATGAGTTCATCCTGTCTCCCACTCTAATCCATTATCACAGGATCATTCTATCTTCCTTCCTTGACTATTTGTAAATTCCCACTCCAATAAGAAAATTTGGTCTAGCCATCTGCCAACTATTTACTTAATCGTTCAATGCCAATATACATGTATAGCTAGATTAGTATTGTTAGCCTCTGCTTTTGTGAGAAACAACTTTGTCAAGTAGAGACTAGTGCTTATATGAAGTTTCTTTTGCCTTTAGTTTTATAGATGCCCCTTATTTCCAAAGTTACTTAGGTTACACCTTTTCCTCCACCCAAGGTGGTCTCATATATTTGTAATATAGTTGGATTGTTTTATCATAATCTAGGATCCCCCAGCCTCCTGAGTAAGTGGTTTTTTTTAAAAATTTACATGTATTAAATTTCACTCTTTGATGCTGTGGGTTTTGACAAATGTGGGTTGTGAGCTTTGAGTCTTACCAGTTTTATAGAAAACCTTGGAATTTCTCACAGTGGCACTTGTCAGTATAAGCTGCGTGACTTGGATATGTCTATCATTTTGATTGTTTCAGACTGTCCTGGCTGGGCAAAGTGGGTCACACACGTAATCCCAGCACTTTGGGAGACCAAGGTGGGCGGATCACTTGAGGTCAGGAGTTTGAGACCAGCCTGGCCAACATGGTGAAACCCAGTCTCTACTAAAATACGAAAATTAGCTGGGTGTGGTGGTGTGTGCCTGTAGTCCCAGCTACTTGGGAGGCAGAGGTGAGAGAATCGCTTGAACCTGGAGGCAGAGGTTGCAGTGAGCAGAGATTGCACCATTGCACTCCAGCCTGGGCAACAGAGCGAGACTCCGTCTTAAAAAACAAAACAAAAACTTTCCCATCTTAAAATAAATGAGATTGTGTTTACTTTGCAGTAATTCATCAAGCTCTACTCTTAGGATGGTCACTTTTCTGTGTTACTTGGATTTTAAAATGCTTTAAAGAATTGAATGGTTTGGGCAAAATAGTTTAGGCTCTATCTTTAACTCTGAATCTATTTATCTTTCTAATTTTGAACTCCTTTTAATGTTTTTCTTCTGGGACTTACCACGATTAAAAGTTAGCATTTTTGTTTTGTTTTACTTTTTGGTTTTTCAGCTAGGCTTCTGACAGTATTGCACATTTACATAAAAGTGTAATTATGCCTTTGCTTAAGATTTGTTTTTATTTCAGTTAATTCGTCAGTGAAGAAAAATACATTTTATGCTCTACTCCCAACTAAGATGAACTGTCTTACAGATGGCTTTGTGCTTTTGGTCATAAGCAAGGCCATGTGAAAGTACGGTTCAGTGAAGTCTTTCAACACTGAACACCTCAAGAGTATACTTTGCAACCGTAAGTGAGTCATTAACATCCCTCGTCAGTAAGGTACTTTATGATCTTCATCAAAAAAGTACCGATATTGTTAAGGTGTCTACTAATGTGCCAGATGTACAAAGATAATATGGCTTAGTCTCTGCTCTCAAGTAGTGTACACTCTAATGGGGAAAAAAGGAAGTTAAAATGACATTTAGAAGTGGGTCATAGAGAGAGATGGTGAGAGAGAGATGGTGCTGTGTAAGTGAGCAGGCTTCCTGGTTGACACCTTTTGGGATTAGGAAGATTAAATGGTTCATAGTAAACTGAATGTTTTCAGAGCAGACCTATCTTGTTTAAGGGCCTTTAGCCATTACTTAGATGACATTTATGTAGCTCATCTCCATGTTTTATTAGTTGTTTGTTTAAATTATGTGAGTAATGAAAGGTGTAGTTGATTCTGGCTTACGTGTTTTAGATGACTTATAAATCCTAGAAAAAACATCACCTATCAGAATTAACTCAAGAATAATTTTTTTCTTTTTTTTTTTTTTTTTGAGACAGGGTTTGGTTCTGTTGCCCAGGTTGCAATACAGTGGTGTGATCTTGGCTCACTGCAACCTCTACCTCCTGGGCTCAAGTGATCCTCCCACTTCGGCCTCCTGAGTAGCTGAGACTACAAGTGTGCACCACCACACCCCACTAATTTTTGTATTTTTTGTAGAGATGGAGTTTGACCATGTTGCCCAGGCTGGTCTTGAACTCCTGAACTCAAGTGATCCACTTGCCTTGGCCTCCCAAAGTGCTGGGATTACAGGCATGAACTACTGCACCTGGCCTCAAGAAGAAATTTTAAAACTCGAGTAGTTGTATTAACAATAAAGAGGCTGGGCACGGTGGCTCATGCCTGTAATCCCAGCACTTTGGGAGGCCCAGGCAGATGGATCACCTGAGGTCGGGAGTTCGAGACCAGCCTGACCAACATGGAGAAACCCCGTCTTTGCGAAAAAATACAAAATTAGCCGGGCATGCTGGTGCATGCCTGTAATCCCAGCTACTTGGGAGGCTGAGGCAGGAGAATCGCTTGAACTCAGGAGGTGGAGGTTGCAGTGAGCCGAGATCGTGCCATTGCACTCCAGCCTGGGCAACAAGAGCGAAATTCCATCTCAAAACACACACAGACACACACAGACACACACACACACACACACACACACACACACACAAATTTGGGCACTGAAGTTCCATTTTACCTTTCTACCAAATAAAGCATTTTGCTGAATTTAAAACGTATGGTTCTCCATATGAAATTTTCGGCCAGGTGTGGTGGCTCACGCCTGTAATCCCAGCACTCTAGGAGACCGAGGTGGGCAGATCACCTGAGGTCAGGAGTTTGAGACCACCCTGGCCAGCATGGTGAAACCCTGTCTTTACTAAAAATACAAAAATTAGTTGGGCGTGGTGACGCATGCCTATAATCCCAGCTACTCTGGAGGCTGAGGTAGGAGAATCGCTCGAGTGAGTTCACTGCACTCCAGCCTAGGTGACAAAGCCAGACTCTCTCAAAAACAAAACAACAAAAAAAAGAAAGTATATTGATGGGTAGTTTGTGGAATACTTTATTTTTCCATTTTTAAATTTTTTCTGTTTTATTAAGGGAATCTTAATTGGGTAGCACACTAATGAGTTCACCATTTTTAAAAACTGCAGCTGGTATCTGTTATGAAATTTGGTATGCTTTATAAAATAGCTTCCTGAATTTGTCATAATAGCTCACAGTTTGCTAATAGCAACAATGGTTATGCCAAATTATTCTATTTCTAGGCTTTTTTTTTGGTCAAAACATAGACTGTCAATAATAAGGAGTCTCTAGATTATATGCTTCGTTAATGTAGAATTTAAAATATTAAACTGTGTACTTAAAAACAATTGGGTAAAAAATGTGTTTTTTAGTTTAGTTTTGTTTTGTCTTAAAGGTAATTCTGTTTTGTTGTTGTTGTTTTGGGACAGAGTCTTGCTCTGTTGCCCAAGCTGGAGTGCAGTGGCATGATATTGGCTCACTGCAGCCTCCACCTCTCGGGCTCAAGAGATCCTCCCACCTCAGCCTCCCAAGTAGCTGGGACAACAGGTTTGCACTACCATGCCTGGCTAACTTGTGTATTTTTTATAGAGACAGGGTCTCACTTTGTTGCTTTGGCTGGTCACGAACTCCTGGGCTCAAGCAATCTGCCTGTTTTGGCCTCTCAAAGTGTTGGGTTTACTGGTGTGAGCCACTGCACCCAGCTCTAAAGGTAATTCTGTAAGTGGCAAAGGATATCAGTTTAAGTTACAATAATTTGACAATGTTTAATCCCTTCACCTTCCCCAATTTTATTCTCTGAAATTCTACCTCTTCTTTATTTTTGTTGTTGTTTTTTGATTTTTTGAAACGGAGTCTTGCTGTGTCACCCAGGCTAGAGTGTAGTTGCGCGATCTTGGCTCACTGCAGCATCTAACTCCTGGGCTCAAGCGATGCTCGCACCTCAGACCCCCTGTAGCTGGGACTACAGGTGTGCGCCACCATGGCCAACTAATTTTTGTATTTTTTGTAGAGAAGGGTTTTGTCATGTTGCCCAGGCTGGTCTCAAATTCCTGGACTCAAGTTTTCTGCCTGCTTTGGCTTCCCAAAGTGCTTGGATTACAGGCATGAGTCACCACACTTGGCTTCTACCTAGTCTTTAGAGCTCAGCTGAAATGCTTGTCTGTGAACCTTCCTTATACTAGTTAGAAGCCATCTCTTTCTTTCTTGAACTGTTAAGGCTTCTTGTTTTGTCTCATAGGTCATTTATTATATAATGTTCTGTGTTGGTATTATTAATTTATGTGTCCTTGGCCCTTAGTGGGTCCATCTGTTTGACAGCAAATAGTGACATATCTTCTTTTTGTACCCTGTGTGGGATCTAAGCATAATATATTTTTTCTTTTTGTGTTTTTAATATTTGATAGCAGTCAAGCTTGCAATAAGCACGGTATTTTTACATATAGCAAATGTTTCATTGATATTTGTTGAATGCACGGAGTAAGGTAGAATTTTTTATTTTATCCTTTTTCTACTTTCTATAACTTTTTCATTTGAGTTGATAAAATGATAACCGTGGTATATTCATAAGAAGGCTTATTGTCTTAGATTGAATCACTTTATGATCTTCTTTAAATCTCTCATTCAACAGTATATTTTCAAGAGTAGCATTTAGTACTTAGCCTACATTAGTGCTGCTGAAGTGGTTCACTTTATGAGTTCATAATGACATCTGTTCAGGGTTGCTGCTTTGTCCCTAAAGCCTCAGAAGCCCTCATGCTGTGGGATGACTGTGGGTTCCTCCATTCAGTCCAGTCCCTTCTTCTTTTTATTTTTCTCTGCTCCTCCTTCTTGTCCCTTATTCTTTTTTTTTTTTTTTTTTTTTTTTGAGACAGAGTCTTGCTTTGTCACCTCACCCACCTTGGAGTGCAGTGGTACGATCTCGGCTCACTGCAATCTCCGCCTCCTGGGTTCAAGGGATTCTCCTGCCTCAGCCTCCTAAGTAGCTGGGATTACAGGTGCACACCACCACGCCTGGCTAATTTTTGTTTTTAGTAGGGGTCTCACCATATTGGCCAGGCTGGTCTCGAACTCCTGACCTCAAAAGATCCGCGCACCTCAGCCTCCCAAAGTGCTGGGATTACAGGCGTGAGCCACTGCGCCCGGCCCTGTCCCTTATTCTTTAGTTAGGTCTCAGTCCTTTATTTTATTATCTATCGGTAAGAAGTTCCCTTAATTACTTTTTTTGTTTGTTTGTTTGTTTTTGAGACGGAGTCTCGCACTGTCACCTGGGCTGGAGTACAGTGGCACGATCTTGGCTTACTGCAACCTCTGCCTCCCAGGTTCAAGCGATTCTCTGGCCTCAGCCTCCCGAGTAGCTGGGATTACAGGTGCCCACCACCACGCCCAGCTAATTTTTTGTATTTTTAGTAGAGATGGGGTTTCACCATGTTGGCCAGGCTGGTCTCAAACTCCTGACCTTGTGATTCCTCCGCCTTGGCCTCCCAAAGTGCTGGGATTACAGGCGTGAGCCACTGTGCCTGGCCAATTACATTTTTTAACCTTTTGAATTTGTGACAAATACGTTTGATTGCATTTTAAATGTTCAGCTTCCTTTTAGGTAAATGAAGTGTATTCCAACTTTAATAAAGATGTGTTTACCACAAGAGGATTGTCAGATGTCTAGTTGAATAGAAACCAAAGGCAAAAAACTAATCAAATATTGCCCTCAAATCTGGCAATGGCTTTTAAATGCATAGCAGTTTCATTCCCATGTTGAAATTCTTTTGAGTTGATTCTTTCTAGGTTACGGATTTTCTCCAATGAATTCAGAGTAGTTTCTTGATATCTACTATCTTTACAAAATCTTCCTGAAGTAAGTGGGGAACTTTCATTACTTAGGGAGGTTTTTGTTTCTTACTCTGTGTGACTTATGCTAGGTTTCACAGCATTAAAGCTAGAAACAGTGGCCACATCTTCCAGTCTCAAAATCTTAACCTTAATTTATACCTCAGAAGGGTAAGGCATTCAGACTTTAGAAACTGATTTGTGTTTAGTTATATGTAGCATAGTTTTTTTTTTAGTTTTTAAAATTTTTTTTGTATTTTGAGACAGAGTCTCGCTCTGTTGCCCAGGCTGGAGTACAGTGGTGCGATCTCAGCTCACTGCAACCTCCGCCTCCCAGGTTCAAGCAATTCTCCTGCCTCAGCCTCCTGAGTAGCTGGGATTACAGGCATGCGCCTGCACGCCCAGCTAATTTTTGTATTTTTAGTAGAGACGGGGTTTCCCCATGTTGGTCAGGCTGGTCTTGAACTCCTGACCTCATGATCCACCCACCTCAGCCTCCCAAAGTGCTGGGATTACAGGTGTGAGCCATCACGCCTGGCCTAGTATAGTAGTTTTTCGGAAGAAAAAGATACTACTGGGCCAAATAAATAGTTTCCTCTCTGGCAGCAGACTCTCAGGCCAGTATATATACCTTAAAAGGTACAAAATTCCATAAACCAGAGATTTGTATTAATTCTGACCAATAAAATATTTTGACAACATCTAGTAACATATAAAGGTAGGATCTACCATTTTCTGGATATACTAATGATGTAATTTTTTTTACATGTCCCAGGTAGCTGGGATTACAGGCGCCTGCCACCACGCCTGACTAATTTTTGGTGTTTTTAGTAGAGACAGGGTTTCGCCATGTTGGCTAGGCTGGTCTTGAGCTCCCGTCCTCAGGTGATCCACCCACCTCGGACTCCCAAATTGCTGGGATTACAGGCGTGAGCCACCACGCCTGGCCTAATGATGTAATTTCTATTATAAAATAACTACTGGGCACAGTGACTTATACCTGTATTCCCAGCACTTTGGAACATTGGGACAGGAGGATCACTTGAGCCTAGGAGTTCAAGGCTGCAGTGAACTATAATTGTGCCACTGCACTCTAGCCTGGGCGACAGAGCAGAACCCTATCTTTAAAAAAAAAAAAAAAACCCTTGCGAGCTCAGCACAAAGGTGTTCTGAGTAGACATGTCAATAAACCTTACACTCATTTGAATGCCTAGTACTAAGAAGACAAAGATGCCTAGGCCAATGGTCCTGCCTCCAGGGAGTTCAGATTCCAGTACATTCATTCAGTCACGTTGGGGAAGCTGAGAAGGTGTAACACAAATGTGAAGGGTGAGAAGGACTTCTTTTAAACAGTTTCATGAAAATTACATTCATTGAGTTAGTATGCTTACGTGTGAAAAGTTTGTAGGGCTTCTTTTGGCATGAAAACAAGAAAAACTCAGAGTTTCAAAATGCCTCTATATCCTTGGGGGAATATGAGTGATGATTTTATTACCTAATCATGGAAGTGAAAAAGAAGGGCTATGCAAATTGGTGTTGGGCATGTAATTACAGAGGAATTGCATCTGAGCTCACCCATGTGTGTTCTCCTTGGCATCTGTGGCTAGGGCCAAGTTAGCAAACATGCCCTCAAAGGTATGGGGTTTGATGTTTTTGTGGAGGGTGTAACAGTTGAATGGTGGAAATTGCTTGACATTGGCTATTACAGCAGTATGAGTCTCTTTATGTTGGCTTGCTATTGTATTTTAAGACAATTTGGAAAGAGAATGAGTTGTTTTATTGAATCAAATTTATTCTGATTGGGAAAAATAGTAATGTAAATAAACTTTTGCAGCCTCCATTGATTCATTTTGTTCTGCAACAGACCTTAGGCTTATAGTCTGTCAAAATGTTGTGCAAGGGAGCAACTATTTAATTTAAATGTCAACCATGCAGCCAAAGTCAAGGAATCCATTTCTTTGGGCTCTTTTCCTTGGTGAATTTAGAGCTGAGTGGAGGTTAAAAATATAAGAAAGTTAGGCTGGGCACGGTGGATTACTTGAGGTCGGGAGTTTGAGACCAGCCTGGCTAACATGGTGAAACCCTGTTTCTACCAAAAATACAAAAATTTGATCATGCCACTGCACTCCAGTCTGGGGCACAGAGCGAGACTCCCATCTCAAAAAAAAAAAAAATTAGCTGGGCATAGTGATGTGCGCCAGCTACTTGGGAGGCTGAGGTGGGAGAATCACTTGAACCTGGGAGGCAGAGGTTGCAGTGAGCTCAGATCGTGCCACTTCACTCCAGCCTGGGTGACAGAGTGAGACCCTATCTCAAAAAAATAATAAAACAAAAAATATATATGAAAGTTAATAAATCAGTGAAGTTAGCCAGTAGGAAATGATAATATATAAGGGAACAAGTAAGAGGGACTATGGGAAGTGATATTTTTTCCAGTAATAAAAGGCATGGTTTGATTTTTTTTTTTTTTTTTTTGACATGGAGTTTGCTCTTGTTGCCCAGGCTAGAGTGCGGTGGCATGATCTCGGCTTACTGCAACTTCCACCTCTCCAGTTCAAGTGATTCTCCTGCCTCAGCCTCCCGAGTAGCTGGGATTACAGGCATGTGCCACCACGCCCAGCTAGTTTTTTGTATTTTTAGTAGAGACGGGGTTTCACCATGTTAGCCAGGCTGGTCTTGAACTCCTGACCTCAGGTGATCTGCCTGCCTTGGCCTTCCAGAGTGCTGGGATTACACGCGTGAGCCACCATGCTCGGCGACTGTACGTTTTAGGATAGGAATTTGGGCTGGAAATGGAGGTCTCTGTTGTTTGAAAGGCCTCCCTCTAGCGAGTCAGTCATGTTGAAAAACACCTTACCCACGTGAGCATGGAAAGAGGCATAACTATCTAGGATCCTTTTTCTTTTTCTTTTTCTTTTTTTTTTTAAGATGGAGTCTCACTCTGTTGCCCAGGCTAGAGGGCAGTGGCGCAATCTCGGCTCACTGCAACCTCTGCCTCCCAGGTTCAAGTGATTCTCCTGCCTTAGCCTCCCGAGTAGCTGGGACTACAGGTGCACGGCACCATGCCCGGCTAATTTTTGTATTTTTAGTAGAGACGGAGTTTCACCATATTGGCCAGGCTGGTCTCGAACTCCCGAGCTCGTGATCCGCCTGCCTAAGCTTCCCAAAGTGCTGGGATTACAGGCGTGAGCCACCACACCTGGCCTAGGATCCTTTTTCTAATACAGTTTTCAGGAAACCCATTATAATACTCTTCTCTGCTTTTGGGGAATGAAGGGAATTGCTCCTTTCTCACTGTCAGTGCCTTTCCCCCATACCACCAGGTGGACTTAAGCCACTCCAGTCCTTCCAAGTAGCCACCAATTTGCTGATTATCACTAAGATTCTAATAGCCACTTTGCTAGGAAACATTTGTAGTATCATAAGCTTTCAGCCAGTTTGGTAGATAAATTATCTGGGAAGCAATTTTATGAGTTCATGTTTTCATTTTCCTTAATGTGATTCTTCCAGTTTTAAAAGATGTTACACATAATTAGTGCATGAATTACTGCAGTGGTAGAGATGAGGTAGGAGGTTTCTGTTCTCTGCTCTCCCCGGTCTGTCACTTTTTGGAACATTTCAGATCTTTCTCAAAGCCCCAAAGTATATTTCGAGATTACTCTTCGTTTCCTTCCCCACCCCCCGCCAAATCCAGCTTTTCCCAATTTTGGGAAGACCCTTCTTATTCTTCCTTTCATCAGTGCTAGAGGGAATGCTGGAAATTTGTAAAGTGGGGTGGCATAGTAAATGGTCTGGGTAGAGTGTGTGGAGCAAGAGAAATAAATGTATTAAAAAATAATAAAATTATCCCTTCAAAAGGACTTACTGTCCATCTGTAAGGAGGCTGGCTGAAGCTGTTAGCTCCTTTAGGGTCTGCCTCAGCTTTGGAGCCTTCTGCCAGTGGTTGAGCGAAGCAGTGATTTAGAGCCTTGCCCTTTCTGCCCAGTACTAGATTCCCCTGAGTGGCCGTCTTTGCTCCCGAGCTCTCTGTTGGACAGGCTTTGTCAGGTCTGCATTGTGGTCTGATGGCTCCTCTTGCCCAATCCTGCTGCTTCTGCACTTCTTCCAGAAGTTACTTCCCATTAAACTTTTTCCATTCTGAATTCTGTCTAGCATCTGCTTCCTGGAGAATCTAATCTGCAACACAGTTCTTACATAAAACACCCTATTTCCTTCATTTTACTGGTTTTACCTCAGACTTTGTGTATAATGTCATAGGAGTATAAATGAGATGCCTGCCTCTATGTGTATGCTTTCTTTGTAGAAAATTTAGGAAATACAGATAAGCAGAAGCAAGACATTTTTAAAATTATTAATAATATTCCCACTAGAAGTAACTGCTGATAATGGCTTATTTTGGCAACTTTATTTATTTATTTAAGACGGAGTCTTGCTCTGTCGCCCAGGCTGGAGTGCAGTGGAGCGACCTCAGCTCACTGCAACGTCTGCCTCCTGGGTTCAAGCGATTCTCCTGCCTCAGCCTCCCGAGTAGCTGGGATTACAGGTGTGTGCCACCACACCCAACTAATTTTTGTGTTTTTAGTAGAGACGGGTTTCACCATGCTGGCCATGCTGGTCTCGAACTCTTGACCTCAGGTGATCCACCCGCCTAGGCCTCCCAAAGTTCTGGGATTACAGCATGAGCCACTGCACCCGGCCAGTATTTTGACAAACTTTAGAGAAGTGCGTGAGTATTCAGCTCAGTAAATTTTTTACAAACAAAAAACATCTGTGTAACCAGTACCCAATCAGGAAACAGAACTTTACTAGTACCTCAGATACCTCACTTGTAACAGCATAAATTTTGCCTCGTTTTGAACTTGATATAATTGTAATCGTATAGTATATATTCTTCTTCTTCTTTTTTTTTTTTTCTTCGAGACATGGTCTAACTCGGTTGCCCAGGCTGGAGTCCAGTGGTGTGGTCATGGCTTCCTGTAGCCTCAAACTCTTGGGCTCAAGTGATCCTCCTGCTCAGCCTCCTGGGTAGCTGGGACCACAGATGTGTGCCAGCACACCCGGTTAATTATTTTTTTGTAGAGATGGTGTCTCACTTTGTTGCCCAGGCTGGTCTCAAATTCCTGACCTCAAATGATCCTCCTGTTTTGGCTTACTAAAGTGTTGGGATTATAGGCATGAGCCACTGTGCCTGCCCATTCTTCTGTCTTCTGTTTGTTTGTTTGTTTGTTTGTTTGCTTGTTTGAGATGGAGTCTTGCTGTATTGTCTAGGCTGGAGTGCAGTGGCCAGTCTTGGCTAACTGCAACCTCTGCATCCCAGGTTCAAGTGATTCTCCTGCCTCATCCTCCCAAGTAACTGGGATTACAGGCACATGCATCACCAAGCCTGGCTAAGTTTTGGATTTTTGTTTGTTTGTTTGTTTGTTGAGACGATCTCACTCTATTGCCCAGGCTGGAGTGCGGAGTGATCTCTGCTCACTGCAACCTCCACCTCCTGGGTTCAAGTGATTTTCATGCCTTAACCTCCCTAGTAGCTGGGACTGCAGGCATACGCTACCACGCCCAGCTAATTTTTGCATTTTTAGTAGAGATGGAGTTTCACTGTGTTGGCCAGGCTGGTCTTGAACTCCTGACCTCAGATGATCTGCCTACCTTAGCCTCCCAAAGTGCTGGGATTACGGGTGTGAGCCACTGCGCCCGGCCTAATTTTTGTATTTTTTAGTAGAGACGGAGTTTCACCATGTTGGTCAGGCTGGTTTTGAACTCCTGACCTCAGGTGATCCGCCCGCCTCAGCCTCCCAAAGTGTTGGGATTACAGGCGTGAGCCACTGCATCCGGCCTTCTATCTTCTTTTGCTTAACATTATGTTTGAGAGATTTATTTATATGTATATAACCTGTGGTTCTTTGCTCTATATTTCATGGCGAATGTACCACAATTTATTTGCTCTGTTGTTGATAGACATTCATGTTGTTCTAGTTTTTTACTGCCTGGATCTCTTAATGATTCATATTTTCTATTGTAAATACTGCCTTGTATTTGGTATTTTAGCAAGTGAAGTCTATTCTTGGAACATTTACTATCTTTTTTTTTTTTTTTTTTTTTTTTGAGAGTCTTTCTCTGTGTCCCAGGCTGGAGTGCAGTGGCATGATCTCGACTCACTGCAACCTCTGTCTCCCAGGTTCAAGCAGTTCTCCTGCCTCAGCCTCCTGAGTAGCTGGGATTACAGGCACGCGCCACTACACCTGGCTAATTTTTGTATTTTAGTAGAGATGGGATTTCGCCATGTTGCCCACGCTGGTCTCGAACTCCTGACCTAAGGTGATCTGCCGGCCTCAGAATCCCAAAGTGCTGGGACTACAGGTGTGAGCCACTGCACCCAACCAAGAACTACTATATTTTGTAAGTGGAAATAACCACTATTAAAAACAGAATGCTATAAATAGAATGATGTCTTTTGTTTCTAAAGTTGATGTACTAGAGCGATGTGAAAACAGTAACAAAAGAGATATTTTGTGGCAAAGTTATCTCGGGGTAAACACCACAGTTGCAGGCACCGCTGGCAAGTATTCTCCGGGCAAACAGGAAAAAGGTTAAGTGAATCGTCTTGCATAAAAGTTTAGAAAAACTGTTCTTTCTTTTCTTTCTTTCTTTTTTTTTTTTTTTTTTGAGATGGAGGTTTGCTCTTGTTGCCCAGGCTGGAGTGCAGTGGCATGATCTCGGCTCACTGCAACTCTGCCTCCCAGGTTCAAGTGATTCTCCTGCCTCAGCCTCCCGAGTAGCTGGGATTACAGGCATGTGCCACCATGCCCAGCTAATTTTCAATTTTTAGTAGAGACGGGGTTTCTCCATGTTTGTCAGGCTGGTCTCAAACTCCCAACTTCAGGTGATCTGCCCGCCTCGGTCTCCCAAAGTGCTGGGATTACAGGTTTGAGCCACCATGCCTGGTCGAAAAACGGTTATTTCTTAACCCATATTCTCAGAATGTTATTACTTTTTGCAAGACCCAGAGTTAGTTTTTCCTTCAAAATTTGAGGTCTTAGATCATTGTTACTGGCCAAGGAGGCTAGTTGCTCTTCCCTTTGCTGTCGGTCAGTCAGATCCTTGAGTTAGAAGAATTGTTGGAGAACAAGTTTTCTGGTTTACGATTATACCAGAACTTGGCTGCCACTCTGGTTTTCAGTGAAGAGAAAAAATGTAATCAAAAGCCTTTGGGGATGGGCTTGGTATTTGAGCTGTACCTGTCGAATTAAGGTGGCTCACAAGTGGTATTGGAAAGTGCTGAAGAGCAGATTTCACACTGAGAGTGGAAACGAAATTACAAAGAGCTTGGATGTACATGCCTGAATTGTTTTTGAGCTGCTTTCAGTGGAATACTGATATTTATGTTTTACCTATTACAGCTGTTGAGTGGAATGTCATGGCCAGCTCCTCGGACAGTGAAGATGACAGTTTCATGGCTGTGGACCAGGAAGAAACTGTGCTGGAAGGGACAATGGATCAAGATGAGGAGCCCCACCCAGTATTGGAGGCTGAGGAGACTAGACATAATAGGTCCATGTCGGAGCTGCCAGAAGAGGTTTTGGAGTATATCCTGTCCTTTCTCTCACCGTATCAGGAACACAAAACTGCGGCCCTTGTCTGCAAACAGTGGTATCGACTTATCAAAGGTACTGTGGATAGGAGAAAGGTTTATTTATTGATTTCAAATTTCACTGATTTATTTTTAGACTCCAAATTTAGTTTTTTTCCTCCCTTAAATGTATTATGGTTATAAAATCTAGCATTAGACGATACTACCCGGTTTTCTTTCTTACCCTGGTTAGTTTAATGAACAGCTTGAATACTGAAGTATCTAATCCCATTTGCATTTTAAAATGAGGATTGTTTTTAAAAGCTTCATATTCTTAGAGTTGATCTGGTTAATTGTATTGTTCTTTTCTTTTTTTTTTTTTCAGACGGAGTCTCACTCTGTCGCCCAGGCTGGAGTGCAGTGGCGCAATCTCGGCTCACTGCAAGCTCTGCCTCCCGGGGTCATGTTATTCACCTGCCTCAGCCTCCAGAGTAGCTGGGACTACAGGCGCCTGCCACCACGCCCGGCTGATTTTTTGTATTTTTACTAGAGACGGGGTTTCACTGTGTTAGCCAGAATAGTCTCAATCTCCTGACCTCGTGATCCGCCCGCCTCAGCGTCCCAAATGGATTAATTGTATTGTTCTTGAATGGGCAAAATAGAAATGGATATGGGATAATAGTAATAGCCAATGTGAACATAGCTTTTATCACGTGTCAAGCACTATTGTAACTGCTTTACATTCTCACAGCAAACTCTGACTAGAAGATCCTGCATTTTATAGATGACAGAACTGAGTGAAACACAGTTAACTTATTTACACGGATAGTAAATGCAGGATTAAAGATTCACGTTCAGGCGATCTGGCTTTAAAGTCCATGCTCTTATTAAGGCTACAGATTGTCTCTGAGTAGCTACTTTTAGCAACTGCTTTCTTGAAAACATTTGTCACTTGATTTTATCTCTAAACAGCAAAGACCCTATATACATCTTTTACTTTTTAAAATATGTTTCTTGGCCGGGTGTGGTGGCTCACACCAGTAATCCCAGCACTTTGCGAGGCCAAGGCAGGTGGGTCACCTGAGGTCAAGTTCGAGACCAGCCTGGCCAACATGGTGAAACCCTGTCTCTACTAAAAATACAAAAATAAGCCAGGTGTGGTGGTGGGCACCTAATCCCAGCTACTCGGGAGGCTGAGGCAAGAGAATTGCTTGAACCCAGGAGGCAGAGGTTGCAGTGAGCCAAGATCACGCCACTGGACTCCAGCCTGGGCGACAGAGCAAGACTCTGGTCCTTTTTTTCATCCTTTTCCTAATCAAGATTTCAACTTTTTGCTAAATGTTTAGGTGCTAGACATGCTGTATTTTTAATTAGCAGAAAGCAGTTAGTGGCTTCATTGCATCTTAAGTGGAAAGGGCCCATTTTTTGTTTGAAGATGATCAATCAAGTGGAGTCATTTTTTATCAAGCGAGGGTTGTCTCAATGTGTTCTTTCCTGGGGGAACAAGGCAGCCAGAGATATAACAGAGAACAATCTTTAGATCAAAATCAATCAGTTTTAAAATGTTTTCCTTGCATCAAGGTGGTTCTCATGGAGTCCTTGTCAACTCCCAAAGTCCACCTAGAGGGCTAAGAACCAGCTGTATTGAAACTGCTCTGTTGGCCCTGTGCTCATTTGATTATAACTGCCAATACTGGCACACACAGCCTGCTTCTATATTCTGAGTTGATGGGCTCTTCAGGAGAGATTGGCTCCCTGCAATGTGGAAATACATGGTTTCACTTCTCAAATAAAGGGAGGAAAACCACAGGTAAGGGACTGTGATTTAATCAAATATATGAATTTATCCTTAGGTTTTCTTTGGCAGTCTTATTTTGGTTTTCTTTCTTTTCTCTTTCTTTCTTTCTTTCTTTCTTTCTTTCTTTCTTTCTTTCTTTCTTTGTTTTCTTTTCTCTTTCTTTCTTTCTCTCTCTTTCTTCTTTTCTTTCTTTTTTTTTTATTTTTATTTAGAGAAGAACCCTACCCTAGTACTCACAATCTTAGATCGATCTTTCTGGCAGAAGTCACTGACAAGATAGTTTTGTTTGTTTGTTTTTAATTTTAGTAGACTTTTTTTTTAAAGAGCACTTTTAGGTTCACAGCAAAATTGAGTAGGAGAAACAAATTCCTCTGAGCGGACACAGTGGAACACGCCTGTAATCCCAGCACTTTGGGAGGCCAACGTGGGCGGATCGCCTGAGATCAAGAGTTCAAGACCAGCCTGGTCAACATGGTGAAACCTCATCTCTACTAAAAATACAAAAATTAGTGAGGCATGGTGGTGGGTGCCTGTAGTCCTAGCTACTCGGGAGGCTGAGGCAGGAGAAACGTTCAAACCTGGGAGGCAGAGGTTGCAGTGTGCCAAGATCGAGCCACTGCACTCGAGTCTGGATGACAGACAGAGATTCTGTCTCAAAAAAAAAAAAAAGCAAAACAAAACCGATTTCTCATATATCCCCTACCCTGACACATGTATAGCCTCTCCCATTATCAACATCCCCCACCAGAGTGGTACATGTGTTAAAATTGATGAACCTATACTGAAACATTCCATAAACCCAAATTCCATAGTTTACATTAATGTTCATGCTTGGTGTTGTGCATTCTATGGGTTTGGATGAATGTATAATGACACATATCCACTGTTATAATATCATAATAGCTTCACTGCCCTAAAAATCCTGTATACTCTCCCTGTTTATCCTTTCCTTCCACCAACCACTGGCAATCACTGATTTTTTTACTGTCTCCATAGTTTTGCCTTTTCTAGAAGGTCATATAGTTGGAATCATACAGTATACAGCCTTTTCCGATTGGTTTCTTTCACTTAGTAATATTTGCATTTAAGTTTCCTCCTTATTTTTTGAGACAGAGTCATGCTCTGTTGCCCAGGCTGGAGTGCATTGGTGCGATTTTGGCTCACTGCAACCTCCGTCTCCCGGGCTCAAGTCATCTTCCCTCCTCAGCCACCAGAATAGCTGGGACCACAGGTGTGCACCACCATGCCTGTGTAATTTTTTTAAAAAAATGTTTATAGAGACAGGATCTTGCTGTTACCTAGACTGGTGTGAAACTCCTAAGCTCAAATGATTTTCCTGCCTCAGCTTCCAAAAATGCTGGGATTACAGGTGTGAGCCACCGTGCCCGGCTTCCTCCATTTCTTTTCATGATTTCTTAGCTTTTTTTTTGTTAGTGCTGAGTAATATTTCATGTCTAGATGCACCACAGTTTGTTTACCCATTCACTTACTGAAAGGGCATCTTAGTTGCTTCCAAGATTTTACAATTATTAATAAAGCTGGTGTAAGCATCCATGTGCAGGTGTTTCTGTGGACATAAGTTTTCAGCTCCTTTGGGTAAATAAATACCAAGATGCACAATTGCTGGATCATATGGTAAGAGCATCGTTAGTTTTGTAAGGAACTGCCAAACTGTTTTAAGTGGCTGAACCATTTTGTACTCCCACTAGCAGTGAATGAGAGTTCCTTTTGCTCCACATTCTCACCAGCATTTGTAGTAGTAGTTGGAATTTTCATCATTCTCATAGATGTGTAGTGGTATCTCATTTTAATTTGCATTTCCCTGATGACAAATGATATGGAGCGTATTTTCATGCGCTTATGTGTTACCCACATACCTTCTTTGGTGAAGTGTCTGTTTCAGGTCTTTGACCCATTTTTTATTTTATATATACATATGTATATATATATATATATATATATATTTTTTTTTTTTTTTTTGAGACAAGATCTTGCTCTGTCACCCATGTTGGAGCACAGTGGCATGGTCATAGCTCATTGCGGCCTTGACTTCCTGGACTCAAGCAATCCTCTCGCCTCAGCCTCCCAAGTGGCTGGGACTACAAGTGTGTACCACCACACCCAGCTAATTTTTGTATTTATTTATTTATTTTTGTAGAGATGGGGTCTCACTGTGTTGCTCATGCTGGTCCTGAACTCTTGGGCTCAAGCAATCTTACCACCTGGGCCTGCTAAAGTCCTGGGATTATGAGCCACCATGCCAGGCCTTTGACCCCCTTTTTTTTTTTTTGAGACGGAGTCTCACTCTGTCGCCCAGGCTGGAGTGCAGGGGCGCGATCTCGGCTTATTGCAAGCTCCGCCTCCTGGGTTCATGCCATTCCCCAAAGTGTTGGGATTACAGGCGTGAGCCACCGTGCCCGGCGTTGACCCATTTTTTAATTGGGTTGTTTGTTTATTAATGTTGAGTTTTTTTGTTTGTTTGTTTGTTTGTTTTGAGATGGAGTCCGGCTCTGTTGCCCAGGCTGGAGTGCAGTGGCACAATATTGGCTCACTGCAACCTCCACCTTCTGGGTTCAAGCAATTTCCTGGCAATTTTTGTATTTTTAGCAGAGACAGGGTTTCACTGTGTTGGCCAGGCTGGTCTTGAACTCCTGATGTCAAGTGATCCACCAAATAAATAAATAAATAATATTTAATTTATTTGAGCACCTGCCCAAAGTGCTAGGATTACAGACGTGAGCCACCGCGCCTGGCCCTAATATTGTTGAGTTTTAAGAGTTCTTTGGATATTCTATATAACTGTCTTTTATCAGATATGTCTTTTGCAAATACTTTCTCTCAGTCTGTGGCTTATCTTCTCATTCCCTTGACAGTATTTTTCACAGAGCAGAAACTTTTAGTTTTAATGAATTCTGGCTTATCAGTTATTTTGGGGAGGGGATAAGGTCTTGCTTTGTCACCCACGCTGGAGTCTAGTGGCGTGATCAGGGCTCACTGCAGACTCAACCTCCCAGGCTCAAGCAATCCTCCAAATTCAGCTTCCCAAATAGCTGGCACTACAAGCACATGCCACCATACCCAGCTAATTTGTTTTTCTTTTTTTTTTTCAGATGGAACCTCACTCCATCACCCAGGCTGGAGTTCAGTGGCGCAGTCTCAGCTCATTGCAACCTCCACCTCCTGGGTTCAAGGAATTCTCCTGCTTCCACCTCCCAAGTAGCTGGGATTACAGGTGCATGCTACTACGCCCGGCTAATTTTTTTTTTTTTTTTTTGAGATGGAGTCTTGCTCTGTTGCCCAGGCTGGAGTGCAGTGGTGTGATCTCGGCTCACTGCAAGCTCCTCTCCCGGGTTCACGCCATTCTCCTGCCTCAGCCTCCCGAGTAGCTGGGACTACAGGCATCCACCACCACACCCGGCTAATTTTTTCTATTTTTAGTAGAGACGGGGTTTCACTGTGTTAGCCAGGATGGTCTCGATCTCCTGACCTTGTGATCTGCCTGCCTTGGCCTCCCAAAGTGCTGGGATTACAGGCGTGAGCCACTGCGCTCGGCCAATTTTTGTTTTTAGTAAGAACAAAACCTTTTTTAGTAGAGTAGGTTTTACCATGTTGACCAGGCTGGTCTCAAACTCCTGACTTCAAGTGATCACCCACCTCGGCCTCCCAAAATGCTCGGATTACAGGTGTGAGCCACTGCACCCGGCCACACCCGGCTAATGTTTTAAAAAATACTTTGTCGAGACAGGGTCTCCTTGTGTTGCCCAGGCTGGTCTTGAACTCCTGGGCTCAAGTTATCCTCCCACCTTGGCCTCCCAAAGTGTTGGGATTACAGGCGTGAGCTACCATGCCTGGCCATTCTTTCTTTCATGGATCATGCCTTTGGTACTGTGTATAAAAAGTCATCCCCAAAGTCAAGGTCTTCTAGATTTTCTCCTGTTATCTTCGAGGAGTTTTATGTTTTACATTTAGGATTGTGATTCATTTTTAGTTCATTTTCATGGAAGATGTCTAGATTCATTTTCTTGCATGTAGATTTTAATTTATTTCAGCATCATTTTTGGAAAAGGTTTTTTTCTTTAAGAGATGGGGTTGGCCAGGCGCGGTGGCTCATGCCTATAATCCCAGCACTTTGGGAGGCCAAGGTGGGTGGATCATGAGGTCAAGAGATTGAGACCATCCTGGCCAACGTGGTGAAACCCCATCTCTACTAAAAATACAAAAAGAAAAAAAAAATTAGCTGGGTATGGTGGCGCGTGCCTGTAATCCCAGCTACTTGGAAGTCTGAGGCAGGAGAATCGCTTGAATCTGGGAGTTGGAGGTTGCAGTAAGCCAAGATCGCGCCACAGCACTCCAGCCTAGGTGACAGAGTGACACTCTGTCTCAAAAAAAAAAAAAAAAAAAAAAAAAAAAGAGATGGGGTCTCCCGGCCTGGCATGGTGGCTCACGCCTGTAATCCCAGCATTTTGGGAGGCCGAGGTGGGCGGATCACTTGAGATCAGGAGTTTGAGACCAGCTTGGCCAACATGGTGAAACCCCGTCTCTACTAAAAATGCAAAATTAGCTAGGCATGGTGGCACATGCCTGTAATCTCAGCTACTTGGGAACCTGAGGCAGGGAAATCATTTGAACCTGGGAGGTGGAGGTTGCAGTCAGCTGACATTGCACCACGCACTCCAGCCTGGGCAGCAGAGTGAGACTCCTTCTCAAAAAAAAAAAAAAAAAAAAAACAGAGATGGGGTCTCCCAGCCTGAGAACATGGTCAACCTCCATCTCTATGAAACAAACAAACAAAAAAACAGAAATTAGCTGAGTGCAGTGGTGTGTGCCTGTAGTCCCAGCTACTTGGAGGCTGAGGTGGAAGGATCCCTTGTGCTCAGGAGGCAGAGATTGTGGTGAACGGGGATCGTGCCACTGCACTCCATCCTAGGTGACAGAGTGAGACTCAGTCTAAAGGAAAAAAAAAAAAAAAAAAAGAGAGATGGGTCTCACTGTGTTTCCCAGGCTGAAATTCAATGGCTGTTCACAAGTGGGATCATTGTGCACTACAGCCTCGAACTCCTGGGCTCAAGCGATCCTCCTGCCTTGCTTCTCATGTAGCTAGGACCACAGGCATACACCACTGAGCCTGGCAAAAGGCTGTCTTTTCTGCATTGCATTACTTTTGCTTCTTTGTCAAAGATCAGTAAAGGCTGGACACAGTGGCTCACGCCTGTAATTCCAACACTTTGAGAGGCTGAGATGGGAGGAACACTTGAGCTCAGGAGTTTGAGACCAGTCTGGACAATATAGTGAGACCCCACCTCTATTAAAAAAAAATGAATGGACTGTATTTGTATGGGTCTATTTCTTGGCTCTCTATTCTGTTCCATTGATTTATTTGTTTATTATTTGCAAATACCACACTGTCTTGATTACTGTAGCTTTTATAGTAAGTCTTGAAGTCAGGTGGTATCAATCTTCTGACTTTGTTCTCCTCCTTCCATGTTTTCTTGGCTATTCTGGGTCTTGTGCTTCTCCACATAAACTGTGGAAACAGTTTGTCGATATTCACAAAATAATTTGCTGGGGTTTTGACTAGGATTGCATTGAATCTGTTGATCAAGTTGGGAAGAACTGACATCTTGACAATATTGAGTCTTCTTATCCTATCCATGAACATGGACTATCTCTTTATTTAGTTCTTTGATTTCTTTCATCATAGTTTTATGGGTTTCCTCATATAGATTTTGTATGTATTTTGTTATATCTAAGTATTTCATTTTTTGGTGCGAATGTATATGTGTTTTAATTTCAAATTATGTGTTTTAATTTCAAATTCTACTTGTTCATTGTTGTATGCTAACCTTGTATCCTGCAATCTTGCTTATTAGCTCTAGGACCAAGACAGGTTATGATTCCATAATCAATTCCTCTCCATTGTTATATGTTCGTCTTTTTTTTTTTTGCTTGTTTTTTAAGAGACAGGGTCTCACTGTCTTGCCCAGGCTGGAGTGCAGTGGCATGGCATGATCATAGGCATGATCACTGCTGCCTTGAACTCCTGGGCACAGGTGATCCTCCCTCCTCTGCCTCCCAAGTAGCTAGGACTACAAGTGCAGACCACCATGCCTGGCTAATTTTTAATTTTTTTGCAGAGAAATGGGGTCTTGCTATGTTGCCCGGGCTGGTCTCAAACTCCTGGCTTCAAGCTATCCTTCTGCTTTGGCTTCCTAAAGCACTGGGATTACAGGTGTGAGCCACTGCGCCTGGCCTCTCATCTTTTAGAAAACTTTTCCTGGTTGGGCATGGTAGCTCATACCTGTAGTCCCAACATTTTGGGAGGCTTAGGCGGGTGGATCGCCTGAGGTGGGGAGTTCGAGACCAGCCTGGCCACTGTGGTGAAACCCTGTCTCTACTAAAAATACAAAAATTAGCTGGGCATGGTGATGCATGTCTGTAATCCCAGCTACTGAGGAGGCTGAGGCAGGAGAATCACTTGAACCTGGGAGGCAGAGGTTGCAGTGAGCCACTACACTCCAGCCTAGGCAACAGAGCGAGACTCTGTCTCAAAAAGAAAAAAAAAGAAAACAAACTTTCCTGAGTTATGTATTTCATAATCCATTTTAGCCAGGCATGGTGGTGTTTGCCTGTAGTGCCTGCTACCCAGGAGGCAGAGGTAGGAGTATTGCTTGAGCCTGGGAGGCAGAGATTGCAGTGAGCTAAAGTCATGCATGCCACTGCAGCCTGGGTAGCAGAGCGAGACCCTGTCTAAAGAAAAAAATAAATAAACAAAACATAATCAATTGTAAACTAATTATTATCTCCATATTTAAGACAGAGAATGCTTTATTATAGTTTCCAACTATAGATATTTACTGAACACCTGTTATGTTCTAGACATTGTTTTATCATACTCTTTCATAAGGCTAAATTATCCCCCAACACCTTTGCTTTGGAGTAAATAATATCAATGATCTTGATATGTTGCCTTATGAGATAAAATAAAAGGGACTAGAGTTACAGTGTGAGCTAATTTTGTAATTTTTAATGTCACCTAACCTCCATGAACTTTGATAAAATGGAAGGATTGCCTTTCAGTTTTAAAATTGTATTTCCTTTCTTTGAATGAAAATCAGATAAATTTGGAATTCCTCAAAGAAACTTGTCTTATAGGCTGGGCGCGGTGGCTCATGCCTGTAATCTCAGCACTTTGGAAGGCCGAGGCAGGTGGATCACGAGGTCAGGAGTTCAAGACCAGCCTGGCCAAGATGGTGAAACCCCATCTCTACTAAAAATAAAATTAGCTGGGCATGGTGGCAGGTACCTGTAATCCCAGCTACTCGGGAGGCTGAAGCAGGAGAATCACTTGAACCCAGGAGGCAGAGGTTGCAGTGGCCGAGATCGTGCCACTGCACTCCAACCTGGGCGACAGAGTGAGACTCCATCTCAAAAAAAGAAAAAAAAAAGAAACTTGTATAAAAATGATAAAAACAGGTAATAGACACAGTTTTAATAATTTGATGGATAAGTTAAGTGTCTGGACTGAAGGGTTTGCTCTTTCTGTCTTAGGTGTAGCCCATCAGTGTTATCATGGTTTCATGAAGGCTGTCCAGGAAGGAAACATTCAGTGGGAGAGCCGTACCTATCCTTATCCTGGAACCCCAATCACTCAGCGCTTCTCGCACAGTAAGTATTTACTGTGAAAGCAGATTCCACCCTGCCTGTGGTCATATTTCCAGAAACTTGTTTGGTGGCATGTTTTTTTGTTTGTTTTTGAGACAAGGTCTCACTCTATCACCCAAGCTGGAGTGCAGTGGCATAATCACAGCTTACTACAGCCTCCACCTCCCCAGGCTCAGGTGATCCTCCCACCTCAGCCTCCTGAGTATGAGGACTACAGGCGTGCCCCATCACACCTGGTTAACTTTTGTATTTTTTGTAGAGATGGGGTTTCACCATGTTGCCCAGTCTAGTCTTGAACTGAGCTCAAGCAATAGGCCTGCCTTGGCCTCCCAGAGTGCTGGGATTACATAACGTGAGCCACGACACCCAGCCAAGGCATGTATTTTATCCGACTTTTAATTATTTATTTATTTATTTTGAAATGGAGTCTCACTCTGTCACCCAGGCTGTGATATGGTGGTGTGATCATGGGTCACTGCAGCCTCGACCTCCTCGGCTCAGGCAGTCCTTCTGCCTCAGCCTCCCGAGTAGCTGGGCCCACAGGTGCATGCCACCACGCCTGGCTAATTTTTAAAAAATTATTTGTAGAGATGGGGTCTCACTGTATTGCCCAGGCTTGTCTTCAACTCCTGGGCTCAAGCGATCCTCCCACCTTGGCCTTCCAAAATGTTGGGATTACAAGTGTGAGCCACTGTGCCTGGCCATTATCTGACTTTTTAATGAAGAGAATGTAAAATGAGAGTTTATATTAATTTTATAACCAGAATTAGGGAAAAGTGTCAGCCTAAATATATTGTAGGCAGTTTGTTAAGAATTTTATATTCTGCTTTTTCTTTTTTTTGAGACAGAGTCTCTGTTGCCCAGGGTGGATTGCAGTGGTGCAATCTTGGCTCACCGCAACCTCCACCTCTTGGGTTCAAATGATTCTCCTGCCTCAGCCTCCTGAGTAGCTGGGACTACTGGTGTGTGCCACCACACCTGGCTAATTTTTGTATTTTTAGTAGAGATAGGGTTTCGCCATGTTGGCCAGGCTGGTCTCGAACTCCTGACCTCAGGTGATCCACCCACCTCGGCCTCCCAAAGTGCTGGGATTACAGGTGTGAGCCACCGCGCCCAGCCCTCTGCTTTTTCATTGGATTTTTCTCTACTCCAGAGTGGTCAAGGTGTTATGCTTAGCGTTTTAAACATCTGACATTATCTAAGAGGAAAACAAAGGAAAGCTGTACATGAGGGTATTTCTAAGATTTTGCTTAGGGAGTAGTCAGATTTTAGTACTAGGTCATATAATGGCTATTTAACATAATACATGTTCAGCAAACACAAAATTTAAATGGACTCCTACAAAAATTTTGAATGTGACAAGTGTCGATTATAAAATTCAAATTTGGGCTGGGTTCAGTGGCTCACGCTTGTAATCCCAGCACTTTGGGAGGCTGAAGTTGGCTGATCACCTGAGGTCAGGAGTTTGAGACCAGCCTGGCCAACATGGTGAAACCCTGTCCACTAAAAATAGAAAAAAAAATTAACCAGCCATGGTGGCACATGCCAGTAATCCCAGCTATTTGGGAGGCTGAGACAGGAGAACTGCTTGAACCTGGGAGGCGGAGGTTGCAGTGAGCCGAGATTGCACCATTGCACTCCAGCCTGGGCAACAAGAGTGAAACTCCATCTCAGAAAAAAAAAAAAAAAAAATACAAATTTGGCTGGGTGCTGTGGCTCACGCCTCTAATCCCAGCACTTTGGGAGGCCAAGGCGGGCGGATCACCTGAGGTCAGGAGTTTGAGAACAGCATAGCCAACATGGTACAACCCCGTCTCTGCTAAAAATATGAACAATTCCATCTTGGCTAACACGGTGAAACCCCGTCTCTTAAAAAAATATATATATAAAAAATTACCCGGGCATGGTGGCGGGCGCCTGTAGTCGCAGCTACTGGGGAGGCTGAAGCAGGAGAATGGCGTGAATCCAGGGGGTGGAGCTGGCAGTGAGCCGAGATCACGCCACTGCACTCTAGCCTCGGTGACAGAGTGAGACTCCGTCTCAAAAATAAATAAAATAAAAATATAAACAATTAGCCAGGTATGGTGGCAGGCACCTGTAATCCCAGCTACTCAGGAGGCTGAGGCAGGAGAATCACTTGAACCCGGGAGGCGGAGGTTGCAGTGAGTCGAGATCATGCCACTGTACTCCAGCCTAGGCAACAAGAGCGAAACTCTGTCTCAAAAAAAAAAAAAAAATTATCTTCTTGCCTTTCTTCTCTCTTCATGTGAACCTGGACTAAAGACCATTAATAACCACCTCTAAAACTGGGGACAGTATCTCCTCCTCCTCTGACATTCGGAAATCTGTAAGAAATCTGTAAAGTCATTGCTTACTGTCATCACTGAAAAGCAGTATAAACATGAAGTAGGCAAGGGGCAGGGATGTGCAGCATCCTGCAGTGCATAGGACAGTCCTACAGATAAAAAGATTATCCTGCCCCAAATGATAAGAGCTCCTGTTGGGAAATACTGCAAGTCTGAAACATGCAACTAGCCTTGCATTCTTCCGTCAGCAAGCTTCAGCGTTAGTGTGCTGCATGTAGGAGTTTTCATTCTGCCTGCCTTTCAAGGACCTGGCTTGCCTTTTCAGCCTGACTCACTGCTGCATCCTTAGGTAGCCAGACTTCAGCCACATGAACCTCCTTGTTATGTCTTAAACTTCCTTATTTGCCCTTCCCTTTTTTTCTTTTTTGAATTAGTTTTTGAAATTTTTAATTGTGTTTTGCCATGTTGTCCAGACTGGTCTCGAACCCCTGAGCTCAAGCAGTGTGCCCGCCAGATATGGTTTGGCTCTGTGTCCCCACCCAAATCTCATCTCCTCCAGTGGTAATCCCCATGTGTCAAGGGAGTGACCTGGTGGGAGGAGACTGGATCATGGGGGCGGTTTCCTCCATGCTGTTCTTGTTATAGTGAAAGAATTTTCATGAGATCTGATGGTTTAAAAGTGGCGGTTTCGGCTGGCCGCAGTGGCTTACGCCTGTAATCCCAGCACTTTGGGAGGCTGAGGAGGGCGGATCACTTGAGGTCAGGAGTTTGAAACCAGCCTGGCCAACATGGTGAAACCCCGTCTCTACTAAAAATACAAAAATTAGCCGGGCCTGGTGGCGGGTGCCTATAGTCCCAGCTACTTGGGAGGCTGAGGCAGGAGAGTTGCTTGAACCCCTGTGGTGCAGGTTGCAGTGAGCTGAGATTGCACCACTGCACTACAGCCTGGGCAACAGAGCGAGACTCCGTTTCAAAAAAGAAAAAAAGGTGGCAGTTTCCCCTGTGCTCTTTCTCCTGCTGCTTTGTAAGAAGTTGCTTGATTCTCCTTTGCCTTCTACCATAAATGTAAGTTTCCTGAGGCCTCTCCAGCCATGTGGAACTGTGAGTCAGTTAAACCTCTTTCCTTTATAAATTACCCAGTCTTGGATAGTTCTTTATAGCAGTGTGAAAATGGACTAATACACTACCTCAGTCTTGCTAAGTGCCTAGATTACAGGCGTTGAGCTACCGCACCCGGCCTGCCCTTCTTAATGGACTGAAAGTGTCCTGTTCTCTAAAAGTCATCTCAAAGATAAAATCAAAAGCCACATTTTTTACCAACTTCTCTCAGATTCCTCGCCGTAGATATTAAGCTCTTTTCTTCCTCTCTGCTTCCCTAATATACTATTCATACCTTCCTCCATTATTTATTACCATCTGTCTTTTGCCATTATTATCTGTGTGAGAGAGGCTGCATGCTAAAAAGGAAAGGCCTTTGGATGTGGGAAGCAAGTTTCTTGGCTTGTCTGACCCACAGTTTCTTTGTCTGAAAAATGGATATGACAAATTCTGTTTGTGCCATAGATTGCTGAGAAATGCATTTAAGAAAACACTTGTAAAAATATGTTTTAAAGTCGAGGCAGGAGAATGACTTGAGCCCAGGTGTTTGAGACCAATTTGGGCAACATCTCTATTTAAAATTAAAATATATGTATATATTTTAAGCTGTAAAAAAGTAGGATGATGATGATGTCTCCCCCACAAGATTGTCGTCTACTTGAAGATAGACAGGCTCCATGTCTTAGACATTCTTGTACCGTTTCTTTTTTTTTTGTTGTTTTTTTTTTTTTGAGATGGGGTCTCACTCTGTCACCCAAGCACCCAGGCTGGAGTGCAGTGGCGCGGTCTTGGCTCACTGCAGCCTCTGCCTCCCAGATTTAAGCTATTCTCTTGCCTCAGCCTCCCAAGTAGCTGGGATTACAGGTGCCTGCCACCACGCGCAGCTAATTTTTGTAGTTTTAGTAGAGACGGGGTTTCGCCCTATTGCCCAGTCTGGTCTCAAACTCCTGGGCTCAAGAAATCTGCCCATCTCAGCCTCCCAAAGTGCTGGGATTGCAGGTGTGAGCCACCGCACCCAGCCTTCTTGTACTGTTTCACAACACCTTGTTCATAGTTGATATCTAATAAATTTGGTATCAATATATTTTGATACCTAATAATTTTTGTGGACTTAAGTGCAACAAAGGTATGCACAGTATAGTATCTTTCCTATGGAAAAGTCTGGGACAAAAAAGTCAGGTGAAGTAAAAAGGCCAATTCTAGGGCCAGGTGCAGAGGCTCACCCCTGTAATCCCAACACTTTGGGAGGCCAAGGCAGGTGGATCACTTCAGGCCAGGAGTTGGAGACCAGCCTGGCCAACATCGTGAAACCCTATCTCCACTAAACATACAAAAATTAGCTGGGCGTGGTGGGCGCACGCCTGTAATCCAGCTACTCGGGAGGCTGAGGCAGGAGAATCGCTTGAACCTGGGAGGCAGAGGTTGCAGTGAGCCAAGATTATGCCACTGCACTCTAGCCTGGGTGACAGAACAACACTCTGTCTCAAAAAAAAAAAAAAAAAAAAAAAGGCCAATTCTAGCTTTTTGGTGAATGTGTGCATAGCTAATCATGCAAGCTTTAATTAATGTAGAATGTCCTTTTCAGATTGATGTAGGGGGTCTCCTGAGTCCCCAACATCATGCATTGAAAAATGTTTCAGTGTTGTAGGTGTCACATATAGTCAGGTAGTTTCATACACAATGCTCATCATGCTCCTGCAGGAGCCAGCAGGCCCAGACTGGATAACCGCCCTTGCTTCTTCATAGTTACGTAATTAGAGACCTTATCAAATATGTTCTGGCTTGTAGGTGTGAGACACATGACAGCATAGTCTCTTTAAGCATGGGATAAATGCCTCAGGATCTTTCCCTGGAGACAGGTGAAGAAACAAAAGAGAATTTGACGTCTGAAAATGCAAAAGCATATCATTCATTTAGTGAGCATTTATTGAATGCTCCATACACCATGGAAAAGATGAAACTACTGGAAGATCTTGCACTTGAGATGATTATAGAATAGTGGAGAAGTATTCAGAACTGTGAAGAACTGTTTGCTTGCTCTGTGTGTAATTAAATTGTGACTATTTGACTTGTATTTTAATAGGGATGATTAGTATGTGTCGTAAACTAAGCCCATTTCAGAAAACTTGAAGAGATTTACCAGTTGGAATAGACACTCTCAGTATTATTTGTTAGCCCAGTATTCATACTGTACTGTGAGCTGTAACTGTATAGCACATTCTAGTGGTCTAGATGTTCTGAAAGGAAAATTTTCTATTTAGGTTGAGAACTTGTGAAAAGGGAAATTACTACTGGAGCACTGGGAGTTGCTCAAATTCTTTTTCCTAAAAGGTTCATTTGAACTTGTTGGGTCTTCCTCCCTGCCCCTGCCCCTCTCAGATCAATCTATAGGTGTCTTAAATAAAAAATAGGCAATAAGTAAAGTTCAGTAGGCTAGGGTGCTTAAAATAGTTGAGTGTGGCCGGGCATGGTGGCTCACGCCTGTAATCCCAGCACTTTGGGAGGCCAAGGCAGGTGAATCACGAGATCAAGAGATTGAGACCATCCTGGCCAACATGGTGAAACTCCATCTCTACCAAAAATACAAATATTAGCTGGGCATGGTAGCGCGTGCCTGTGGTCCAAACTACTCGGGAGGCTGAGGCAGGAAAATCGCTTGAACCCAGGAGGCGGAGGTTGCAGTGAGCCGAGATCGTGCCACTGCACTCCAGCCTGGGTGACAGAGCGAGACTCCATCTCAAAAAAATAATAATAATAATAATTAAGCGTATTATTGATAGTTATTTTCTCATTCCATTATATCTGAGTTCTAAATATAGCTGCCTAAACTGACTCCCTTCCTCTCCCAACTTTGTTGATAATTGACTGCTGGTCACTGAAAATACAGTAGTGTGTGAAACTTGCCATTTTAGTGCCATTAGCTTTGCATACTTTGGGCTGTGCCTTCCTCTTCCAGAAACCTTTGTTTGCTCAAGAGAAGCAGGAAAATGCCAATTGCCCTATTTTAGTGTGGGATTAAAATACATGTGGTAAGGACCTCAGGGCCCCGCTGTTGGCTGGGTTTTCAGTCCAAATAGAGAAGAAAAATGTGGGCTGGGTGCGGTGGCTCGTGCCTGTAATCCCAGCACTTTGGGAGGCCGAGGCGGGCGGATCACGAGGTCAGGAGATCGAGACCAGCCTGGCCAACATGGTGAAACCCCGTCTCTACTAAAAATACAAAAAATTAGCCAGGCATGGTGGCACATGCCTGTAATCCCAGCTACTCGGGAGGCTGAGGAGGAGAATTGCTTGAACCTAGGAGGCAGAGGTTGCAGTGAGCCAAGATTGTACCATTTCACTCCAGCCTGGGTGACAGAGCAAGACTCTGTCTCGAGGAAAAAAAATTAAAAAGGAAAAATGTTTGTTACCTTTTTGAAAAATACAGGCACTGTGTTCTTTTGCTACACTAAGGAAGCAGCTGCCAAGAAGTTATCTGTGAGGAACTGGGAGACGTAACAAACCCTTGACTCTTTTAGTTATGAAATCATGGATTTGTTTTATTAAGCAATGTTATAATGGACACTAGTTAAGGTTTCAGAAGTCATAGGACATTGGCCGGGCGCGGTGGCTCACGCCTATAATCTCAGCACTTTGGGAGGCCGAGGCGAGCGGATCACCTGAGGTCAGGAATTCGAGACCAGCCTGGCCAACATAGTGGAACCCCATATCTACTAAAAATACAAAAACTAGCTGGGCGTGGTGGTGGGCGCCTGTAATTCCAGCTACTTGGGAGGCTGAGGCAGGAGAATCACTTGAACCTAGGAGGCGGAGGTTGCAGTGAGCCAAGATTGTGCCACTGCACTCCAGCCTGGGTGACAGAGTGAGACTCCATCTCAGAAAATAAATAAATAACTCATAGGACATTGCTAATTTCTTTTTCTGGAGGTCTGGAATATCAAGAGGAGAAGAATGTGCTTTTACTGAGCCAACCTGGTACCAGTTGGCTCATTTCAAAATTGCCCCATTTTTTAGGATTACTAGGTCAAGATATGTCTAAGAGGACCAGGATATCTGGAGTTGAGCTCCTTTAGTGGAGATTAAAATGTGGCTCCAGTAATTGTCCTTTTGTTTGTCTAATGTCTTCTAACTTGATCCTTTGTTATTTGTAGTTCTTTGGTGTTTTTGTTTTTGTTTTTTGAGACAGAGTCTTGCTCTATCGCCCAGGCTGGGGTGCAGTGGCGCAATCTCAGCTCGCTGCAACCTCCACCTCCCGGGTTCGAGCGATTCTACTGCCTCAGCCTCCCCAGTAGCTGGGAGTTACAGGTGCATGCCACCATGCCAGACCAATTTTTGTATTTTTAGTAGAGAGGGGTTTCACCATGTTTGCCAGGCTGGACTCGAACTCCTGACCTCAAGTGATCCACCCGCCTCAGCCTCCCAAAGTGCTGGGATTACAGGCATGAGCCACTGTGCCCAGCCTGTTATTTGTAGTTCTTAACAGATCTGACATGTGAGCCATGGATTCATTGGACTTGACTTTTTTTTTTTTTTTTTTTGAGATGGAGTCTCACTCTGTCGCCCAGGCTGGAGTGCGGTGGCGGGATCTTGGCTCACTGCAAGCTCCGCCTCCCGGGTTCATGCCAGTCTCTTGCCTCAGCCTCCTGAGTAACTGGAACTACAGGCGCCTGCCACCACGCCCGGCTAATTTTTTTTTTTGTATGTTTAGTAGAGATGGGGTTTCCACTGTGTTAGCCAGGATGGTCTCGATCTGCTGACTTCATGATCTGCCTGCCTCGGCCTCCCAAAGTGCTGGGATTACTGGCGTGAGCCACCACGCCCGGCCTGGACTTGACTTCTTAGTAGAGTTCTGGGGATACCATAAATATTTTGCAGGTGTGAGCCTATTGATGGCTAGATGGTATTTTATTTCTTCAGATCTGTTTTGTCTAATTTCTTTGGTAATTTTAAAAGCCTGCAGCTCCATTATTCCACAGTGTCAGAGGTCAGATAATTTGGATTTAACCCTTCCACTGACTGAGATTATGGGGTTTAAGGCACTAAACATACTGCTTTCATTACCTCTTAACTTGCTCAGTTTTCTGACTTGGCCTTCTTACCGTAGAGAGTCCCAGGGGTCTAACAGGAGGGCTGAATTAAGGGAAAATAAAAGAAGGTGGGGGGCTGGGCGCATTGGCTCTCACCTATAATCCCAACACTTTGGGAGGCTGAGGCGGGTGGATCACCTGAGGTCAGGAGTTCGAGACCAGCTTGGCCAACACGGTGAAACCCTGTCTTCACTAAAATACAAAAATTAACTGGGTGTGGTGGTGTGTGCTTGTAATCCCAGTTACACCTACTCGGGAGACTGAGGCAGAAGAATTGCTTGAAGCTGGCAGGTGGAGGTTGCAGTGAGCCAAGATTGTGGCACTGGACTCCAGCCTCGGCCACACAGCAAGACTCTGTCTCAAAAAAAACAAAAAGCGGGGGGTGGGGGGTGCGGGGGAGGGGGGAGTTTATTCCCAGAGCTAGTATAGTGTGTATCACAGAGGTGATTATAGTAGTGGCATTGGATGAGTCAACAGTAGTAGCATTTCCCTTTTTCTGAACTCGGGTAACTAGTGCCAGAGTTCAGAAGAGACCTTAAAAATATTGGTGTGCTAAACTGAATTAGACCTACAAATATGCTAGATGATCATTAAAGCCATGCACAGGGCAATGAATCTGTGAATTTCTTGTTGGTGTTTTTTGTTTTTGTTTTTTTTTTTTTTTTTTTGAGATGGAGTCTTGCTCTGTCGTCCAGGCTGGAGTGCAGTGGCGCAATCTTGGCTCACTGCAACCTCCGCCTCCCGGGTTCAAGCGATTCTCCTGCCTCAGCCTCCTGAGTAGCTGGGATTACAGGCATGCGCCACCACGCCTGGCTAATTTTTTTATTTTTAGTAGAGACGGGGTTTTGCCATGTTGGCCAGGCTGGTCTCGAACTCCTGACCTCATGATCCGCCTGCCTCAGCCTCCCAAAGTGTTGGGATTACAGGCATGAGCCACTGCACCTGGCCTGAATCTGTGAATTTCTTTTTCCTTTCCCCTTCCTTTTATATGACACTGAACCGTTAGTTTCACATGAACATTGAGAAGTCTTTTTTGTTTACTTAATTTTATTTTATTTTATTTTTACCTCCTGCGTGCATGAAATGGATGGCAAGGAAAGCTTTGCTTGGGCCTCTTCCTGAAATCCAAGATGGCAAATGCAAGACTGTAAGGAATGTGATCGTCATTTCCAAAGGATAGAGACCGCAAGGGGCAGAACTTAGCACTCATGCATCTTTTCTAGACTCTGGCTTTGGTCTTTGTAGTTTTTGGGTAACAGCCCTTCTGATAGTCATTGCCTCTTTTTCTTAGGAATGCCTGGTGATGTGTATACAATCATCTAATCAAAGAAGGCTTTTTTTAGAGATCCTGGTGTTTTTTAAATGTTACCGTTCTGTTTTCTAGTCGGCTCCAACCAGCATGCCTTGGTAGCTCTTGGATACATATTGGGACTTAATGATTTCCATGCTTTTTCAATCTGTTGCTTTGGGACTAGTCCAAGACCATACTACTATTGAGTTTCCCCCACTGGCCTTTGGAATTAATAAAAACTGTATTTCTTCAATCACATTGGACTTTATGTGTGGTTACTTCATAGTATTGATTAAAATCATTTCATTGTGTGTCATATAAAGATTCATTTATTGGCCGGGCATGGTGGCTCATGCCTGTAATCCCAGCACTTTGAGAGGCCGAGGCGGGTGGATCACCTGAGGTCAGGAGTTCGAGATTAGCCTGGCCAACATGGTGAAACTCCATCTCTACTAAAAATACAAAAAAATTAGCTGGGTGTGGTGGTGCACACCTGTAATCCCAGCTACTTGGGAGGCTGAGGCAGGAGAATCGCTTGCACCTGGGAGGCAGATGTTGCAGTGAGCCGAGATCATGCCACTGCACTCCAGCCTGGCTGACAGAGGGAGACTCCATCTCAAAAAAAGAAAGAAAGAAAAAAAAAAGATTCATTTATTGATTTGTGCTTCAGGTTTAATTTGAAAACAAAAACAATAGGAGAATTGGAGGAAAGGAATGGGAGGACAGAGTACATGTGTTGGCATACCTTTGCTTAGCTCTAGAGGATAATGATGCAGATTTAGATCAATTATGTAGCTGTGCTGAAATTTCCCTCATTTGAGCACCTTTAATGTGAATTATTATGTGTTCTTGCTGGACTTACACTGTTACATCATTGTCAACTTGCTTAGTGTGCTCAGAAATAAAATTTTCATAGCTTTCCTCTGGACCTTGTTTTAAAGGGTAATATATTGATCCACTTGGAGACAAGAGGCTGGTAATAGAAATTTGGTACTTGGTAACAAAATTGCTGAATGTGTGAAATAAGCTTTGAAAAATATATGTTATGGTTAAAATGTTGGAAGGGCCTCAGAATTTTCACAGCAGTTATTTGTGTATTTTCTTTCTAGGTGCATGCTATTATGATGCTAATCAGTCTATGTATGTGTTTGGAGGCTGTACCCAGAGCAGCTGCAATGCTGCTTTCAATGACCTCTGGAGACTTGACCTAAACAGCAAAGAGTGGATCCGACCTTTGGCTTCAGGTAAGAGATGAAATGCTGATCTTTGCCTCCTTACCAGGTGACTCCCTTGGCATGGAAACTCTACCTGATCATTTTTGGTGTTGGTCTCAAGGATGGGTTACTGGGACTCAGGTCCTTAAGTTTAATGTGCCATGTAAATGATAATAGTAATATGCTTGTGTAAGTCTTTGTTTTTTGTTAAATTATACTTTATCATTAGTAATGGTGCCCTGCCAAAATTGCTGTACTGCTGTGTGAATTCATTTGCATGGTTTTCTCAAGTATACTCATACAGGTGTGATACATCATTTGGTAGGAGGTTGAAGTAAGAACAGAAACACAGAGTCGTGAGAACTGTAGTTGACTGACAGAAGCTATTGTCCTAGGGCTAAGGTCTCTGAATATCTGTTGTTGTTGCCAGCTCAGATATTTGGGGAGTGTATGGGACGTGCCTCTGCTAGTTACTCTTAACAACCCAGGGGTGTGGGAAGATTCTACAGTAGGTACATTCCTACCCAGTCCCACTATGCCAGAAATCTGGCAGAAAGAAACTAGATTATTTTCTTATTTTTGACCTAACCTCTCCTGGGGGAAAAAATAAAAACAATGGTTTTTGCACTCATGAGGCAGGGCAATTTGAGGAGGCATAGATTGGAGGGGTTGGTGTGATGGAGAAATAGTGTCCACTGAGTATAAAGTATTCTGCTAGATTTTTTGGCAAGCTTTTCCCAAAACATTCATTTGGCTTTTTAGTATTAGGACTCAGTCTTAGGACTAAGGACATTTGGGTTTCCATTGGGCAAGTTCCTTATTTATTTAGGCCTTGCCTTACTACTTTGATTACCAGATAGGAGGCATCATTGTATATTAGAAAGGGCACTGGACTAAGAGTGAGGGGACATGAGTTTCATTTCCTGGCATAGTCACCAATTCTCCATGTAACTATAAATAAGTTATTGCACTTCTCTGGGAGAAATGTGGAGTAGTACTAAATGACTATTTTTAAATGGGCTAAAAAGGCTAGTTTATGTTTCCCTTTCTATAACCGCTACTGTGAATGTCTAGGCCAGGGACTTAAACCTGTTTATGAGAAGAAGCTGCATTTTGCTTCCCTAAAACTTAAGTTCCTGTTCTTTCCACCTACATTAGGCAAATATAGGAGGAGCCTACTGAGTGGATACCATGGGTGGAGCTGGGCTTTGTGTAGATGAAGTTCTTTATTAAAATTATTGGCATTTGGAGGGTAGGAGGGTGGTGGTCCAGTCTGCAGATGGCCACACCAGGAGGAGGAGCTATTATATCCCCTTCTCTTCCACTTCCTGTCACAACCAATAAAGGCCGTTTGTGCCATTCATAAAAAACAAAAACAAAAACAAACCTACAAGCCAGGCCCACTGGCTCACGCCTGTAATCCCAGCACTTTGGGAGGCCAAGGCGGGCGGATCACCTGAGGTCAGGAGTTCGAGACCAGCCTGGCCAACATGATGAAACCCTGTCTCTCCTAAAAATACAAAAATTAGCTGGGCATGGTGATGGGTACCTGTAATCCCACCTACTTGGGAGGCTGAGGCAGGAGAATCTCATGAACCCAGGAGGTGGAGGTTGCACTCCATCCTGGGCAACAGAGCAAGTCTCCACAAAAACTATTGGAATAATAAAGAAATGGTAATCATATAAAAAGTTTGATAGCTAGAACTATTTCAGGGCCCTGAGAATTTTGTACTTTGGAGAATAACCTTTTCTAGCCCTTTATACCATATTGCACTTAGTGCAAATTGATTAATATTTGGAGTTACAGCTTCTGTTTTGTTTTGTATTGTTTTTTGAGACAAGATCTTGCTTTGTCACCCAGGCTGGAGTACAGTAGCACAGTCACAGCTTACTGCAGTCTCAGCTGAGTTATGGATTCTAAAATATAGAAGATCTTCTCAGCTTAAGCATCCTATTGCCACCATGCTTGGGATCTTGTACAGGTCTTATTTCAGAGGAGCTTTGATAGTTTCAGTCACAAAATACTATTACTGTCTTTATTTTGTAAACAAGCTTTATGCCTTTGATAATTTAGCATGGGTGGTGCTCTTTCTTGTTAAAATGGAGCTCTGGTTTGGGGACCTTCATAGCCTCTGCCAACTACTGTGCTTATTTCTCCCTGTAATATGGAGTAAGACTTTTTTTTTTTAAACCATCAAGTTTAAAGACTGCTTTGTGGCTAGGCGAAGTGGCTCACGCCTATAACCCCAGCACTTTAGGAGGCCAAGGCAGAAGGATCCCTTGAGGCCAGGAGTTTGAGACTCACCTGGGCAACATGGTGAGACCCCCATCTCTACAAAAAATAAAAACAAAAAATTAGCCAGGCATGGTGGCATGCCTCCATAGTCCCAGATACTTGGGAGGGTGAGACAGGAGGATTGCTTGAGCCCACAGATATAAGCCCAGACGCCTAGGCGAGAGTGAGACTGTGTCTCAAAAAAAGAAACAAAGAAAGAGAAAGAGAGGAAGGGAAGAAAAGAGGAAGGCAGGAAGGGAGGGAGGGAAGCCAAAGAAAAGGTTATGCTTTGAAATTCCCAAAGTAGAAATATTGGAGAAATAACTGCTTCAATCATTTACATTCTCTATGGAATATGAATTTTTAAAAATAGAGCATTTGGAATATTCCCTTTGACAAAACATACAAACTCCTGAATGTTTAAAGTAATTTTCTAACAAAATGTCTCAAAGAATCTAGTTACTCCCTCATCCTAATCTGCAATTAGAGGCTAGTTTTAGAAGGAGGAAAACCTGAGCTTTTTGAAATGTCTACTTATAAAAAACAATTGTTTAATAAAGAGTCCTGGCTGGGCACAGTGGCTCACTCCTCTAATCCCAGCACTTTAGGAGGCTGAGACAGGAGGATCTCTTGAGGCCAGGAATTTGAGACCAGCCTGGGTAACATAGTGAGACCCTGTCTCTACAAAACAATTAAAAATGAGCCGGGCATGATGGCATGTGCCTGTAGTCCTAGCTACTTGAGAGGTTGAGGTGGGAGGATTGCTTGAGCCCAGGAGTTCAAGGCTACAGTGAGTGATGATTGCTCCACTGCACTCTAGCCTGAGTGAAAGAGGGAGACCCTGTCTCAAAAAATAGCCTGGGCTTGGTGGCTCTCGCTTACAATCCTGGCACTTCGAGAGGCTGAGGTGAGAGGATCACTTGAGGCCAGGAGTTCCAGACGAGCCTGGCCAACATAGCGAAACCCCATCTCTACTAAAAAGACAAAAAATTAGCAGGGCATGGTGGCATGTGCCTGTAACCTCAGCTACTCAGGAGGTTGAAGCATGAGAATCACTTGAGCCCAGGAGGCAGAGGTTGCAGTGAGCCAAGATTGCGCCACAGCACCCCAGCCTGGGTGGCGGAGTGAGACTGTCTCAAAATAAAATAATAAATTAAAAAAAAAAAAGTCCCATGAGATTCTCATTTAGGCAGAAACCCCATGTAAGATGCCCTAAGACAATGTTTCTGTATGCTATCATGAGTCCTAATCAAAATCACTTCCTAACTGAAATGTCAATTAGTCCTTCTGAATAAAACATAGTTGTTTATAAGTCTTGGTGTACCTGACTCACTCATTTTAGTGCATCGAGGTAGGTAGATTGGAGGGTGACTGAGGGGAGGGCACTGTCAGTTGTGAGGTTGTCTTCTAACAGAGTATGTACAGGAAGGTAATAGTTGCTTTAACAGTGTTCAGACTTCAAAAGTGTAGCTGTTGGAGAAGTAAGAGCATCAAGCAAGGAGTGGAACACTTTTGGTTGGGAGTGGAGAGTCTTGATAGAGAATACTGCTGCATCAGATGTCTTTTTACATGTGTATTTGGTTATGTGGTTATGAGATTAGAGCATTCTCCTATTGGTTGGTGTCTTAGTCAGCTCAGGGTGCCATACAAAATACCATAGACTGGGTAGCTTAAACAGCAGAAATGTATTTCTCACAGTTCTAGAGGCTGGAAATTCAAGATGAGAATCTGGCATCGTTGGCTTCTAGTGAGGATTCTCTTCCCAGCTCCTGGTTTGCAGACTGCCACCTTCTCAGTGTGTTTTCATGTAGCAGAGAGTGAGCTCTGGCATCTCTTGTGCTTCTTTTTTTTTTTTTGTCACTCTGTCACCCAGGTTGGAGTGCAGTGGTGCGATCTTGGTTCACTGCAACCTCTGCCTCCTGGGTTGGAGCAATTCTCCTGCCTCAGCCTCCCGAGTAGCTGGAATTATAGGTGTGTGCCACCATGCCTGGCTAATTTTTGTATTTTTAGTAGAGACGGAGTTTCACCATGTTGGCCAGGCTGGTCTTGAACTCCTGACCTCAGGTGATCCACCCACCTCAGCCTCCCAGAGTGCTGAGATTACAGGCATGAGCCACTGTGCCCAGCTTCTTGTGCTTCTTATAAGGGGATTCATCTTATGAGGGCTACCCTCATGACCTCATCTAAACCTCATTGTCTTCCAAAGGCTTCATCTCCACCATAGCATCACCTTGGCGTTAGGGCTTCACCATATGGATTTGGTGGAGGACACAATTCCATCTATACCAGTTGGAATTAATGTAATTTCCCAGTGAAATCTTGTCTTTAGTTCCTTTCAAAATGATAGAAGTGCTCCATCTGGAGGAAGAGTGGTATTGGAGGTAGAGTGGTGACGAGTGTTGGGATGACAGATCTTACACTAAAAGAGACCCACAGCTAGTACTTCTCAGACATTTCCAACAAGGTAACACCTCCTCCCATTTACACCTGCTTTTGTGGCCCCTGCCCTCATGGAGCTTATATTGTAACGGGAAAGAAACAAGAAGCAAGTAAGCAAATTGTTATAAATTATGAAGGAAACAAACGGAATGAAGTATAGAATAAGGGGAGAGCTCCTTTTTTTGAGACAAGGTCTTACTCTGTCATCCAGGCTGGAGTGCAATGGCACAGTCACAGCTCCCTGTAGCCTCGACCTCCTGCCTTAGCCTCCTGAGTAGCTGCGAATACAAACGTGCACCACCATGCCTGGCTAATTTTTGTATTGTTTTGTAGAGATGGGGTCTCACTATGTTGCCCATGCTGTTAGGGGAGACCTACTTTAAACAGGAGACTTTTTGTTTGTTTGTTTTTGTTGTTGTTGTTTGTTTGTTTTTGGCTGAGACCTAAAGAATGATAGTGGAGGGAAGTGAGAATGGCATGTGCCTGGTGCAGCAAAGAAAAGGACATGTTAGAGGAGCTTAAAGCAGACCTTTGTGGATGTAGCCTAAGGAGCAGGGGAGAGAGTGGCACAGGGGGAGTTGAGATAAAGACAGGAGCAAGCTTATTCACAGACTAAGGTGGGGACTCAGAAACCTTTGAGATTTTAATGAGAGGAATGTCATCATCTGGATTACTTTTTTTTTTTTTTTTAAAGAGACAATCTTGCTCCCTTGCCAAAGCTGGAGTGCAGTGGCACAATCATAATTAATTGACTATAGCCTCAAACCCCTGGGTTCAAGTGATCCTCCCACCTCGGCCTCCTGCATAGCTGGAGCCACAGGTTTGCACCCCCACATCGGGACATTTTCTTTTCTTTCTTTTTTTTTTGTAGAACTAGGGTGTCACTATGTTGCCTGGGCTGGTCTTCAACTCCTAGCCTCAAATGATCCTCCTGCCTTGGCCTCCCAAAGTGCTGGATTACAGGCATGAGCCACTGCCCTTCCCTGCCTCAATTTACATTTTAGAGCACATTTTGCTTCTATTTAGGAAATGAAGGAAGGCAAGAAAGTAAACCAGACTAGACAGAAGGCCATCAATATTGACAAGACTCAGATGAGCATATATCAGTAAGAAACTGACAAAACTTTTTTTTTTTTTTTTTGAGACATAGTCTCACTCTATCACCCAGGCTGGAGTATGATGGTGCAATCTCAGCTCACTACAGCCTCTGCCTCCCGGGTTCAAGCAATTCTTGTGTTTCAGCCTCCCAGGCAGCTGGGATTACAGCAGTGTGCCACCACACCAGGCTAATTTTTGTATATTTAGTAGAGGTGGAGTTTCACCATACTGCCCAGGCTGGTCTGGAACCCTTGACCTCAAGTGATCCGCCCACCTTGGCCTCCCAAAGTGCTGGGATTACAGGCATGAGCCACTGCGCCCGGCCAAGACTTCTTAATGAATTAGATTTAGGAGCATGAGAAGGCCAATCAAGGGTGACTTATGTTTCAGGTTTATACAGCTACGTTGATGGTGGGGCCATTTGCTGAAGTGGAAAATAAATATTTGGGAGAGGTTAGTTTTTGGTTCCTATTAAATGTTTAAGTAGTAGTATCTAGTAATTCATTGTTATGAGAGTTTGACATTTGTTTATTATTATTATTATTATTTTTATTTTTATTTTTATTTTTTTTGAGATGGAGTCTCGCTCTGTCACCAGGCTGGAGTGCAGTGGTGCGATCTGGGCTCATTGCAACCTCCACCTCCCGGGTTCAAGTGATTCTTCTGCCTCAGCCTCCCCAGTAGCTGGGGTTACAGGCATGTGCCACCATGCCCAGCTAATTTTTGTATTTTTGGTAGAGATGGGGTTTCACCATGTTGGCCAGAATGGTCTCGATCTCTTGACCTCGTGATCCGTCTGCCTCGGCCTCCTGGGATTACACGCTTGAGCCACTGCACCCGGCCTATTATTATTGTTTGTTTGAGACAGAGTTTCACTCTTGTTTCCCAGGCTGGAGTGCAATGGCATGATCTCGGCTCACTCCATCTCCTGGGTTCAAGTGGTTCTCCTGCTTCAGCCTCCCAAGTAGCTGAGATTACAGGCGCCCACCACCACACCCAGCTAATTTTTTGTATTTTTAGTAGAGACAGGGTTTCATCACGTTGGCCAGGCTATTTTTAATAGAGACAGGGTTTCATCACGTTGTATTTTTAGTAGAGACAGGGTTTCATCACCTGAGGTTAATCCTGACCTCAGGCGATCCACCCGCCCCGGCTTCCCAAAGTGCTGGGATTACAGGCATGAGCCACTGTGCCTGGCCGAGAGTTTGACACTGAAAACAAAGGGCCTGACTTCCCTTAAATGACAGCACAGGCCAGGCACAGTGGCTCACACCTGTAATCCTAGCACTTCAGGAGGCTGAGTGGGAGGATGGCTTGAGGCCAGGCCACTCTGAGGCCAGGATGGCTTGAGTTCAAGACCAGCCTGAGCAACATAGCAAGAGCCCATCTCTACAAAAATAATAAAAAATAAATGACTCTACAGTCCTTCTGTTCAGTTAAATTCTTCTCTCATCCTTCACTTGTTCATGTAACAAATATTCATGGATTGCCCCCCTGGTATTGTTCTATATGCCAGGGACACATGAGTCAATAACTGACAAACATCTCAGCCCTAATGAGACTACATTCAAATGAAGGAAGACAGATACTAAAAATGACAAATATATAACAGTATGTTAGAGGATGGAAAGTGCTATTGAGAAACTACAGTATGGCTAGGAGGATTATAACTAGGAGAATCAGAGAGAAGGCGACATTAGAACAAGGACTTGATGGGTACAAGAAGTGAGCCATGTGGGTATCTGAGAAACGAATGTTTCAAACAGAGAATAATCAGTGCAAAGACCCAGAGTTGGGAGTGTGCTTGATATAGTCAAGGGATACTGAGGAATCCATTGTGACTGGAGCAGAGTGAACAAAGGAGAGGAGGTTGGACAGAAAATGAAAGGGATGTATCACATATGTGTGGCTTTCTGGCTGTTGTAAGGACATTGTCATATTCACTGAATAGAATGGCTAGTTGTGTAGGTTTCTGAGAAGAGGGCAAGTATGGAAGCAAGGAGACCAGTTAAAAGGTGGTAGCATAATCTAGGCTGAAAATGATAGGCACTTGGAGTAAAGTATTCACAAAAGGTAAGAACTGGGTGGATTTGATAGAGCCAAAGGGATTTGCTCATATTTTGGATGTAGAGTAGGAAAGAGAAAGAAAGCAATCAAGATGACTCTTCAGGTTTTTATCCTGGGCATTTGAAAGGGTGGAATTTTCATTAACTGAGATGGGGAAGACTGGGTGATCAAGGTTGGCAAGGGGCAGGAGAGATGAGAAATTCCACTTGAAACGTATTGAGTTTGAGACGCTTATTAGGACATCCAGGTGGAGATATATGTATATGGAGTTCAGGGGAGACACACAGGCTGGAGGTAGCCATGTAGGGCTCATTAGCCTATTAGTTAGTAATATAGTTTGGCCCTGTGTCCCCACCCAAATCTCACCTCAAATTGTAATCCTCATAATCCCCATGTGTCAAGGGCAGGACCAGGTGGAGGTAATTGGATCATGGGGGTGGTTCGCCCATGCTGTTCTCATGATAGTGAGTGAGTTATTGATGGTTATATAATTGTCTGGCATTTCCCCTGCTTGCACTCATTCCGTCCTGCTGCCCTGGGAAGAAGGTGCCTGTTTCTCCTTTGGCTTCTGCCATGATTGTAATTTTCCTGAGGCCTCCCAGCAATGCGGAACTGTGAGTCAATTAAACCTCTTTCCTTTATAAATTACTCAGTCTTGGGTATTTCTTCATAGCACTGTGAGAATAGACTAATCCAGATGGATTTAAAGCTATGAGACTGCATGAGATTACCAAGGGACTGAGTGAAGACAGAGGATGGTATAAAGGCCAGGCATGGTGGCTCACGCCTGTAAAATCAGCACTTTGGGAGGCTGAGGCAGAATTGCTTCAGCCTAAGGGTTTGAGACCAGCCTGGCCATCTCCTCAAAAAATTAAAAAAAAAATTAGCTGGGCGTGGTGTGAACCTATAGTCCCAGCTGCTCGGAAGGCTGATGCAGGCGGGCAGGGGTGAGGGGAGAGGATCACCTGAGTCCAGGAGGTTGAGGCTGCAGTGACCCATGTTTGCGCTACTGCACTGCAGTCTGGGTGACGAAGCAAGTCCTATCTCAAAAAGAACAACAAAAACAAAAAAGAGAATGGTGTAAGGATTGAGTCTGGGAGACTCCAGCATTTGGAAATCAGGGGACTCGAAAAGGAGCACCCAGTAAGGAAGGAGAACATCGGAGAATGTGGCATCTGGGAAGCCAGCATATGAGGAAAGCGTTTCCAGGAAAGGAGGAAATAATCAGCTGCATCAAATGCAGCGAAGAGGTCAAGTCATGTAAAGACTGAGAATTACCCTTAAATTTAGTAAAGAAAGCTTGTGGGGTGAGTGATAAAGATGGAAGCCAGTTTGTAATACATTTTAGAAAATGGGAAGACAGGATGGGCATGGTGTCTCATGCCTGTAATCCCAGTACTTTGGGAGGCCAAGGCAGGCAGATCAGGAGGTCAGAAGTTCGAGACCAACCTGACCAACATGGTGAAACCCCGTCTCTACTAAAAATACAAAAATTAGCTGGGCATGGTGGCGCCTGCCTATAATCCCAGCTACTCAGGAGGCTGAGGCAGGAGAATCACTTGAACCCAGGAGGCGGAGGTTGCAGTGAGCCGAGATTGCACCATTGCACTCCAGCCTGGGCAACAGAGCATGGGAAGACAGAAGTTAAAGGCATTAAGTATAAACAATACATTGATTTTTTTTTTCTTTTGAGGAATTTTGCTAAAGGAGAGCAAGGAGCTGAGGTGCTAAGTGGAGGTAGATGTAGAATTGAGATGTTCGTTGTGTTTTTTGTTTGTTTGTTTGTTTTTGAGATGAGTCTTGCAGTGTCGCGGGGCTGGAGTACAGGGGTGCGATCTCGGCTCACTGCAGCCTCCGCCAACTAGGTTCAAGCAGTTCTCCTGCCTCAGCCTCCTGAGTAGCTGGGATTACAGGCACGTGCCACCACGCCCGGCTAACTTTATTTTTGTTTTGTTTTGTTTTTTGAGACAGAGTTTTGCTCTTGTTGCCCAGGCTGGAGTTCAGTGGTGCAATCTCTGGCTCACCGCAACCTCCACCTCCCGGGTTCAAGCGATTCTCCCGCCTCAGCCTCCCAAGTAGCTGGGATTACAGGCATGTACCACCACACCCAGCTAATTTTGTATTTTTTAGTAGAGACAGGGTTTCTCCATGTTGGTCAGGCTGGTCTCAAACTCCCGACCTCAGATGATCCTCCTGCCTTGGCCTCCCAAAGTGCTGGAATTACAGGCATGAGTCCCTGCGCCTGGCCTAATTTTTTTGTATTTTTAGTAGAGATGGGGTTTCACTATCTTGGCCAGGCTGGTCTTGAACTCCTGACCTTGTGATCTGCCCATCTTGGCCTCCCAAAGTGCTGGGATTATGGGCATGAGCTGCCACGCCCAGCTCGTTTTTTTAAGATGACAGATTTTATAGCATACATGTATGCTGATGGGAATGATCTTCCTGAGGGGAGAAGTTGATGTGGATAGAGGGGGAGAATTGTTAGAGCAATATCTTCAAGTAGTGAGAAACACTGAATCAAATGGAGACATTGGCCTGAGATAAGAACATTGTGTATCTGTATGAACAAAAGGGAATATGTGATTGCAGGTGCTGGTGAGTGGGTAGATGCAGTGGATCCTGGTGGAAGTTCTCTATTGATCGCTTTATGACTCAGGTAAAATAATTGAGGGTAGAACAGAAACCATTGGAAATCCTGGCCAGTAATTGTGAATGTATAATTATGTACATTGTAGTCTTTGCCAAATGGTTCTAGAAAGTTGAATGTTTCACCTTCTAGTATTGTCTGAAGGTAACACCTTAATTCTTAATCAGATTTGTATGACTTAGCCTTTGTTCAATTCCCAAAACAAATGAGCAGTTCTTGGGACAGGTGCTTTGAAAGACTAATGTTTAAACCACTGTTTCTGAAATAAATTACCCTTTATTCAAACTCAGACTGATTTTGGCATCTGTTTAATACAGAGTCAACGTAAGTCATACTGCCTTTTTCGGTTACTTTAAATCAAGATAGAAGTTTTCAAGTAGAAATTTTACATTTAAATTAAAACTGGAGTATTCTGATTTTCAAAACTGCTTAGAGATTAACCCAAACCCATTTGCAAAAAGGGAACAAATTTCAGTTTTAAAACTTGCCACAGGCCAGGCACGGTGGCTCACACCTGTAATCCCAGCACTTTGGGAGGCCAAGGCAGGTGGATCACTAGGTCAGGAGTTCAAGACCAGCCTGGTCAAGATAGTGAAATCCCGTGTCTACTAAAAATACAAAAAGTAGCTGGGCATGGTGGTGGGTGCCTGTAATCCCAGCTACTCGGGAGGCTGAGGCAGGGAATTGCTTGAACCCGGGAGGTGGAGGTTGCAGTGAGCCAAGATTGTGCCACTGCACTCCAGCCTGGGCGACAGAGCGAGACTGTCTCAAAAAAAAAAAAAAAAAAAAAAACTTGCCACAGTTAGAAGAGTCTATAAATGCCAGGTAAAGATTTAAAGCTCAGTCTGTCATTTTCACTAACTGGTACTGGAGCACAGTTGATTTTCCCACCACATTCTCCCCACAGAATTGTCTTTCCCAAGGATTTTCTTTTTCTTTGCAGTTTCCTCCCTTTCAGTCACACATGCAATTCCAGGTGATGGTTTGTGGGTCCAAGCCCTTTGTTTTAGAAAAATGCACTCGAAGATAGAGATGTGTAACCTAGATGCCTGTTCTTGGCCTTGCTACTTCTCAGTTATTTGCCTCTGAATTTAATCATTTTTTGCATTCTCTGGGCCTCAATTTTCTTTCCTGTAAAAAGAAGAAGAGACAAAATTACTGTTCATAAAAATTGGATAACAGATCACCTTTATTCAGATCACCTGAGAAGCTTACCTAAACTGTGGGTTCCTTGGCCCCATAGCAGACTCACCTAATCTCAGGAGTTGGGGATAAGATGGTGGATCAGCATTTTTTTTTTTTTTTTGAGACGGAGTCTCACTCTGTCACCCAGGCTGGCCTGCAGTGGTGTGATCTCAGCTCACTGCATCCTCTGCCTCCTGGGTTCAAGCAGTTCTCCTGCCTCAGCTTCCTGAGTAGCTGGGATTACAGGCACCCACCACCACGCCCGGCTAATTTTTGTATTTTTAGTAGAGACGGGGTTTCACCATGTTGGCCAGGGTGGTCTCGAACTCCTGACCTCAGGTGATCTGCCCGCCTTGGCCTCCCAAAGTGCTGGGATTACAGGCATGAGCCACTGCACTCAGCCGATCAGCATTTTTAAAAATGGAAATGGGGTCTTACTGTGTTGCCCAGGTTGGTCTTGAACTCCTGGCCTCAAGCTGTCCTCCTACCTTGGCCTCCCAAACTGCTAGGATTTTAGGCATGAGCCACTGCACCTGGTCATGGATCAGCATTTTTTTTTTTTTTAAAAGAGAAAATGGCCGGGCACAGTGGCTCACACCTGTAATCACAGCACTTTGGGAGGCCGAGGCGGGTGGATCACCTGAGATCAGGAGTTCGAGACCACCCTGGCCAACGTGGCAAAACCCCGTCTCTGCTAAAAATACAAAAATTAGCTGGGCATGGTGGTGGGCGCCTGTAATCCCAGTTACTTGGGAGGCTGAGGCAGGAGAATTACTTGAACTCAGGAGGCAGAAGTTGCAGTGAGCCGAGATCGCGCCACTGCACTCCAGCCTGGGGGACAGAGTGAGACTCTGTCTCAAAAAAAAGAAAAAAAAAAAAAAGAAAATGTCTCAGTTGATTCTAAACATAGCTAAATTTTGAAATCCTGGAGCCCTATGATATCTTCTTGCAGTCTTACTGTATAATATGTGAGCTCTCTCAGTGTTATTACAGTAAATTAGGTGAGTATGTGATGTGCTAAACTGGATTCCTCAGCTATCATTAGGAAGCAACATAGCCACTCTGTGCTCTCAGTGGCTGCTTTGTAGAAATAGCTACCTTTGGCCAGGCATGGTGGCTCACACCTGTAATCCCAGCACTTTGGGAGTCGAGGATCACTTGAGGTCAAGTGACTTCACTTGGTGGATCACTTGAGGTCAGGAGGATCACTTGAGGTCAAGAGTTTGAGAACAGCCTGGCCAGCATGTGAAACCCTGTCTCTAATAAAAAATACAAAAATCAGCTGAATGTGGTGATGTGCGCCTGTAATCCCAGCTTCTCAGGAGGCTGAGGCAGGAGAATCGCTTGAACCCGGGAGGTGGAGGTTACAGTGAGCCAAGATTGCCACTGCACTCCAGCCTGGGCAGCAGAGTGAGACTCCGTCTCAAAAAAAAAAAAGAAAGAAAAAGAAAAAGAAAAAAAGAAAATTAGCCAGGCATGGTGATCCATACCTGTAGTCCAAGCTACTCAAGAGTCCGAGGCACAAGAATTGCTTGAACCTGGGAGGCAGAGGTCACAGTGAACCATGTTCTGTCACTGCACTACATCCTGGGTGACAGAGCGAGACTCCATCTCAAAAAAAAAAAAAAACAAAAAAAGAAAAAGAAAAGAAATAGCCACCTTTTACAAACCCAGTTAGTCATGAGTGGCATACTGTCCCAGGAGATGTACGTGGACCTTGAGAGGTTGTTAGGGATGAGGTGCTGGTTCGCCCAGATTCTTTATGCATATTATCTAACCTTCATATCAACTCAATAGGATGATACTATAATTATCTCCATGTTACAAATGAGGAAACCGAGGCAGGGCATTGCGGCTCACGCCTGTAATCCCAGCACTTTGGGAGGCCGAGGCGGGCGGATCACCTGAGGTCAGGAGTTCGAGACCAGCCTGACCAACATGGAGAAACCCCGTCTCTACTAAAAATACAAAATTAGCCAGGTGTGATGGTGCATGCCTGTAATCCCAGCTACTCGGGAGGCTGAGGCAGGAGAATTGCTTGAATCTGGGAGGCAGAGGTTGCGGTGAGCTGAGAATCGTGTCATTGCACTCCAGCCTGGGCAACAACAGTGAAACTCTGTCTCAAAAACAAAAACAAAAACAAACACACACACAACAAGTGAGGAAACCAAAGCTCACAATCACCTGGTAATTTACCTAAAATCACATAGCCAGTAAGTGATGGAGCAAGGATTGAAACCCAAGATTTTGTCTCTAAAGTTTGTGTTCTTTCTACTAAGCCATGCTGTGAGTAGTTTTCGTTCTTCTTTTCTTTTGTTTTTTTTTCTGGAGACTGGGTTTCACTCTCTCTCCCAAGCTGGAGTGCAGTGGCGGATGTTGGCTCACTGCAGCCTTGACCTCCGGGGTTCAGGTGATCCTCTTTCCTCAGCCCCCAAGAAGCTGGGACTTCAGGTGCTAACATAGTGTTTTATTTTAGAATAGAACAGAGAGAGTTTCCATATATCTGACACCCAGTTTCCCTAATGTTAGCATCTTGTATTAGTATAGCACACTGTGACAATTATTAGGTTGGTGCAAAAGTAATTGCGGTTTTTGCCATTGAATAATGATAAACCAATATTGGTACGTTATTATTAACTAAAATGCATACACTATTCAGATTTTCTGATTTCTTTCTTTAACATAACATCCTTTTTCTGTTCTAAGATCCCATCCTTGATACATTACATTTAGGCTTTTTGTCTCCTTAGGCTCCTTTTGGCTGTGACAGTTTCTAAGAGTTAACTTGTTTTTGATTATCTTGACAGTTTTGAGGAATACTGGTCAGGTATCTTATAGACCACTCTTCAACTTGGATGTTTATCTTATGGTTAGACTGGAGTTATGGCTTTTGGGAAGAAGACCGTGGAGATATAATGCCATTCTCATCACATCAGATCAAGAGTACATATTGTTGGCTGGTGTGGTGGCTCACGCCTATAATCCCAGCACTTTGGGAGGTCAAGGCAGGTGGATCATTCGAGGCCAGGAGTTCAAGACCAGCCTGGCCAACATAGAGAAACCCTGTCTTTACTAAAAAATACAAAAATTAGCTAGGTGTGGTGACACAGGCCTGTAATCCCAGCTACCCAGGAGGCTGAGGCACAAGAATCAGTTGAGCCAGGGAGGCAGAGGTTGCAGTGAGCCAAGATTGCACCACTGCCCTCCAGCCTGGGCAACAAAGCAAGACTCTGTCTCAAAAAAAAAAGAAAAAAAAAACCATTGTCAACATGATTTTTCACTGTTTCTATTAACCAGGATCACCTGGTTGAAATAGTATACATTTGATTTTCCACTGTAGAGTTACTCTTTTCTCTGCCTTGTAATTCTTTTTTATAGTCTATTGCTTTCTTTTCCTGTTATTCTCTTTTACCCATTTGTAATTGCCCTTGGTTCTCGATGTTCCATTGAATTTTAGGGGAATAACTAAGCTATTTGACTATTATGTTTATCATTAGAGTCAGGAAAGGATAATGAGAAGAGGGTATATCATTTGAAGAAACTTTTTCACAGCTTAGAGAATTTTTAGATATCAACATGATTTGCTTTTAAAATTTTTTTGGTGAGGAGCAGGATGCTAGACAAGATGTAGACAAGATATCTCTTCCTGTTTGTTTGCTTTTCAAGAGATGGGGTCTCACTCTGTTGCCCAGGCTGGAGTGTAGTGACTCAGTCATAGGTCCTAGTTCACTGCAGCCTCAAACTCCTAGACTCAAGCAGTCATCCTGCCTCAGCCTCCCTTCTTTCAAGCTATCCAGAGTTAGAAGCTCCGTTGGAAATAATTTTGTTTTTTTAGGGCTATTCTCTAAAAGAACAATATCTTCCAAAATCACTGAGTAATCTTGCAGAAAAGCTAATTTACTTTCGGAGGTGGGGGCAGGAAAAAGTATTGGTCATATCACATGTCAGTAGGAAGACCACAGGATATCCTTAAAAATTGGATAGGGAGCACGACCAGTGCTAGAACTGTTCAGAAATAACCGTCTAGGCTGGGCGCGGTGGCTCATGCCTGTAATCCCAGCACTTTGGGAGGCCGACCCAGGCAGATCACCTGAGGTCGGGAGTTCGAGACCAGCCTGACCAACATGGAGAAACCCCGTGTACTAAAAATACAAAATTAGCCAGGCATGGTGGCACATGCCTGTAGTCCCAGCTGCTCGGGAGGCTGAGGCAGGAGAATCGGTTGAACCCAGAAGGCGGAGGTTGTGGTGAGCCAAGATTGCGCCATTACATTCCAGCCTCCAGCCTCGGCAACAAGAGCGAAACTCCGTCTCAAAAAAAAAGAAAAAAAGAGAAATAACTGTCTAGAAATAACTGTCCAGAATATTACTGTTTCTTTTACAGTGTAAATGATACCTTAAAAAGGTTACATATGGGGCTGTCAGTCCCGTTAATGAAGCTTACTGTCATGTGTCTAGTGGAAAAGCTTAATCTTAGGTTATCTTCCCTGAGCCTGTGGTAATATCACCAGGAAATGTCTAAACAAGGGAGTCTGGGACTGATACCTGGTACCAGGTATAACTAAAGCAGCTGACAGTAGAGTCTATTCTAACAAAAAACAAAACAAAATAAAAATAAAAAAGACAGTAGTCTATTCTGGGAAAAGATTTCCCAGTCCATCCTTTGGCTCAGGTCCCAAACGTCGGTGCTAACATTGAAACAGCTGGATGTGGTTTTTTTTGTTTTGTTTTTTGTTTTTTTTTTTGAGATGGAGTTTCGCTCTTGTTGCCCAGGCTGGAGTGCAATGGCGTGATCTCCGGCTCACTGCAACCTCCGCCTCCCGGGTTCAAGCGATTCTCCTGCCTCAGCCTCCCGAGTAGCTGGGATTACAGGCATGTGCCACCATACCCAGCTAATTTTGTATTTTTAGTTGAGATGGAGTTTCTCCATGTTGGTCAGGGTGGTCTCAAACTCCCAGCCTCAGGTGATCCGCCCGCCTCGGCCTCCCAAAGTGCTGGGATTACAGGCATGAGCCACCACGCCTGGCCTGGATGTGGATTTTTAAAAATTATTTATTTTTTGATACAGGGTGTCACTCCATCACCCAGGCTGGAGTACAGTGGCACGAACATGGTTTACTGCAGCCTCGACCTCTTGGGCTCAAGTGATCCTCCTGCCTCAGCCTCCCTAGTAGCTGGGACTATAGACATATGCCACCAAGCCCAGCTAATTTTTTAAATTTTTTGTTGAGACAGGGTCTTGCCCTGTTGCCCAGGCTGGTCTCAAACTTCTAGGCTCAAGTGATCCTCCTGCCTCATCCTCCGAAAGTGCTGGGATTACAGGCCTGAGCCACCACGCCCAGCCTGGATGTGGAATTTTTTAATTTTTTTTTTTTTTTTGAGACAGAATCTCGCTCTGTCACCCGGCCTGGAGTGCAGTGGCGAATTTCGGCTCATTGCAACCTCCGCCTCCTGGATTCAAGCAATTCTTCTGCCTCAGCCTCCTGAGTAGCTGGGATTACAGGTGCATACCACCACGCCCGGCTAGTTTTTGTATTTTTAGTAGAGATAGGGTTTCACCGTGTTGGCCAGGCTGGTCTCAAACTTCTGAGCTCAAGTGATCCGCTTGCCTCGGCCCCCCAAAATGCTGGGATTACAAGCATTAGCCACCATGCCCAGCCTGGATATGGAATTTTTAAAAATAATATATTAGTAGTGGGGGCAGGGAGGAGAAAAAAAGAAAAAAAAAGAATGATGTATTAATGTGCTTGTCACTATTCGATTCTGCTTTTTAATATTGTTTTGCACTAAGCACTTTATACATTTTTAAAATTATAATATGCAAATGTGTTAGGAGAATGCCAAATCTTGTGGCAATGGGGAAGAAGTGGATGATGATTAACTGCTGAATATCAGACAGTATAACAAGAGGACACACGTGCCTTTCAAATATACTCCTAGCTTCTATTCTGTCTTAAAAACGAGTGATTGATCTCATTGTTTTAGTATTTTGTTTGTGAATGAGACAATCCAGTTCTACTCACAGATCTTTCCTTGATTACCAAATGTATTTATTACCAAAATGTATTAATATCTGTCCTTAGCTATTTCTCCTCCATGTTGAAAATCCTGCCTCCTTTAACTTGTAGTCATTGGGTCAAACTCATGAGACTTTTCTATTCTTTCTTAAAACCATCTAAAATAAAACCTTCTTATTTTAGTAGTGTCAGTGAAAATAAGCAGTGACATTTCTTAGAATTCTCAGCTTTCAAATCTACATGCTGTGATCCTGTCTGCCTACCATCTGGACAGTTTTTGTTTACTCTTGGGTTCCCCCATGGAGTAAAAGTCTCAAATCATCTAGCATTGTTTCTCTTATTCTCAGGTATCCATGTAATCTCCTAACAGTACTTCATGTTTTATTACCACAATAAATTTCATTTCATATGATGCCTTATCCTTGTATATCTCCAATGCTATATAGATTAACTTTATGTCCTAAATGTAGTTATAAGAGGCTAATTCTAAATGGGAGAGGAACGCAAGATACTATCCCTGAGTCATTTCTAACTTCTGCTTCCCAGGAATGACCCTCTTGGTTTCAAGGACACTTGGTAGTGCCATGGACCAATTCATGGCTCGTGCTCAATGTTTGGCTGTTTAGTTTCTATGTAATTAGGATCAGGCCAGTTTCTCAAGTTCTCCAGTTTTCTTTTCTTTTCTTTTCTTTTTTTTTTTTTTTTTGAGACAGAGTGTCGGTCTGTCGCCCGGGCTGGTGTGCAGTGGTGTGATCTCGGCTTACTGCAAGCTCTGCCTCCTGGGTTCACGCCATTCTCCTGCCTCAGCCTCCCGAATAGCTGGGACTACAGGTGCATGCCACCATGCCCGGCTAATTTTTTGTATTTTTAGTAGAACGGGGTTTCACCGTGTTAGCCAGGATGGTCTCGATCTCCTGACCTCGTGATCCACCCACCTCGGCCTCCCAAAGTGCTGGGATTACAGGCGTGAGCCACCGCACCCTGCCAAGTTTTCCAGTTTTCATAACTGTGAGGAGATGTGCTGTTCCTAGGTGGGTAAGAGCTGTGATGGGTCGTTTATTGACTTATAAATATCACCTTGAATTCTAGGAGGCTCCTTTGCCCTTTTTTGTTTATTTATTTTGAGACGGGGTCTCACTCTGTTGCCAAGGCTGTTCTTGGCAACAATTCTCCTCCCTCAGCCTCCCGAGTAGCTGGGATTACAAGCACGTACCACCACCACGCCTGGCTAATTTTTTTAGTAGAGACGGGGTTTTGCCATGTTGGCCAGGCTGGTCTCCAACTCCTGACCTTAGGTGATTCACCCACCTCAGCGTCCTAAAGCGCTGGGATTACAGGCATGAGCAACCACTCCTGGCCTCCTTTGTCCTTTTAAAACTCAGAAGCTATTTCTCATTCCCCCTTGAGGAGATGAACTCTTGAACTATGGCTTTTTATTTTTATTCTTCCTTTTCTGTTTTTGGGTAAGAGACAGGGTCTAGCTTTTTGTCCCTGAGTGGAATACAGTGGCATCATCATAGCTCACTGCAGCCTCAAATTCCTGGGCTCAAGCGATCCTCCTGCTTCAGCCTCCCAAGTAGCAAGGACTACAGGCATGAACCACTATGCCCAGCTATTTTATTTTATTATTTGTAGAGACAGCGTCTCACTGTAATGCCCAGACTGGTCTTGCACTCCTAGCCTCAAGTGATCCCCCTGCCTTGGCCTCTCGAAGTACCGAGATTACAGACATGAGCCATCGCACCTGATGTACTATGCATTAATTGATTCTACTTTTCAAATAAATTGTGCCCCTGATAATTTCCTCTTTTCTGTAGTTCTCTCTAGAAGTGATGATGGGTTGTGGGTTTTATATTTGATTTGTTGGCTTTTATGTTGTGTCCCTTTTTTGTCTTCTCTCCCATTTTAGTAAGCTTTCTGAAATCCCACTGCTGAATCTCAGAATGTTTCTTGCTATTGAATTTACATATGTGAGTTACAGGGTAGTTGCATTTTATGTGATGAATGGGTTCTTAAAGACCTCATATAATGAATTTTAATTCTAATAATGGATTGCTGATATTTCTGCTTACTGGCTAAAGTAGTTGGTGGTACCATGTGACACCAGTATGAACATGGTTTACAGTTTACTGCCAGCTTTTACATTAGCGATTCTTTTTTTAAAAACAATATTATTCTATTAAGACATAATTTGATAGCTGGGCATGGTGGCTCACGCCTGTAATCCCAGCACTGTGGGAGGCTGAGGCGGGCAGATTACGAGATCAGGAGATCGAGAGAATCCTGGCCAACGTGATGAAACCCTGTCTCTACTGAAATACAAAAAATTAGCTGGGCATGGTGGTGGGTGCCTGTAGTCCCAGCTACTTGCGAGGCTGAGGCAGGAGAATCGTTTGAACCCAGGAGGCGGAGGTTGCAGTGAGCCAAGTTCACGCCACTGCACTCTAGCCTGGCAACAGAGCAAGACTTCGTCTCAAAAAAAAAAAAAAAAAAAAAACGGGGGCATAATTTGTATGGGGGGGGGATATACATTACTTATAGTTAAATGAGCAAATCTTAAGTGCACAACTCAGAGATTTTGTTTTTTACATATGTATACAGTCATGTGATCATTACCTAGATCAAGATACGAAAACTTTCTTCACCTCAAAAAAGCCCCCTCATGCCCCTTTCCTGTCTGTACAACCCCCATAGAGGTCAGCTCCTATTCTGACTTCTAACACTGTGGCTTTGTTCTGTTCTTTTTTTCTTTTCTTTTCTTTTTTTTTTGTGTTTTTTGAGACAAAGTTTCATTCTGTCACCCAGGCAGCAGTGCAATGGCATGATTATCATAGCTCACCGCAGCTCCAGCTCTTGGGCTCAAGCAATCCTCCTGCCTCAGCCTCCCAAGTAGCTGGGATTGCAGATGCACACCACCATGCCTGACTAATTTAGTTTTTGTAGAGATGGGGTACTGCTATGTCTCCCAGCCTGGTCTTGAATGCCTGGTCTCAAACAATCCTCCTGCCTCAGATTCCCAAAGTATAGTTCTGTGTTCTTGAACTTCGTGTAAATGGACGTCTGTGATAGGTAGTATTTTATGTCTGGCTTCTTTCTTTGAACACGTTTTTGAGATTCATCTATGTGGTTGCATCTGTCAGTAGTTTATTCCCTTCCATTACCATGAGTGCTTCTTAATATGAATATCCCACTTTTTTTCTTGTTTGAGACAGAGTCTCGTTCTGTTGCCTAGGCTGGAGTGTGCAGTGGCACAATCTTGGCTCACTGCAGCCTCTACCTCTTGGGCTCAAGTGATCCTCCCACCTCAGCCTCCCAAGTAGCTGGGACTACAGATGTGCATCACCACACCCGGTTAATTTTTGTATTTTTGTTGAGACAGGGTTTCATCATGTTGCCCAGGCTGGTCTTGAACTCCTAGGCTCAAGAGATCTGCCCACCTCAGCCTCCAAAGTGCTACGATTACAGGCATAAGCCACCATGCCCGGCCCTCATTTTTTTTTTTTTTAAGTTGTTCTCCTGTTGATGGATACTTGGGCTGTTTCTACTTTGAATATAGCTGCCATCAACATTGTTTGTACTTTTCAGTGGATATATGCACTCATTTCCTACTTGTCAACTTTAAGAGATATTTTAGACATAGCAAGCATCCCAGAGAGCTCTCCATTTCCTTAGTCCTGCTCCATCTGAAAGATCTGATGATATAACTAAGTATTACAGAAGTTTGGGGAGGAAAGACCACTTGGCTAATAATAAAAGATACTAATTATTAGGGGCTAATGACCTAAAGTAATGTGAGGAAGATATTGTAGGAGGGAAGGAGGCTCGTTAGTAATACCATAAAAATGATGGGTTTTGTGCCAGGAGGCATACTTTTTCATTTGAGCCCTGTCACTTGCTGGTTACCGGTTGTTTAACCCCAGTTGCCTTACCTTTAGGGTAGAGATGGTAATACCTACCTTTCATAGTTTTTGTTCATATTACATACAATACAGTACTCAGTTGGAGAGGGTTTCTGGGAACTGATGATGAAGTTGACATCTTTATATATACGGAGATACTAGCTAAGGAGTAAGTTGTCAGGGTTCTTTGGTTGAGAGGTCAGGCAAACTGGCTTTGTCTCTAGGGAATCTGAAAGAAACAAAAAGAATCGAGACAAGAACTTTACATCCATTCAACAGGATTATTTTTGCAGTTGCCTGTTCTGGGGACCCTGGTTGATACTTTCATGAAAATGAAATATTCCTAAGAATTCATCAAATGCTAGCCATTGTTCGTGTAAAGGCTAGAAGTTATAACATCAGGAAAAGCTATGGATTTTTATGTACACAAATTTCGATGACTAACATGTCCTTTTACCCAAAGTATCCTACTTGCTGCCACCTTGGGTCTCAGGGATAGGAAAGGTAGTTAGGGATCAAAGTGTGGCTGACAAGATCCTGCATAATCTTCCCTTCTCTCCACCTCTACCTTTGTGCATACTCTTGTTCCTTCAGCCAAGCCTTTACCTATTAGAGAGTTGCAGTGACCCACCGGGCACGGTGGCTCACGCCTGTAATCCCAGCACTTTGGGAGGCCAAGGCGGGTGGATCACTTGAGGTCAGGAGTTCGAAACCAGCCTGACTAACATGGTGAAACCCGGTCTCTACTTAAAATACAAAATTAGCTGGGCGTGGTGGTGCATGCCTGTAATCCCAGCTACTCGGGAGGCTGAGGCAGAAGAATCGCTTGAACCCGGGAGGCGGGAGTTGCGGTGAGCCAAGATCGTGCCATTGCACTCCAGCCTGGGTAACAAGAGCGAAACTCTGTCTCAAAAAAAAGAGAGTTGCAGTGAGCCTTATAGTTTGCGTCTCTGTGGACATCTGGCCAGACTTCATGCTGTTAGACATTAATCATTTCAGTCTACAGAGGACTTTTTTTTTTTTTTTTTTTTTGGGACGGAGTCTTGCTCTGTCCCCCAGGCTGGAGTGCAGTGGCACAATCTTGGCTCACTGCAACCTCCGCCTCCCAGATTCATGCAATTCTCCTGCCTTAGCCTCTCGAGTAGCTGGGACTATGGGCATGCACCACCACGCCCAGCTATTTTTGTATTGTTTTCTTTTTTTTTTTTTTGGTAGAAACGGGGTTTCACCATGTTGGCTAGGCTGGTCTCGAACTCCTGACCTCAGGTGATCCACCCGCCTCAGCCTCCCAGAGGGCTGAGATTACAAGTGTGAGCCACTGCGCCCAGCCTACAGAGGACTATTGAGCATCCAATGACTATGCTAGGTATGCAGGTATAGTACTAAGTAACAGGAGTTCCTAATCCTAAGAGGTTCTCCATCTAGCAGAAGAAAACCAAACACTTATGTGGTAAATGAAGAGGGCTATGGATAGCCATTGAAAAAAGGCTGTGGATGGAGGTAAGAGAGTTTGGCATGTTCATGGACTTACAAATAGGTTGGGTGTTCCTGAGCCAGGATATGTGAGGGGAGAGTGGTACAAGTGGGTATTAGAAAGGTAGTTAGGGGCCAGGTGCGGTGGCTCATGCATGTAATCCCAGCACTTTGGGAAGCTGAGGTGGGCAGATCATCTGAGTTCAGGAGTTCGAGACCAGCCTGGCCAACATGGTGAAACCCCATCTCTACTTAAAATACAAAAATTAGCCAGGTGTGGTGGCAGGCGCCTGTAATCCCAGCTACTTGGGAGGCTGAGGCAGGAGAGTGGCTTGAACCTAGGAGGCGAAGGTTGCAGTGAGCTGAGATCATGCCACTGCACTCCAGCCTGGGCAACAGAGTTAGATGCCAACACACACACACACACACACACACACACACACACACACACACACCAACACACACACGCACACAGTAGTTAGGGATCAAAGTATGGCCAAACAAGGTCCTGCACAGTCATCCTGTCCCCTCATCTCTCTGACCTCATTGCCTGCTGCATTCCTGTCCCTCACTGTATTTTAGCCTCACACCTGGGCCTCTGCTCTTGCTATTTCTGCCTGGAACACTCTTCCTGCATGTCCTTGTGACTCTCTCCTTTACCTGCTTCACAGGTCTTTATTCATATGTCTCCCTCTGTGAGGCATTCCCTAACTACAGTTTGAAAGGACAACTTCCCTGACTCCTTTTCCTCTTGTTTTGTTTTTTTTTTCCCCCCTTGGCACTTATCACCATATGTCACACTGTCTTTCTTCCCCTCAGCAAGCTATACGCTTCCTGGGGCTGAGGGCTTTTTGTCTGTTTTAGTCACTGCTGACTCTAGTACCTGGCACATAGTAGTTGCTCAAAGAATGGAATTTTATATGTGTGTGTGTGTGTGTGTGTGTGTGTGTGTGTGTGTGTGTATCTCATGGTAAGTAAGGGATTTGGAATTTATCTTTTCTTCTTTCTTTTCTTTTCTTTTTTTTTTTTTTTTTTTTTTGAGAGACAGAGTCTCTCTGTATTGCTCAGGCTGGTCTTGAATTCCTGGCCTCAAGTAATCTTCCCACCTCAGCCTCACAAAGTGCTGGGATTACAGGCGTGAGCCACTGCACCTGGCCTGGCCTTTATCTTGAAGGCTCTGGTGAATAAGTGAAGGATGATGAAAAGAAAGGGACATGATTATATTTATGAATTCATCCCCAATCTTCCCTTGGGAATTATTTTCTGGACAAATCCTAAGTACTTCAGCGTCCAGTTGTTAGGCCTAATTAAATTGTTTTCTCCATTTACTGCTGCCTAACTCCATCTAGCAGAGACACTGGAAGTGATGGGGCTTGCCATGGTTTGAATGTTTGTTCCCTCTGAAACATGTGTTGAAAGTTAATCCCCAGTGTAGCAGTATTGAGAGGTGGGGTCTTTAAGAGGTGTTTGGGTCATGACAGCAGAATGGATTAATTCGTTCCTGGATTAATGGGTTAGACTGGGAGTGGGGACTGGTGGCTTTATAAGAAGAGAAAGTGGCTGGGCGTGGTGGCTCACACCTGTAATCCCAGCACCTTGGGAGGCCTTGGCAGGCTGATCACTTGAGCTCAGGAGTTCCAGATGAACCTAAGCAACATGATGAAACCCTGTCTATACCAAAAATACAAAAAATTAGCCAGCTGTGGTTTGCATGTCTGTGGTCCCATCTACTTGGAAGGCTGATGTGGGAAGATCACTTGAGCCTGGGAGGCGGAGGTTGCAGTGAGATTGAGCCACTGCACTCCAGCTTGGGTGACAGAGTGAAACTCCATCTCAAAAACAAAACAAAACAAAACAAAACAGAAAAAACAAAGAAAACATAAAGAATAGGCCAGGCATGGTGGCTCATGCCTGTAATACCAGCACTTTGGGAGGCCGAGGTAGGCGGATCACCTGAGATTGGGAGTTTGAGACCAGCCTGACCAACATGGAGAAACCCCGTCTCCACTAAAAATACAAAATTAGCTGGACATGGTGGCTCATGCCTGTAATCCCAGCTACTCGGGAGGCTGAGGCAGGAAAATCGCTTGAACCTGGGAGGCGGAGGTTACAGTGAGCCGAGATCACGCCATTGCACTCCAGCCTGGGCAACAAGAGCGAAACTCTGTCTCAAATAAACAAAAAATTATGAGTAGCCAGATGTGGTGGCACATGTATAATTTCAGCTACTCAGGAAGCTGAGGCACGAGAATGGCTTGAACTGAGATAGTGCCACTGCACTCCGGCCTGGGGAACAGAGTGATACTCTCTTAAAAAAAAAAAAAAGTCTGGGTTCGGTGGTTTATACCTGTAATCCCAGCACTTTGGGAGGCCGAGGCAGGCAGATCACCCACGGTCAAGAGTTTGAGACCAGCCTGGCCAGCATGACAAAACCTCATCTCTACTAAAAATATAGAAAATTAGGCGGGTATGATATCATGTGCCTGTAGTCCCAGCTACTTAGGAGGCTGAGGCAGGAGAATCGCTTGAACCCAGGAGCTGAAATTGCACCACTGCACTCCAGTCTGGGTGACAGAGACAGAGACTCTGTCACAAAAAAAAAAAAAGCCAGGTGCGGTGGCTCACGCCTGTAATCCCAGTACTTTGGAAGGCCGAGGTGGGTGGATCACGAGGTCAGGAGTTCGAGACCAGCCTGGCCAACATGGTGAAACACTCCCATCTCTGCTAAAATACAAAAATTAACTGGGTGTGGTGATGCGTGTCTGTAGTCCCAGCTACTCGGGAGGCTGAGACCGGAGAATCCCGGGTTCAAGTAATTCTCCTGTCTCAGCCTCCCGAGTAGCTGGGATTACAGGCATGTGCCACCACACCCAGCTCATTTTGTTTTTTTGTTCGTTTGTTTGTTCGTTTTTAGTAGAGACGGGGTTTCTCCATGTTGGTCAGGCTGATCTTGAACTCTCGACCTCAGGTCATCTGCCTGCCTCGACCTCCCAAAGTGCTGGGATTACAGGCGTGAGCTGCTGTGCCCGGCCTCTTTGTTCTTATTAAAGTGATGTGCTTTTGATTAAGAAGGAGTTAAGATGTTATTTAAGGGAATATTTTAAGTTATTATATTAGCTCCTCCCTGACCCATGGACCTATTCCTGGTTAACCTTCTTCATGAGGTGGTGGTTCTTCCTTGTTTCCTGTAGCCCTTTGCAGTCCTGTAACAACCTGGACCTGTGATGGTCTCAGGACATGTGAATGAAAGCAGAGCCAGTAGGTTCCCTTAGAAAAGGAAGAAATCCTTCTTGTTTATTTAGAAAGTTCAGACCCTGGGATTTTTCCAGAATACATGCTTTTCTAAGGTGTATACACATTACCTCCTGCTAAAGAGAAGAGTGGGAAAATTTGTATAGGACAGATCTGGGTAACTTTTAGTCCTCCCAGGGAGAGAATAAGTAAGATTTTACCATATTTCAGTTTGGCTCACTCTCAGGGCTGACAAGGATTTTTCTGTTTTGACACCAGGCTAGAAACTTTATGACTGGTAACATTGTTTTCACTTCTTAAAGTCCCTACTTGAAAGAGTACCCCCTATGCCCCCCACCCCCATTAGAACTGCAATTAACAAATTATCAGATTAAACTGAGACTTTGGACCTCCTCTCCTCCCTCAGAAATTGAATCAAAAGACTACTTGAAATGGTAACAAGGAACTATTACTGGCTTTTGTATTGTTCATTTTTAGCTGATAAGTGCTGCCCTATTCATCAAGTGGTCTTTCATATGGTTTTGTTAAGAAGTGAAAACAATGCCAATAGAGAATTTCCTTTAGTTCATGCCTGTGGCATAGTTAGATAAGATCTAAAAGTTTCTCATGCCCATTACAAAAGTTCCTGTTATTTGGATATTTCATAAATGACCCATAGAATGATGTTTTTAAAGATGTGGATATAGTTGTAATAATAATGTATACCCTGAATCCTGAGATCCAGACAAGTTTTGTCTAATACCAGTGAATGTTGATGTCAATCAGTAACTTTTCTGGCCTTTTTACAATTGAGGAGTAAAATAGGAAGAAAAAAATGGAGTGGGTAGAGGGGGAGACCCAAAAAAATGTTTGGCTTTAACCCCACCCAAAGGTGGGCTGATGCCTCTAGGGTATGTTATAAGTAGCTGGAGCCGACCCTGATCTCAGCTCCTGAGAGATCTATAACCATTTGGCTTCCGTGGATGGCTTCAATTCAACAAACATTTTCATAAGAAATAGTCCCTGTCTTCTAGGATAGTGTAGTCTTACTGGGGAGAATCTAAATGGATAATTTCAACACCCCTGATTAGAACTGCAATTAAAGAGCACTCCTGGGTAGAACCAAGTCTTAGGAAGCAGGAGTTTAGAGGTTCTGTAACTTTGTATTTACTTCCTATTTCTTTCTTTAAAGCATTATGTACTTGTATCTTCATGGGCATTTATATAAATGCAATGACTTGTAATTATTATTGGCCACATTGATGTTAAGTTGGAAATATTTTTATTACCAGAAGAGAAACTAGTATCTGTTCCAGATAGAAACCCCTTGGTCCTTGGGCTGCAGTATTTTGGAGACCATTCCAAATAGTTGTCTTCAAGGTGTTTATGGTCAAGACAGACTTTATACTCATGAATTTTGAAGTGTTTTTCTCAATTATCCTTTTATCCCTACCTCCTCACACCACAGAACCATGAAACATGCTTTTGTTGTTGCCCTTACGAAGTATTGCCTGTAAAATCAAAATAGTTTTGAGTAAGCAGTTAAATTATAACACCAGCAGTTTTTCTTTAAGGAATCTGTTTCCTTCAAAGTTATATGTGCCACGCTATCCTCCAGTGCCCTCTAGGTTTTCTGATTATGATGGTAATATGGTATTCTGGGAAATATCTGTCCAAATTATCCTGATCTCTGAACTCCTGCTGTTGAGGTCAGTCACTTCACACAATACCATGATGACAGCTTTATCAAGCCAGATGCTTAGTCAGAGCTTTCCAAGACCCAGCTTTGGTTTTATCAGCAAAATCCATCCTTCCCACCCCCCATACACACGCCAGTTTGAGGCTCCTCACTACCACAAAACAAAACAAAAAACAGCATCTGTGGGGTAGGGTTTTAGTTAACTGGTCTATCTGGCATTACTTTGCCCTCAAGGCCAGTTTTGTGTGTGAAGGACTGGTATACTGCCTGTGGAGCTGGAGTTGGAAGTGAATGCTTTATATTGGACCCACTCTGAGAAAGCGAGTCTGCACAGAGTGGTTAAGATGGGGAGACTTAACCTATCTTAAGGCAGGAGGTTAAGCCATCCTCCCGCCTCAGTCTCCTGAGTAGCTGGGGACTACAGGTACATGCCACTGTGCCTAGCTGTTAGCAAACTTATTTTAGCATGGCTCTTTTCCTCAAATTCTCCTTTGAATTAGCATTACTTCCTGCTTGCTCCCTTATTAATAAGTTAAATATATCCTAACACATGTTTACTCTATATATGTATGAAAGAGATGTTTCTATTTTTTTTAAAAAAAACTATACTTTGAAAACAGCCATGAAAATAGCCATTTTCCGTGGGGTAGAAAGGGTTCTGACTTTTTCTTTCAAAAGTTCTATCTTGTTTGATTATTTTATTTGAAAGTGTTTTAAAGCACTTTCATTTTCTTAAGGAAATAAAAATAAATAAGTCAGTTTCTCCCCAAAAGTCTGAAGTGTGTAAGACTAGAGTAACAGTTCTATTTGTTGAGAATGTAAGTGATATTGAGAAAATGGTAGGATTATATACCTGCTTCTCATCTTGTGACATTTGGCTATTATTGCCTAAGACACCTGTACTCAGAGCCAACTGTGTAGTATGCAGATCAGGGACCAAAAGGCTTTGTGAGCCATATAGAGCTCCTTTAGGAGGCCTTGAAATGTCTTTTTTTTTTTTTTTAATAGGGACTTATCTGAACCTAAACTTCCAAGGACAAGGGATTAACTCTTCTTTCATTAAATAACCCTTTAGGTTGGATTTCTTGATTACTCAGAACATGGAATTTGCCTTTTTTTTTTTCTTTTTTAGTTTTCAAGAGGTACCTAGAACAGTGTCTAGCTCAGTGTAAGCATTATGCATTAGCTTCACCTACCATTATTCATCTGTAAAATGAGGCTAGTAATACCTGCATTTTAAGGTTATAATGATTAAATTAGATAATAAATATAAAATTTGTAGCACTCAGTAGTTAGCACATAATAGGCCATCAAACAGTATTATTTATAACTCCTTAACAATAAACTAATACTAAAAAATGATAATAGCATGGAGATATAAAAATATTTTTTAGGCCGGGCACGGTAGCTCATGCCTGTAATCCCAGCACTTTGGGGGGCCAAGACGGGAGGACCACCTGAGGTTGGGAGTTCGAGACCAGCCTGACCAACATGGAGAAACCCCATCTTTACTAAAAATACAAAATTAGCCACTTGGTGGTGCATGCCTGTAATCCCAGCTACTCGGGAGGCTGAGGCAGGAGAATCCGTTGAAACTGGGAGGCAGAGGCTGCGGTGAGCCGAGATTGCGCCATTTCACTCCAGCCTGGGCAACAAGAGCGAAACTCCGTCTCAAAAAATATATACATACATTTTTAAATCGTGCATAAAATACAGGCATCCCCAATTAAAACAGGTGATTGTTTTATCTTGTTATCAAATAGTTGAGCTGCTCTATGTAGTCCTGGGTTCTGTGTAAATAGACACTACAATTGTGGGAAAGTGGCATAGAAATCAAACTAGGATTTGGAACTGCTTCACTGTTTAACCAGCTTCTTTGCAAACGTAAACAAGAATGCCGTGTAATTATACCACCATCATATGTGAAATTTTATTCTGATTTCATAGGAACCTTGGGAAACAGCTGAACCTATTAGCAGTTTTAGGGAATGTTAGTTCTGTTGTATAGGGTGTCTATCTGATTATTCAGTTTGCCACAGCTGCCTTTTGGGCTTGTGCCTTGTTTTGAAATTTGTTCCATTGATCATATCTGCTGTGCGATTTAGGAGGCCTTTGATGTGTTTGGGGAATGAAGCCCATGAGGGTGACTCCTGGCTCTAGGGGAAGAGGGCTCTAGGGGAAGAGGCTCAAGTAACATGTTCATCTACGCTTGATGTGGGCACATTTGGTCCTGTCGTGCTTGATGGGAACTCAATGGGAATGACACCCTTCCTTTCTTCACTTTTGTGCAGTAATGGCACTTAGACTGAATTTAGAAGCCCAGTGGCTTTGTTATTTTGAAGGCAGGCCAGGAAATGTCCTAATGAGTATAAAACCTTCATTTTATAAGTGTTCTTGCAGGAGCAGTATTTATTTCATCATATGTCACCATAGTGGTTATGTGCCTTTTTAACTATCGAATATCAGCTATTCCGAGAGTACTCCATGTTGTTCAAGATTTCCAGTTACTCAGGTGCTAGTGTGGAAGATATGTGTGTTTTAATAAAAATGTATTAAACCTATGTGCTATAACTGTAGCTGCTGTTTGGAATGAATTACATGCACATTCGGGCAGTTCTTCAAAGTCATTACTTGACATTTTATCTACGGCTACTCCATATAAAAATTATTGTTGGCCTGGCATGGTGGCTCATGCCTGTAATCCCTGCACTTTGGGAGGCTGAGGCAGGTGGATCACCTGAGGCCAGGAGTTCGAGACCAGCCTGGCCAACATGGTGAAACCTCGTCTCTACTAATAATACAAAAATTAGCCAAGTGTGGTAGCACACACCTCTAATCCCAGCTACTCGGGAGGCTGAGCCAGGAGAATCGCTTGAACCTGGGAGGTGGAAGTTGCAGCGAGCCAAGATTGTGCCATCGCACTCCAGCCTGGGCGAAAAGAGTGAAACTCTGCCTCCAAAAAAAAAAAAAAAAAAAGTTAATGTATGGCCGTGGGTTTTTTGTTTTTGTTTTGTTTTGTTTTGTTTTTTGGTTTTTCGGTTTTTTTTTGTTTTTTTCCTTGAGACGGAGTTTCGCTCTTGTTGCCCAGGCTGGAGTGCAACGGTGCGATCTTGGCTCACTGCAACCTCTGCCTCCCGGGTTCAAGCGTTTCTCCTGCCTCAGCCTCACAAGAAGCTGGGATTACAGGTGTGCACCACCATGCCGGGCTAATTTTTTGTATTTTTAGTAGAGACGGGGCTTCACCATGTTGGTCAGGCTGGTCTCGAACTTCTGACCTCAGGTGATCCACCACGCCTGGCCGGCCGTGTGCTTTTAAAGAAAGTTTGTAGGTACTCTTTTTTCTGATGGAGTCTCGCTCTGCCACCCAGGCTGGAGTGCAGTGACGTGATCTTGGCTCAATGCAAGCTTGGCGGGTTCACGCCATTCTCCTGCCTCAGCCTCCTGAGTAGCTGGGACTACAAGGCACCTGCCACCACACCCAAGCTAATTTTTTGTATTTTTCACCATGTTAGCCAGGATGGTCTCGATCTCCTGACCTCGTGATCCGCCCGCCTCAGCCTCCCAAAGTGCTGGGATTACAGGGATGAGCCACCGCGCCTGGCTTAGGCACTCTTTAAATGGCTTGCTTTTCCTGGAACTTAAAAAAAAATGAATAAAGTTATGTAATTTGAATATGGCTTTTCTTGTTTTTCTTGAAATTCTAGTAGAGACTTATTGTTTGTTTTCCAGAACTCCACTTTGGCTAAAGAGAATGTTATTCTTTGATATAGAAATTACCAAAGTTGTGGCTCACGCCTGTAATCCTAGCACTTTGGGAGGCCGAGGCGGGCAGATTGCTTGAATCCAGGAGTTTGAGACGAGCCTACACAACATGGTGAAATGCTGTCTCTACTAAAATTACAAAAAACTAGCCTGCCGTGGTGGCACGTGCCTGTAGTCCCAGCTACTTGGGAGGCTGAGGTGTGAGAATCACCTGAGCTTGAGAAGTCGGAGTTGCAGTGAGCTGAGATCGATTACGCCACTGCACTCCAGACTCTAGCCTGGGCAACCGGAGTGAGACCCTGTCTCAAAAAGAAAAAGAAATTGCCAAAATTGATGGATCCGCGTAATCTCTGACCACCCCATGTGTACTGGTGCACGGTCTGGGCTCACTGCAACCTCCACCTCCCAGGTTCAAGCGATTCTTGAACCTGGGACCACAGGCACATGCCACCACACCTGGCTAATTTTTGTATTTTTAGTAGAGACATGGTTTTGCCATGTTGCCCAGGCTGGTTTCAAACGCCTGGCCTCAAGTGATCCACCCGCCTTGACCTCCCAAAGTGCTAGGATTACAGGCTTGAGCCACCACACCCCATGTGATCTCACCATAAATTCATTTGATTTATAGATTTTGCTTTAAGATCATCGAGAGGGAATTAAGGACCATCTGCTTTAAACAAATTCAAAGTATGAAATATGAGCCAGGCATTTTGGTATACTCCTGTAGTCCAAGCTACTCAGGAGGCTGAGGCAAGAGGAATGCTTGAGCTCAGGAGTTAAAGACCAGACTGGGCAGCATAGCAAGACCCCATCTTAAAATATATATACATATACACACACACATATATATGAAATATGTAGATTTTTAGAAATAATGGAAGTAGGAGTTCTTTATAAAGGCTTCACAATATCAATTCTTAAAGTAGCAATAATTTAAAAGTATCCAATTTGCAATAAATATGCCAAATATTATATGGGCACTCAGGGTCACATAAAATTTGATATACCTGGGCCAGGCGCGGTGGCTCACGCCTGTAATCCCAGCAGTTTGGGAGACCAAGGCGGGTGGATCACAAGGTCAGGAGATCGAGACCATCCTGGCTAACACAGTGAAACCCTGCCTCTACTAAAAATACAACAATAAAAAAAATTAGCTTGAGCATGGCGGGGGGTGCCTGTAGTCCCAGCTACTCAGGAGGTTGAGGCAGGAGAATCCCTTGAACCTGGGAGGTGGAGCTTGCAGTGAGCCGAGATCGCGCCACTGCACTCCAGCCTGAGCGACAGAGTGAGACGCGTCTCAAAAACAAAAAAAAAAAATTGATATACCTGTATCCTTGACTTCTGGTTGCTGAACTCACTGTATAAAAGCTGTATGTTGATCTCTGCCACCTCATTTGTTCTTGTATGGTAAGTTTTTTTCCAGTTCACCCACAAATTGAGGTGGGGGTATACAATTGATTTAACTTTCCCCTACTTAGTTGAGATAATTAAGATGCTGAAATTAAGTTGAGCTATTTAAGATGCTCCTACTTTGTGACATAAAATAGGCCATGGAGATAAATTCTAGATGGAGGAGTTCTCCAACTTCATGAGATAAAAAGTAGAGGGAAAGATTTTGCCTTTCTAAAAGGTCAAGATATCTGAGACGTCGTTTTGGAAAGCCCTTACCTAAGATAATCCTAGAGGATCTCTTATATTGATTTATCATTATCACTGGCCTCAGCTTACCTTTCCTTGGAGAGTTCGGAGAATAAGTAAATGGTCCTATATTAGAGGTGGAGTGTGTCCCAGAGCCTTGTAGAGAAAAAGAGGTTCTAAGAATAGCCTTCTGTTTAATTTACTTCTCTCTGACTAGGTCTTTGGCTTTACCGGATTAAGATTGAAGAAAGAACTTCTTCAGCTTTGAAACACTAGACCTTTTAAGGCATCAGACTTGTTTGTGGCAACTATTCAGAAGGAATGTATCTGTATGCATGAAGTGCAGCATGATATATTCTGACTTTAAAGCTCATTCTTTTAAGGTGAGGTGGCTCATGCCTGTAATTCCAGCACTTTGGGAGGTGGCAGAGGTGGGAGAATCACTTGAGGCCAGGAGTTTAAGACCAGTCTGGGCAACACAGAGAGACCCCCATCTCTACCCAAAAAAAGAAAAAAATTAGCTGGATGTAGTGGCCTGTGACTGTAGTCCTAGCTGCTTAGGAGGCTGAGGTAGAAAGATCCCTTGCACCCAGGAGGTCAGAAGTGCAGTGAGCCATGATCAGTCACACCACTGCACTCCAGCCTGGGTGCCAGAGTGAGACCTCATCTCAAAAAAATAAAATTAAAAATTAAAATCCAGAATAAATGGATTAGAATCCTGGCTCTTCACTTATTAGTTCTACGACCTTGGACAAGTTATTTAAAGAGTTGTGCCCTCAGGTTTCTTATCTGTAAAATAGGAATAAAACTAGGAATTTTAGAAGGATTAAATTAATTAATACATGCAAAGCACTTAAAAAGCTGCATAGTAATTGGGCCAGGCGCGGTGGCTCACACCTGTAATCCTAGCACTTTGGGAGGCTGAGGCCAGTGGATTGCCTGAGCTCAGGAGTTTGAGACCAGCCTGGGCAACATGGTGAAACCCCGTCTCTACTAAAATACAAAAAATTAGCCGGGCGTGGCAGTATACGCCTGTAATCCCAGCTACTTGGGAGGCTGAGACAGGAGAATAATTTGAACCTGGGAGGCAGAGGTTGCAGTGAGCCGAGATCGTGCCATTACACTCCAGCCTGGGTGACAGAGTGAGATTCTGTCTCAAAAAAAAAAAAAAAAAGCTGCATAGTACATAATAGATGTAGATGCTCAATAAATATTAGTCATTACCATCAGTAGCAGTAGTAAGAGTTATAGTAACAATAATTGTCATTTCTCTTGGAGTTAAGTTATTCATCTATCCCTGCTACTTTCCCGTAATCCCCAAGCATAGGCACACTGTTGACAAAGTTAAAACCTTTTTCTAAAATACCGCTATTAAATAGAACTTTCTGCAATGATAGAAATGTCCTACATCTGTGCTCTTCAGTTTGATAACCACGGGCAACATGTGGCCAGTGGTGACTTTGTTGGGCAGTACAGATCTAAAGTGTAGTCTTTCCTCTACTTACATTATGTATGCCATGTTTTATGAATACTTTTAAAAATTCTATGAATATGTCCCACCTTAAAAGGTATATATTCTTTCTTTCTTTTTTTTCTTTCTTTCTTTTTTTTTTTTTTTGAGACAGAGTCTTGCTCTTTCACTCAGGCCAGAGTGCAGTGGCTCAATCTCGGCTCACTGCAACCTCCACCTCCTAGTTTCAAGCAATTCTTGTGCCTCAGCCTCCTGAGTAGCTGGAATTACAGGCGTGGGCTACCATGCCTGGCTAATTTTTTAATATTTTTAATAGAGACAGGATCTCACCATGTTGGCCAGACTGGTCTGAAACTCCTGACCTTAAGTGATCTGCCTGCCTTGGCTTCCCAAAGTGCTGGGATTACAGGTGTGAGCCACTGCGCCTGGCAAGAGGTATATATTCTTATACTGCATTTATAATTTCTTTAAGCCCAGTATCTCAAATCCAAATCCACATTCTAGTCTAGAGAGTTTACATTACTATTTTGCTGAAGTCTGTGATGTGTTTATTTGTTTTTTCTTTTTTCTAACTGTTTCATAGTACTGATGATTTCCAAGTTAGAGGCAAGAACTTGGAAGCTTTGTCTGGTATTTCACAAATTAAATTATTTTAGAGCAATAGTTGTGTTTTAACTAGACCATTATATTACTTAGGCTTTCTAATTGGGCTAGGAGATAGATCCCCTTGGGGAGGTAAATGTTTTTGACCAGGAACAGTAAGGCTATATGAAAGACAACAGCCTCTTTAATCACTATTCTTGTGGGATTTGAGGGTAGAGAATACCTCAGCACTTCAGATTGATGTGATAACTCTTCCTAGAGAAGATTTCTGACTGGGTGAGGTGGGTAATGCCTATAATCCCAGCACTTTGGGAGGCTGAGGCGGGAGGATCGCTTGAGGCCAGGAGTTCGTGGCCAGCCTGAGCAACATAGCAAGACCTGATCACAACAAAAAAATTTTAAAAATTAGCTGGATATGGTATTACATGCCTGTAGCCTCTGCTACTCGAGAGGCTGAAGCAAGAGGATTGCTTCAGCCTGAGGAAGTCGAGGCTGCAGTGAGCCATGATCGCATCACTGCACTCTAGCCTGGGTGACAAAGCTAGACCCTGTCTCAAGATTAATAAATAAATAAAGACTCATTTCTACAGTCAGTTCCTGTGGTCTGGATTAGTGTTGGTTTTATTTATGAAAGTATTCAAAATAGTTGACACGGACAGGCACAGTGGCTTACACCTGTAATCCTAACACTTCGAAAGGCCAAGGCGGCAGGATTGCTTGAACCCATGAGTTCGAGACCAGTCTGGGCAATGCAGGGAGTCCCCATCACTACAAAAAATTTAAAAATTAGTCGGGCATGGTGGTGCTTGCCTGTATTCCTAGCTATTTGGGAGGTTAAAGTGGGAGGATCCCTTGAGCCCAGGAGGTTGAGGCTGCAGTGAGCCGTAATTGTGCCACTGCACTCCAGCCTGGGCAACAGCAAGACCCTGTCTCAAAAAAAAAAAAAGGAAGAAGAAATGAAAAATAGCTGATGCCACATGGTGTTCTTAGATGCTCACCCTGTACTCTTCAGGACTGATGCCTTCTCAGTAAATCGTATTGTTCCCCTAAGTGAGATCACAAGAAAGACAGTCCTCTGCTCTACCTTCTCAACCTTGAGACTTTGTAAGTGACACCATTAAAGCAGTCTGAGCAGGGCTTTTCAAACAGTGTTCTGTAATGTGCTACTGAAAGAGGAAGCAAAGCTCTCCACCTAGATTGGAGCATCTCGACTGCTGTCAGGTTAATGTAGTGTTGGGATTTCTTCTGCTTAAGATATCCTTTGAAAAATGAGTCCTGCAGCTTTAACCAAAAAGAAAAAAAAAAGATTTTAAAAAAAAAAGTATTCTCAGCGAGGCATGGTGGCTCACGCCTGTAATCCCAGCACTTTGGGAGGCCAAAGCGGGTAGATCACCTGAGGTCAGGAGTTTGAGACCAGCCTGGCCAACATGGTGAAACCCCATCTCAACTAAAAATGCAACAATTAGCTGGGCATGATGGCAGATGCCTGTAATCCCAGCTACTCAGGAGGCTAAGGCAGGAAAATCACTTGAACCCAGGAGGTGGAGGTTGCAGTGAGCCGAGATTGCATCATTGCACTCCAGCCTGGGTGACAAAGCGAGACTCCACCTCCAAAGGAAAAAAAAAGTATTCTGGTATTTACTGACACCTGGATATTGGGACAAGTTACTTTGGTCTTGAGGAAACTAAAGGTGACATGTAGAGTGAGGGATGGGGAAAAATAGCAATTGTTATTTCAAAGACAATAGATTTTGAAAAATTATGCTCCTGTAAGACATTTGTTATCTCTAAAGTTTTCCAGCATAAGCCAAAGTGTTTTTTTTCAGAATTTGGTCAGTGTAGCCCAGAGGTCCAGTCTAGATGGTGTTTGGTGTAAGACTTATGGTTTCACTGGAATTCCTTCACACCAATCCTTGAAGGTCTGCCCCATTTGTGCTAGGCTGAGGCTATCTGGTTATGTGAAGCCCATAGCTAGGGGCCTGGAGGTCCCTATGTTAAAATTTGACTCACGGGACAAATAAGAACTGCCTCCTGCCTCCTTTTCTTACCTGTGTTTTGTAACGAGTTATTTTTAAGTTGCATCCAGACATCCAGCCTCTATGTATACTTCTCCCTGGTCCTCTACATTCTTTCTTTTCTTTGTGACCTCTGTTAAGTTTGTTAAAGGGATGGGAAGGGGTGCTCATTTGTTGAGCACTTTCTATGTGCCAGGCATTATGTTAGGTGCTTTGAATATACTATTTAATACTCAAAACAGCCTTATGAGATAGGTACTCTCATCCCTAATTTTAGGTGAGCAAATTATAAACATGAGAGAGGCTAAGTAACTTTTCTCTAACTCATATTTCTCTGTTAATAATAAAAGACGTGTGAATTAGTGATGATTTTCTCTCAGACTCAAACCCAGTTTTCTTTCCACCTTTCCTCTACACTTTGTAGTATTAGTTCCCCTTTTGTTGCTCTTCCAGGGAAAGGTGATCTATGGATAGCCTAACTACGGATTGTTGTGAGATCCTGAATGCTAACCATGGTGTTACTGACTTTCCCTAGGGTCCTATCCTTCCCCCAAAGCTGGAGCAACTCTGGTCGTGTACAAGGACTTGCTAGTGCTGTTTGGTGGCTGGACGCGGCCAAGCCCTTATCCCCTACACCAGCCAGAGAGATTCTTTGATGAAATACACACTTACTCACCCTCTAAAAATTGGTAAGTCACAAAGATAAACTCTTTAAATCTGGAAGAAAAGGCCTTAAATCAGTGGATTCTTTGTTTTTTTGTGTCAAGAGTCCCTTTGAGAATTAGATGGAAAGCTGTGGACTCTTTTCCCAGGAGGGGAAAAATGCACATATTCACAGATTTTACCAACAGTTTCAGAGAGTTTACAGGACTCTCTTAGAACCCTGCATTTAGAATCCTTATTCTAAAGAGAAAAAATAGAAGAGATTTATTCCTCTTTCAAGAAAAATGAATGAGCCAGTTGAAGAACAGCGAGCTCTTCAGCTTTGGCTGCTAACACTCCAGGAGTGTTGTAGATCCAGATGATTCCTTACTCCTAACTGTGTCTCCAAGACTTACTCTGAATTGTTTTTCAAACATATATCTCTTAATGACAGCAACCGCCGTTTCTTGTAATGGAAGACTTAGTACGTGGCGCTTGTTAGCTGTTACTGATCAGGACCATAGGGAAAGGTAGCAGGTGGCAGGTGGTGCTTTGTCAGCAAACCAGGCCAAAGAAGCCATGATCTTGTCTCTTGTCATCGTTTTCTCATCTCTCTCCCTCCAGACCGTTTACATTCAGAACTTGAAAGAAGATAACTTTAAGCAAACTTGTAGGAAAGGCATAAATACATTATGCCATCCTCTACTTATTATCCCAACAAATCTCTGCTGAAAGTGATAGGATTATCATTTTAAATGGATGCCTACTTACTATTTTTACATAAAGTGTGTGGTGCTGACTTCTTGACTTCCTCCTGTCTTTTTACATTAGGTGGAACTGCATTGTGACAACCCATGGGCCACCTCCCATGGCTGGCCACTCCTCCTGTGTGATAGATGATAAAATGATTGTCTTTGGTGGCTCTTTAGGATCCCGGCAAATGTAAGTACATTTGGTTTGCTCCATATGAGCCTGAAGGTAAATACTCCTGGGAATAACAGGTTTAAAAGTGAATTAGGGACCAGGTGCCTAATTCACACCTGTAATCCCAGCATTTTGGGAGGCCAAGGTGGGTGGATCACCTGAGGTCAGGAGTTTGTGACCAGCATGGCGAACATGGCGAAGCCCCATCTCTACTAAAAATACAAAAATTAGCCGGGCATGGTGGCACACACCTGTAGTCCCAGTTACTTGGGAGACTAAGGCAGGAGAATCGCTTGAACCTGGGAAGTGGCGATTGCAGTGAGCCAAGATCACCCCATTGCATTCCAGCCTGGGCAACAGATCGAGACTCTTAAGGAAAAAAAAAAAAAAAGTAAGTTAGGGTCAGTATTCCTGAGCATGGCTCTAATTAATCCAATTAGTTATCTCATCCTAGCATTCTGTTCTTTAATCCCTTAATCACAGACCAATAAATTGAAAAATTTGCTCTATAAAATCATAGTTATATAGAATCTCTTTGACATATGGTTCTATTCAGTAGGATCAAATTCTGATGGAACCTCCACCTTGCCTGCTGTGCTGTGCCTGCAGAAGGCCAACTTTCGAGAACAGAATGCTTTTACTTATTCTACTTTATTACCCAGCTCTTGCCCTTTTGGGCTTTAGAGGAGAAGAGGGGGAGATTGACAGGACAAGTGGAAATGGTGGGCCCTCCAAATGTGATAGGTTGGTTGAGCCACATGTAAAGGGCATGAAAAGAAAGAAAGAAGGAAAGAAAAGAAAAAAACAAATGGGATGGGTTGTGGAATGGGTAGGAACAGGAAAACTGTGTCAGGCATGACATTTCTGTGAGGTCATTGTCCCTACCTCCTGTCCTGTCCACTTCTGGCCATACTGGACAGCTCAAGCCATAGTCAGGAGCCAGAGCATTCCATCTGTATCACTGTCTGATTCAGCGGTAGCAGCAGTTGTGGTCATTCCCCCTGTGCTCTGAAGTGGAAGTTGATGAGCTGTCAGCAGCAAGACCATCCCACACCTGTCCTCCCTTAGGGCATTTCCATCTTCATATTTTAAAACAGTTATGGAGAGAGATTATAGGAGCTACTCTCCCAATGAGAGAGTTTAGGATTTCAGATATTGGAACTATTATTCCTGTATTTTTGTGGGTGAATCAATGACCTTAAGTGACCATGAAAGAGAGACTGCCATCCAGGAGTCTGTCCTCGTCATGTTGGTCCCTTGAGGGTTAGAGATGCCAGTCTGTCCTTGATAAAACTGCAGCTTTCATTAGTCATTGTGCAATTACTTTTTGTAGCCAGAATCGATAAAGCTTTTAACTCCTGGACAATGATGAAGCTGCCTTTTGAATCGTTTTTTCTCTTCTTTGTGGTTTTTGCTTTTGAAAACTGTAGCTTAACCAGTGTCTATTTCCTGCTGTCACCAATTAACTATTTTTTAATCATCTGCTTTTACTTCAGTTAATAGATGGTTAAAAAAATAATCTCATTAGGCACTAGTGTCTGGCCGCAGACGTGGCTCAGATGAGGCCTCGTGGAAAGAGCAGAGGGAGGGTCTCAGGATGACTTCTAGGGAAAGTAGGGGAAGAAAGATACAGCCTAAGTGCTAAGTAGGAGCATAACACTTTGCTGCGCATCTTTATAAAGGTCCCTTCATTTTATATCAGCTCCTCAGACAGTAGTAACAGTATTTTCATTTTAGAGATAAAGTCAGAGTTAGAGAAAATTAAGTGACTTGTTCAGGCTACAGAGCTGGGATTCAGCAACATGGTCTCTTTCTGGTTCAGAAGCCCCTGAACTCTGAGTAGGGCATCTCTAAAACCTGCTCCAGCCCACACAGTCTGTGAAAGTGAAAATGGTGCAAGTTTGCCAGATGGGCCACAGGCATGTGGAACTCCCCAGCCACCATTATGGTCCCTGGGAGCTCCTAACTACCTTTATCCTTCTGTCCTTAATTCACAGGAGCAATGATGTCTGGGTCCTTGACCTTGAGCAGTGGGCGTGGTCCAAGCCGAACATCTCTGGCCCCAGTCCTCATCCTCGAGGTGGCCAATCTCAGGTGCTCAGGAATTAAAATAACTATTCAGCAAACACTGTAGCGTCTTTCAGTTAGGACGGGAGAGGGAGGAGGGAGTCAGGTAAGATGCCAATATGCACTAAGCCAAAGAAAATGTATCATTCTTTTTTACTGGTATTTATTTTTCAACTTCTAATGGGTCATATTATTTATAGTGGTTTTATATTATGCTCCTCCCCAAAGCATTTACTTTGCTGTGTCATTTCTCAAGAGAATCCTGCATTTTATGTGGTTGACATTCATGTTAATATTTGATCAACAAAGAATGTATCCTTTCAGGTGAATTATCAGTAATTTATTCACAGGGATCAGAATTGATATGTTTTTAGGAGAATGGAGAGGTTATGGTAACTAGAATATTCCCATTTGGGAGCTAGGTAGGCTATTCTCATATACCAGTGAAGCATAGAAAGTCAGAAACCTGTGTCTTTGTAGGTTTATTTTCAATGTCTTCCCCTCCTCAGATTGTCATAGATGATGCAACTATCTTAATCCTCGGAGGGTGTGGCGGTCCCAATGCTGTGAGTATTGCTTCTGTGGCATTCCCATGTGCATGCTACTAAGTGTTCAAAACCTGTTTCCCCTGTCTTCTTTTCTAGGAGTATACAAGACTATTTCCATGGCATTTTAATTTAAGGAATGCTTTTTGGGTATAGCCTTTGTATTTTCTGGCCTTTGTTTCTGCTTTTTTTTAGGGTTGTGGGGGGATCCTTTTAATCATAGATATTTGTCTCTTGAATATTCATATCTATATTCTTCCCATTCCTATTTCCTTTTTAGGCTATAAAGTTTACTGCTATCATATTTTCAAAGGGGAGAGGGCAGTGGAACAAAAAAGCAGGTTGATAACTGTCAGAGTTCACACAGTATTTAAGAAAGCAGATTCAGAAAGTTGTGGATATGTATTATTTATCCTCTCCTTCAATCCCCAATACATACACATAAAATTATGGGCAAGTGTCAAAACCACTCAGTTGATTCATGGGTCACAAGCACAATTCCATGTGCTAAGCCAGTGGTAATATATGAATGAATGAAAGCGTAAGTGGATGCATGCACAACTGAATAATTAACTGAGGATTTTGCTATCCTTCTGAAGAGTCCACATCCTTTCAAGACCAGACAGGAGAGCTTTGAGACTGCAACTCTGTGTGTGTGTGTTTTGGAACGCATATCACACCTGAGTCTTGTTATTGGTTTTTTCTCTTACAGCTATTCAAGGATGCTTGGTTGTTGCACATGCATTCTGGTCCTTGGGCCTGGCAGCCACTCAAGGTAGAAAATGAAGAGCATGGGGCCCCAGAACTGTGGTGCCATCCAGCTTGCCGGGTAAGCAGGGAGCTGACAGGCTAGCAGGAGGACAGGTCCTAAATTGTGGAAAACCACATTACTTTGTCAGGTTACAAAGAAATTTGTACAAAAATAGAAAACACCTTGGTGTCACAAAAGAGGTGAACATTAGCCATAGCTCCTTTGGCATTTCTCACTAAATGGGAAAACTTACAGGGGCCCTACTCATTCAGTAAGTCCCAACTTTAAGCATCTGTTTGTCTGTGAAACTTTCCCTTCTCCTTCTAACAAAAATTGATTGTTCCCTTCTCCCCACCCCTTCTGTATACATATCTCTAATGATAGCATATGTCACACAAAGCAGCGATTGTTCCCATGTCTGACTTCTAGCCTAGAGGGCAGACTACATCATTTTCATCTTCATATCTCAGGTACCTACAAAATGTCTGGCACATGACAGATGCTCATGATAAAATGTTTGACAGTTGAATGAACAATCAGAATCATAGAAGAGTGTGAGCACTGGTCCTTTGTCTTCCAGGTGGGACAGTGTGTGGTGGTCTTCAGCCAGGCTCCTAGTGGGAGAGCCCCACTCAGCCCCAGTTTGAACTCTCGCCCATCACCTATCAGTGCCACTCCTCCAGCTCTCGTTCCTGAAACCCGAGAGTACCGCTCTCAGTCTCCAGTAAGAAGCATGGATGAAGCTCCTTGTGTTAACGGCCGCTGGGGAACACTGAGACCCAGGGCTCAAAGGCAGACTCCTTCAGGTTCCCGGGAAGGGAGCCTTTCCCCAGCCAGAGGAGACGGCTCTCCTATCCTCAATGGTGGGAGTTTGTCTCCAGGAACGGCAGCTGTGGGTGGCTCTTCTTTGGACAGTCCTGTACAGGCCATATCTCCAAGTACTCCATCTGCTCCTGAAGGATACGACCTGAAAATAGGACTTTCTTTGGCCCCCCGACGAGGATCACTACCAGATCAGAAAGATCTGAGATTAGGATCCATAGATCTGAATTGGGATCTGAAACCCGCTTCCAGTAGTAATCCCATGGATGGCATGGACAATAGGACAGTTGGGGGAAGTATGAGACACCCTCCTGAACAGACAAATGGTGTGCATACCCCACCTCACGTGGCCAGTGCCCTTGCAGGGGCCGTCTCCCCAGGTGCCCTGCGTCGGAGTCTGGAAGCCATCAAAGCGATGTCCTCCAAAGGCCCCTCGGCCTCTGCAGCACTAAGTCCTCCTCTTGGGTCTTCTCCAGGCTCTCCTGGGAGCCAGAGTTTGAGCAGTGGAGAAACAGTGCCCATCCCTCGCCCAGGGCCTGCCCAAGGAGATGGACATTCCTTACCTCCCATTGCTCGCCGCCTGGGCCACCACCCTCCACAGTCCCTAAATGTTGGCAAACCCCTATACCAGAGTATGAACTGCAAGCCCATGCAGATGTACGTGCTGGACATTAAAGACACCAAGGAGAAGGGGCGGGTCAAATGGAAAGTATTTAATAGCAGTTCTGTGGTTGGACCTCCTGAAACCAGCCTGCATACCGTGGTACAAGGCAGGGGTGAACTCATCATATTTGGAGGACTCATGGACAAGAAACAGAATGTGAAGTACTATCCAAAAACAAACGCCTTGTACTTTGTACGAGCAAAGAGATAATGTGTTCTAAACCCCTTTCCTTTTCTGTGGCTTTTAATTTGGAATTTTCCAGTGTGTAAGCATTTGGACTGAGAATTGGGAAAACAAAATTACTCCCAGAAGCCAAAACTCTTTAATTCCCAACCGAAGTCACTCCAGGCTGGGATCAAATCTCCATTAAGAAAAAAAATTATATATAAATATATATATATATATTATATAGCCAACTCTGTTGACAAAAAAAGGGAGAGATTTCCATCCTGGTTCAGATAAAGTTGTTGCTGTGTTTTAACAGGGGCTGGGCTGCCTTTTTCTACCTTGCTGGTAACTAGACCAAGAAGTTAGAGAATAGACTAACATCAGTAACTTCCCAAAAGAAACTGAAGAGCCCCCTGTAAATCTTTATGTGGCCTTCTTGGAGTTAAAAAATGAAAGGGCATATGTAAGTTGCAAAGGTGGAGGGTTTTAGACTCTCATGCTTCAGGTGCTGTCGGGGTAAAAGTAACTGTTTTTCCCCTTCTCTTAAAACCACAGAGGACCTGTGACAGCTCTGCAGAAATGCCAGTGCCTGGCCCCCTCTTGCCTTTTATGGCTGAGGAAAGTTACCCAACAAAGGATTTTATTCCACATTTGTGTGCCGGGTCATTGTGAAATAATGTTTATGCAGCCAACATCTGACCGCCTAGTAGTGTCCATTGGTCTTTGGAGTGCTTCTTGTGTGTCTCAGAAAACATTTTGTGTCTGATTGTGGAAATTTCTGACAATCAATCATATTTGGTGGCAAGTTGCCAAAAAACATATTTATTCTCCTCTTTCTTCCCTTAGAACATGGTACTTGGAAACTGCCTTTTCCATTCACTTACAGGCTGCTTTTTTCTTCTACCTTTTTTCTTTTCTTTTTTTTTTTTCATATGTGGTGAAGTCCTAAAACCTGTCTGACTTTCTGTTTCTTTTACAAAGCTCAGGTGCCTACAGAAATCAGAAGCTGCTTAGAAATACTTGTGGAACCCTTTCCCTGGTGTCACTAGGGGGCCAGTAGGGAATTCTAAGATGCCAATATTGTGAGAAATCTTTGAAGCAAGCATCAAAAGATACTGTTTTTTCCCTATGGGCTTCTTTTTACTTCCAAAGCACATTGAGCACACTCATCCCATATTTGTAGAATGTGGAAATTGATTCTGGAAGGGAATTCCAATAACAGTTCTTTTTAGAAATGTTTTTTTCCTTGTGGTGACATATATTCCTCTTCCTGGCTATTGGCAGGTGATGGAGTTGAGAATCATGTACTTGACTTCTTGACGCATGGCTGACCTCAGAAACAGCTCCATCCTTTGCACTTGTCTTCTTCATGTGTCACCCAAATAGGGCTTGGGTTTTTACTTTCACTTCATTTCTGAGATTAAGGTGTAACCAAGTAGAGCATTTCTTTGCTTGATACAGAAAGTTACTAGTCTCAACCATGGCCTGGGCATAGGAGATGTCAAAATAAGTTTATTTCAAATGGCACCATTTAAATAGGGATTTTTGGTGATTTCTCATCAGTGGAAAGAGGATTTTTGTTTTGCCTTTGTTTTGTTTTGAAATTTAAATCCTAATTTCAAAACATCACCTTGCCACCCTGACACTCCTCTTTTTATTATTAGCGTTTCTCAGGCACAAAGCCTGCTGCAGCTGGCCCTGGGTCCTGGCTTTCAGCCAGCATCTGGCAGCCTAAGTGTACTGATAAGTGTGTTTTCTCCTGTTACATCATGCTGAATCCTTTCCCTTAGCCATTAGCTTTTATGATGTGGTCTTCGTAGGAAAGCCACCCTGGTGCCAAGCCTAGCTTGTGGGGAGGGGTATGTGTTCCAGAAACTGCTCTTTGTGTTCCCTTCAATGAGGAAACAACATGTGTCTACTTATGTGGCATCCAACTGCTTGGAGCTCCACACTTCCCTTTCGCGACTCAGGCTCTGGTGCTGTTGCCAATCCTTGCTTGGCAAAGACTGTTCGATCATGTGGGGTCCTTATTTACAAGGGAAAGCTGGGCCAGAAGGCTAGCAATTCAGGTGTTACCGCTATTGCTGTACCTTGTGTTAGGACATTGTGTTTGTGCATGGACTGTGCCTCCAAACTCAGTAGTTCCTATCTAAATATAAAGTATATTAGAAACCTGAAAGTACAGAATCTCAACCTTACAGTCTTTCCCTTAGTCCTGTGGCCTTCCTAAGCCAGCTGTTAACGTGTTGATTCCTTCCACTTCCCCCAAGTAGGCAGGCAACAGATATGTTGATTGTCTTAGAAAGTAATCTGGTTCCTCTGAACTCCATTGAATTCCAGTTTGACGCATACTGCCTGGAACCAGACTGTTTGCTTACAGCTTTTTAAGAAAAATCTGCCTTGTCTGCCCCCATTATGGTTGGTCTTGGTAGCTCCTGGGCACTGTGGGCGTGTACCATGGGAAAGTGATTCAACACAGTGAAGGTGATTGTCTCCTCAGGCCTCCTGAAGCCACCTGTGCGGTGGGACTTCACGTGTCTCGGCCAAGGCGAGCATTTCCACAATGCCGTGGATGCTGCAGTCAGGCCAGATTGAACCATGACCCCATTTTTCACATGATACCAATTTTGTCTTAAAATTCACTGAGAAAAATGAGACTAAATTTTTTTTAACCCTCAGGAGCACCTGAAGCAAATATTTATCCGTATTTATTGAAAATTCATTTTGTTTCTACTTGAAGCTTTAACCCCTTCCATTCCTGCAAGTGTGCCTTTTGAGAGCTCCCATGGCCTAGTGACTTCACTGGTCACCTTGTCCATCTTACTTAAGAATTTTAGTCTCTCCCTACCCTCTTGGACAGAGCTTCCTGTTCTCTTATTTCACAGGTTATACAGCAGAGCGGGTTTTGTGTTTTCATTCCTATTTCCACCCTTCATTTGGTTGGTGGACTCCACAACCTCACCCTACCCTACACTTTGGGAGCACAAATTTGGTGTTGAAACAAGCTTAAATTTCATTTTAGGGCATACTGGGCTTACTCTCCTCCCAGCTGTCTGTGGATTGATTTGATTTTAATGTTCGAGTTTTACAGCAACAGCTGAAAACCATGAACTATTCTAGGAACTGTGTTGGAACTCTTTAAAATAAAGAAAAGAGGAGGAGGAGGAGGAAGAAAGAAAACCAACTTAAGAAGCCTTGACTTTGGAGGACAGAAAGCCACCAGCCAATGGAGAACAAAGAGATGTTTCCCTTTCCTTTCTTTCACCTTGTCATTCTGGGTTTCCTTCTGCTTCACTCTTTCCTTCCCCCTTAAAAGTGGTATTCCTGGTTGGTCTGTCTGTCTGTCCTTGTCCTTGTGGTGATCCTGGCATGGTGATATGCTCCACTTTGCATTATCCATGGTCTCTTACCAGCGCACAAGTCAGTGGGGAGGATCTAACCACGCCTGGTGGTGAGGAAGCTGAATTTCCAGGCCTGCGTCCCATGTAGCCTCTCCATGAACTGCAGAAGGCATGTTCTGCATGGTTACCAGTAAGTGGCTCCCTCTCACCGTGTTCATTGTCAAATGAGAGCAAACTTTAGGTGTTGGCTCCATTGTACACTCTACTTGCTCTGCTCCCCTCCCTCCAACCAGGGTTCATGTCAGTGCACACCCCATGTGCCCTGGCGAAGCTGGTGCTGTGAGTGATGTTTCCCATACAACTCAGGGATGCCAGGTGGCTTACCCTGAGATAGTCATTTTGGGCACATAACAGTGTAGGAATGAAACATGGATTTCATTGATATTTAAATCTGTCAATTTCATTTTTTGTTAATGTTTTCCCCTGATGACTTTTTAGCAATTTAACAAATAAAATGGACAATTGTCTTAACTGTTTTATTAGCAAAAAAAGAAAAAGAAAAGAGGTCTGGCCGGGCGCAGTGGCTCACGCTTGTAATCCCAGCACTTTGGGAGGCCGAGGCAGGCGGATCACAAGGTCAGGAGTTTGATACCAGCCTGGCCAACATAGTGAAACCCTGTCTCTACTAAAAATACAAAAATTAGCCGGGCATGGTGGCAGGCACCTGTAATCCCAACTACTTGGGAGGCTGAGGCAGGAGAATTGCTCCAACCCAGGAGGCAGAGGTTGCAGTGAGCCAAGTTTGTGTCACTGCACTCCAGCCTGGGCAACAGAGTTAGACTGTCTCAAAAAAAAAAAAAAGAGGTCAATCACAGTGGCTCATGTCTGTAATCCCACCACTTTGGGAGGCTGAGGCAGGAGGATCACTTAGACCAGGAGTTTGAGACCAGCCTGGGCAATATAGTGAGACCCCATCTCTAAAAAAAAAAAAATTTACCCAAGCATGGTGGTGTATGCTTGTGGTCCCAACTACTCAGGAGGCTGAATGGGAAGATCACACTTGAGCTAGGGAGGTCAAGACTGCAGTGAGCCATGATTGTGCCACTGCATGCCAGCCTGGGCGACAAAGTAAGACCCTGTTACAAAAAAAAAAAAAATTGTCTTGATGGGAAACAATTGAGGTTGGAGATTGAAGGCACAGTAGTTGGAAAGAGATACCTTCTCTAGGAGGTTGTGTTTTCATGGAGAGGTGGAGAGTTGCCACTCCTTGGGGACAATGCCATTTAATAATAAACCAGCTCCCTCCATCACGCTTGAAGGGCTTGGTGTTTCAGAGCCTCAGTACCAGCCTGCAATGGACATCCAAGAGTGGTCATGAGCTTGGAGCAGAGGCCCAGGGGCCAGGACGACATTTGCATCTTCCCTGGCCCCCTAAGCAAAGATGAAGACACAGGGCCCCAGGGGCATGAAGAGGCACAGCAGATGATGGTTTGGAACGCAGTCCCGAAGCTCCGAAGGCCTATGGCTTAATCCTGCTTTTCCCTACTTACTACTTAACCTTGGATACAAGCTTCCTCATCTGTAAATGTAGTTGCTTCTACCTTATAGGAGCCTGTGGGTTAATTGAAGTTGTATGTGAAAAGCGCCAGCACAACGCCCAGCACATAGTAAGTTGGCAGCTACTGCCTTCCACTGCAGGGCCAGCACAGCACTCCCCAGCCAGGGTTCTTGCTTTTCTGGATACTAAAGGGTCAGTGGGCTGGGCATGGTGGCTCACGCCCGTAATCCCAATACTTTGGGAGCCCAAGGCAGGTGGATCCCTTGAGGTCAGGAGTTCAAGACCAGCCTGACCAACATGGCAAAACCCCTTCTCTACTACAGATACAAAAATTAGCCAGGCATGGTGGTGCACGCCTGTAATCCTAGCTACTCAGGAGGCTGAGGCAGGAGAATCACTTGAACCCAGGTGGAGGCTGCATTGAGCCAAGATTGCACCACTGCACTCCAGCCTGGGCAACAAAGCGAGACTCCATCTCCCAACAAATAAATAAAGGGCCAGAGGCCTATGCACATTCGGGTGTAAATTGAAAATCTGCCTGGGGAAGGGGAGACAGTGCAGGAATCAGCACCTCAGCCCAAGGTTTTGCCTTCATTACTCCTCCCGTGAGGCCTGAGAAAGGTTCCTAGAAGTGGTAGGCTTTGAGCACCCCCACGTCCAGGCAGGAGAGGAAGCATCCACCAAAATTTTGCCCGTGAAAATCCTGCAGGCTGGCCTCTGCGTGGTGCTGCCGCACATGACTGGGTCTTAGTGCTCTGTGCCTTTTCACCTCCCCCAGGCCAAGGAGAGACTCCCAGCTAAGTTCCACCTTCTGGTCTCAGTGGCTTTACTACTTCTCTTCCCACAAACACTGCCAGCATGTCAGTGGATGCTGTGTGAGGTGATGATTTGCCCACGGCTGGAAGTGTTCAAACAGGGTCTGACCACCTGCATGGGAGGAAATAACAGAGATGCATCAGATCAAGATTGGAACCAAGGAAACGCTTGATGCCATTTCAATTTTTTGAGACGTAGTTCTGTGGACTCAGAAGGGACTTAGAGGCAGTAGGACAGGGCAGACCTAGGTTCAGGAGCTGACTGTCACTTTGAGCTGGAGCAAGTCATCCTGCCTCACTGAGCCTCAATTTTATCAGTAAAATGGCAATGATGGCAGCCAGCCTCACAGGTTAGCAACTTAGCTGGAACCAGCCAAGAATCGTTTAATCCATTGGATGGGTGTGATTCCCCAAAAGGCCACCTGAGGGCACCCTGTGAAAGGCTTCAAGTGTGCTTGGGCGATCTGTCGGAGGCAGTCTTGAGAAAGAAAGCAGATGGGCAGGAGTAAGAAAATGCTTGCCTGTTTCTCCCCTCCCTCTGTCAGTTAAGCCTGGGGGGCACCCGTCCCTGGCCCCTGCCTTGTTTCAAGTACCATCCTCCAGCTGGCCTACCTGCCTTTCCTTCCCCAGCCCTCAGCTGTGGGAAAATTACCATCTTTCTCATGGGGCTGGGCTCTGGGTCCAGAGCCTGTCGGAATGCACAAAGCCAAGCCCATGTCTTAAGTAAATGCCAAAAAGTCCTAGCAGAGTGTGTTCTGCACCCACCAGGGAGCCTGTCTGCCCACCTACTGCAAGGAAGAGAAGGAGGGCTCCTTTCCAGCAGAAGCCTGGGGAGAGGGAGGATGCTCCTGCCCGAGGACATGGGCTGTGGCCCGTTGACAAGGCCTAGAACACCTGGAACTGACTGGGAGACTATTCACTCTCAGCAAGCATTCCCTGAGCATCTGTGACCCCCGAGGCACTGGGACACACACAAGACACAAAAGAGGCCCACCCATGAAGGAGCTTACAGCCTAATCACAAACCAGGGAGGTGTCACATGGGCTAAACAAAAATGACAAATCCTGAGATTCTAAGGTCAAAAGACAATCCAGGTATCATACTAAAAAGATACCAAAGAGGATGGAGTCAGTAGAACCATCTGCAACCAGTGCAGCCACCCAGGGCTGGGACAGTTGTTCGGGAAGCCAGAAGCCAAGAAGTTAGCCTTCTCTTTGCTTTGGTGTCTTAGTTCCCTTGTGCTGCTATATACCATACCACAGACTGAGTGATTTATAAGCAACAGAAATGTATTTCCCACATTTCTGGAGGCTTAGAAGTCCAAGCTCAAGGCACCATCAAGCTTGGTGTCTGGTGAGGGCCCAGTCTCCACTTCCAAGACATTGCCTTGTTGCTGCTCCATCGTGAAGGCTGTGTCTTCACACCGTGGATGGGATGAACTGGCCCCTCACGCCTTTCCATAACATCACTAATCCCATCGTGAGGGCTCTGCCCTCATGACTTAGTCATTCCCTGAAGGCCCCACCTGTTAATACTGTCACAGTGGTGATTAAACTTCAACATGTGAATCTGGCAGGACGTTCAGATCATGGCACTTGGCCTCGTCCTGCTAACCTGTGGCAGGGGGGCAGATGAGGATAGAACCTATCTGGGGCATCCCAGATGGGTGGGGTCTAGGCCTCGCTTCTGGCAGTCAGTAATGCAGGGTCTTGATAAGCCTATAAGCCGCAGCAGCCAGTGGTCAGGGCTGAGGACAATGGAGGGTGACCCATGTGGACTTGATGGCCAGAGGTCATCCCCTCAGATGTAATGGGAAAGGAGCTCCCGAGTGGAATCCGTAGTGGGAAGACAACACTTAGGACCGCATGGCTGGGGCCACGGCAGAGGCACAGAGCAGAGTGCTCTCTGCAGCAGAAGGCCCACAAGAGATGGCGTCCAAGGAGTAGCATCGCTCCCCAGCCATGCTTCCCTGGGATTTGGGCAAGCCTCCCTGCACACCAAACATGAGCCTCAGGGCGGGCTGGAGGAGGGGGTTTCCGGTTCTTCTGCCTCTCCTGGGTCTGACCTCGTCGTTGTCATTGCCCAGGTGGCATCCAAGGCTCTGCTGTCTGTCCACAGCATCCGGACCTCTCATCTGTCTACACCCATTGCTTCAGGCTTGGTCCCTCCGCCGTCAGTAATGTCCAGCTTCACTCAGGCCGCTCACCTGCGCTTTACATTCCAACATCTGCTGTGAGTGTGTCCTCTCTGGGCAGCCCCCCACCCTCCCTCACTCCCCAGGGGCTCCTCCTCTGACCCTGTGCGCTTCCTCCATGCTTCCCCCACAGTTAGGGGCACCACCATCCATCCAGTCACCTGGGAATGATCCCAGGGTCAGGTGATCTGAGGATGGAGAATTGACCACTGAGCTTGGTGGCGAGGCTGGTGCCCTTGACCTGACTTGATTAACTGGCTGTGGCTCCAGCTTGGAGAATCCCTAAAGCCAGTGAGCCTGGTGGAAGGACTGCTAGGAGGCAGAGCAAGCATTCCAGGTGGGAGTGGAGCACTCCTGGTGCCAGGCCATGCTGAGGGAGGGGTGGGTGTTATTCTAGGAGCCAAGAGGATTTTAAGCCTGGTGTCCTAGCTGACCTCCCGCCCCACACCTACCCAGGATCCTCAGGCAGGGCTCTCCATGCCTCATTCTCACCCCAGCTCGGCCTGTGTGTCTGCCCACCTGGGCCTCCCATCCACTCTGTCAAGTTGGTGACTGTGTCCCTGCCTTGTGGAGTCCTCTCAAGGTCTTGTGGGGACCTTGTCCAAGAGGTTTTTAATAAATATTTGTGGGGAGACCAAACCAAGAAGAAATGAGTGGATTAATCACAGGGCTCTAGGCCGGGCACAGTGGCTCATGCCTGTAATCCCAGCACTTTGGGAGGCCGAGGCGGGCAGATCACGAGGTCAGGAGATTGAGACCGTCCTGGCCAACATGGTGAAACCTTGTCTCTACTAAAAATACAAAAATTAGCTAGGCGTGGTGGCATGCGCCTGTAGTCCCAGCTACTTGGGAGGCTGAGGCAGGAGACCTGCTTGAACCTGGGAGGTGGAAGTTGCGGTGAGCCAAGATCATGCCACTGCACTCCAGCCTGGCGACAGAGCAAGGCTCTGTCTCAAAAAAAAAAAAAAAAAAAATCAGAGGGCTCTAGACTAGAAGAGTCCTTAGGGAGATGTTCTACATGTTTTGCTTGAGGCCCTGAAAGGAGAAGCAGCTGGCTTAGGGGGACACATAGTTTAGTGGTCAGAGGGGCACAGGAGAGCAGAACTCATAGACCAACACGGTCCACAAGCGTCCTTCTGAAACGCAGTTCTAACCATGTCACTTTCAGGTCCCAACAGTCAGCTGGCCTCCTTTGCCCAGCAGCAGTGTTTACATGAGGTCTGTGGACCCTGTTATGGACTGAATTATGCCCTGCTCCACCCAAATCCATACATTGAAGCCCTAGCCCCCAATGTGACCATATTTGGAAATAGGTCCTTTAAAGAGGTAATTAAGGCACGCTTTTCATCTGTCCCGCTGAGTGTTTGCCTCTTGATCAGGAACTCCTGCTTCTCCCTGCCTCTAAATGGACCCCAACTGCTCCTGCTCGCCTGATGGTTCCTGCGCCTGTGCCGGCTCCTGCAAATGAAAAGAGTGCACATGCACCTCCTGCAAGAAGAGCTGCTGCTCCTGCTGCCCTGTGGGCTGTGCCAAGTGTGCCCAGGGCTGCATCTGCAAAGGGACGTCGGACAACTGCAGCTGCTGTGCCTGATGCCAGGACAGCCCTGCTCTCAGATGTAAATAGAGCAACCTTATAAACCTGGATTTTTTTGGTACAACCCTGACCCATTTGCTACATCTTTTTTTCTATGAAATATGTGAATGGCAATAAATTCATCTAGACTAAAAAAAAAAAAAAAAAAAAAGGTAATGAAGGGTGAGCATGGTGACTGATGACTGTAATCCCAGCACTTTCAGAGGCCAAGGCAGGCAGATCACTTGAGGCCAGGAGTTTGAGACAAGCCTGGGCAACAAGGCAAAACCGTACCTCTAAAAAAATACAAAAGAAAAAGTCCGGGCATGGTGGCTAATGCCTGTAATCCCAGCACTTTGGGAGGCCAAGGCGGGCGGATCACCCGAGGTCAGGAGTTCAAGACCAGCCTGGCCAACATGGTAGAACCCCGTCTCTACTAAAAATACAAAAATTAGCTGGGTGTGGTGGCAGGCGCCTGTAATCCCAGCTACTTGGGAGGCTGAGGCAGGAGAATCACTTGAACCTGGGAGATGGAGGTTGCAGTGAGCAAAGATCGCGCCATTGCACTCCAGCCTGGGGCACAAGAGCGAGACTTTGTCTCAAACAAACAAACAAAAATACAAAAAAAAAAAAAATTAGCCAGGCGTGCTGATATGCACCTGTAGTCCTAGCTCCCCTCGGGGCTGAGGCAGGAGGATTGCTTGAGCCTGAGGAGGTCGTGGCTGCAGTGAGCTGAGATCACACCACTGCCCTCTAGCCTGGGTGACAGAGTGAGGCCCTGTCTCAAAAAATAAAAGAAAAAGGTAATCAAGGTTAAATGAGACCATAAGCATGGAGCCCTAATCCAGTAGGACTAATGTCCTATTTGTAACAGAGGAAGAGACACCAGACATGTATAAGCACAGAGAAGAGGCCATCTGTAAGCCAGGAAGAGAGGCCCCACCCAGAAACCAACTCTGCTGGCACCTTGATCTTGGACTTCCAGCCTCTAGAACTATGAGAAAATAAATTTCTGTTGTTTAGAGTACCCAGACTGTGGTATTTTTGTTACAGCAGCCTGGGCTGACTCATATAGACCCCAACTTCAGAACTGCCTAGTGCTTTTGTCAAATCTGCAGGCTCACAGACCTACCCAGCCCCTGACACAGAATGTCGGGGTTGGATGTGTGAACCCCAAATATCTGAGACAGGTCACAGTCAATTTAGAAAGTTTATTTTGCCAAGGTTAAGGATGTGCCCGTGACAGCCTCAGGAAATCCTGAGACATATACCCAAGGTGGTCAGGGGTACAGTTTGCATTTAAGTTTTAGGGAGACATGAGACCTCAATCAATATGTGTAAGATGTACATTGGTTTGGTCTGGTAAGACAGGACAGCTTGAAGCAGGGGCTTCCAGGTTAGAAATACATAAGAGACAAGGCCAGGTGCAGTGGCTCATGCCTATAATCCCAGCACTTTGGAAGGCTGAGGTGGGCGGATCATGAGGTCAGGAGATCCAGACCATCCTGGCCAACATGGTGAAACCCCGTCTCTACTAAAATACAACAACAACAAAAATTAGCCGGACATGGTGGGGCATGCCTATAGTCCCAGCTACCTGGGAGGCTGAGGCAGGGGAATCACTTGAACCTCAGAGGCAGAGGTTGCAGTGAGCCGAGATTGTGCCACTGCACTCCAGCCTGGGCGACAGAGTGAGACTCTGTCTCAAAAAAAAAAAAAGTAGATAGGAGACAAAAGATTGCATTCTTTTGAGTCCTTGATCAGCCTTCCACTGAATACATAATTTTATTTATTCAGCTCTGTCACCCAGGCTGGAGTGCAGTGATATGATTCTGCTCACTGCAACCTCCACCTCCCAGGTTCAAGCGATTCTTCTGCCTCAACCTCCAGAGTAGCTGGGATTACAGGCGCCTGCCATCACAGCCAGATAATTTTTGTATTTTTAGTAGAGACAGGGTTCACCATGTTGGCCAGGCTGGTCTTGAACTCCTGACCTCGGGTGATTTGCCCGCCTCAGCCTCCCAAAGTGCTGGGATTACAGGCGTGAGCCACCGCGCCCAGCCATTTTTTTGTATATTTTTAGGGATAAGGTTTTGCCATGTTACCCAGGCTGGTCTCAAACTCCTGACCTCAAGTGGTCCACCAGCTTCAGCCTCCCAAAGTGCTGGGATTACAGGCGTGAGCCACCGCACATGGCCCCAAGAGGACTTTACATCTTCTCTGGGTTGCAGATTAACAGGCACGTTCATTCTGCCAAGTTGCTTCATTTTCTCACACGCTCACTGAGCCCTCCACGAGCCAAAGATGGGTGGATGTGAAGTCTGGAAATCCAGAAATAATTCAGATCAGAGCCCTGCCACTGAGTGACTCCTGGCCCATGGAGAGAGCTCTGGACAGCTGTGAATCTCCCTGACTGGGCAGATGTGACAGCTGCAGGAATGGGAACCATGTGACCTGGGAGTATGGGCAAAGGATTCCACCTGCAGAATCCTGTAGGAATGGTTATTCATCTGGTTTTTCTGCCTAGCCACAGCGTGAGCAAGTTGAGAGAAAGCACCTTGTCTTACACATCCTCATCCCCTCTCTTAGACATAATGGGCCTTAAAAATCTGTGAGTTCGTAGTCCTCTGGCTGCTTTCTGCTTCCCTAGGAACAGCCCTCCTAGTGGCTAGGGGCAAAGTTTTAAAAACACAAAACCCAAACTGGCAGAACAGATAAGTACTTTAGAGTCAGGTAAGTGTGGGTTCTTTTTTTTTTTTTTTTTTTTTTTTTGACAGGGCCTAGCTCTGTCACTCAGGCTGAAGTGCAGTGGCATGATCTCGGCTCACTGCAACCTCCATTTCCCGGGCTCAAGCAATCCTCTCATCTCAGCCTCCAAGTAGCTGGGACTACAGGCGTGCACTACTGTGCCCGGCTAATTTTTGTATTTTTTTTTTTGTAGAGGCAGGGTCTTACTATGTTGCCCAGGTTGGTCTCAAACTCCTGAGCTTAAGCAATCTGCCCGCCTCAGCTTCCCAAAGTGCTGGGATTACAGGCGTGAGCCACCACACCCAGCCAGCTGTGGGTTCTGAGTCGGTTTCACACTGACTAGCTGTGCGGTGTGACCTCAGACAAGTCACGTTATGTTTCTGAGAGTCTTCGTCAGTACAAGAGGGTAATACTATTTACACAGGTTTGTTTATAGAATTAAATCAGGTGACCCCTGTAAAGTCCCCACTGTCTGGCACTTGGGTGGCCTTAGGTAAAGCTTAACTCCTAAATTATTCCTTTCAAAACAGTGATTTGCCCTACTTGAAGGCATTGCGGAAAGATAATGGTAAAAATTAAATGTAATAGACAAACTCTCAGTAATGACCCACCTGCACTCTTTCCAACCAGTGGGCATTTACTGAGCACCCACCTTCTGGGTAACAGGCCTGGTGTCCAGTGCTGGAACGGTGGAGAGGAGCTCAGAGTTTCAGAGCTGAAAAGTCAGCTCCAGGAGAGCAGGGACTTCTTGTTGGCCACTGTATTCCCAGCTAGGTGCTCAGTATTTGTTGAATGAATGAATGAATGAAAAATACAATCCAGCGGGCCTCTGACTCATTTTTTAAAACTTGAGCCAAGTCCCTTGACCTCTCTGAGCTGGTGTGTGTCCCCATCAGTGAAGCCAGAGATGTTTAAGTCATCTAGAGGTCCTGCCAAGCAGGATTAATAGAGCAATAATATTAATAATAGCAACAATCATAACTAAACATATGGAGCACTGCTATGGAGGGAATAACATGTTACGTCCACGTTATAGAAGAGGAAACTGAGACACAGAGAAGCATGAAAGGCTCCTGGAGGGGGGGTTTCATGATGTTTTGGAAGAAAGACTAGGGATCGGACGGAGTCATAGAGAAGAGGATCCACAACCCAGAGGAAAAGGCCTAGTCCAGAGCCACCGCGCGGCGCAGGCTGCGGACGTTGTAGGAGGGACGAACGCCTCCCGGAACCCGCCCAACCCAACCTCCGGCGTCTCCATGGCAACAACCTCCGCACATGCGCCGCGCGCACCTGCGCCGGAGCTGCCAGCACGCGCAGAAGGCGGACGCAGGCGGGGCGGAAGTGGGCCCGGCGGGCTGGGGCGGCGGGAGTGCGGGTGGGCGTTTAAAGGGGCCTTCGGCACCCAGGTCGGTTCGCCGCCGGGACTGCTGACGGGGAGGGCTAGGTAGCCCTGGGAGTCGGGATCTAGAAGGTAGAGGAGAAGCGGGGCTGTCTGACCCCCGGAGGTGACAAGGGGAGAGGGGCTGTGTGAATACCCTCCATGGGCAGTAATGGGATGACTATCCCCAGGGAGCATTGCGAAGGAGAGAGGCGGCTGAGGGACTGCACTTTCTGGGGCCCCCCGGGAGAGTCAGAGGGCAGTTAAGAGGGATCACAGGCCCGGCTTGGTACTGTCACTCCCCTTCCCACTCCCTGCTCTCAGCATTCTGTCACCTCCCTACCCCGTCGCGGTGCCCAGCCATGGCCAGACCTCCCGTGCCCGGTTCGGTGGTTGTCCCAAACTGGCACGAGAGTGCCGAGGGCAAGGAGTACCTGGCTTGCATTCTGCGCAAGAACCGCCGGCGGGTGTTTGGTAAGTGCCTCCCCCTTTCCTCTAGCCCGCCACTTGTCTTTCCCTGGGGAGAAGAGTGTCACCTGTTGCTCCCTGAGGAGAGCAGAGAGGCAGGGCAGTGAGGGCCTGCTCCACTGCAGTCTTCAGCAGTCTTCAGCCTGGGGGACTGAAAGCCCTAGCTCTGGGACCCCCACACCTAAATCTCCTTAGAGCTAATTCCATCGTCAGAGCCAGGAACATGGAAACAGCAGAAACCTTGCCAGCAACCACTGTCACCAGAGATGCAGTTGATTGAGCACTCCCCTGGTGCCAGGCCCTCTGTTGGGCACGTTACACAGTGCACGCCCATTTAACCTCTCAACAGCACATGGTACAGACTTGGCTAAGATCACACCCCAATAAATAGAGGTGAGCCTCTTCCATGTCCTGCTGTCTCTGGGATGAGACGCTGGTGTTCCCCATGGTGAAACTGACTCACCCAGGCAGGGCCCAGCTGTCAGGCCGGCAGAGGTGCCTGGAATCAGCTGTGGAGCCCAGCTCTGGCCAGGAGAAGCAAGGTGCCAGAAGACTTAAGACCAGAGAGTGAGATAGCTAGAACCAAAATTTGTGAATAAGTCAACTGTTTGTTTGTTTTTTTAAAAGAAATTATATTAAATTCAAAAAATGACCCTCTAGAAGGCTGGGCGCAGTGGCCTGTAATCCCAGCACTTTGGGAGGCCGAGGTGGGCAAATCACCTGAGGTCAGGAGTTCAAGACCAGCCTGGCCAACATGGCGAAACCCCATCTTTACTAAAAATACAAAAATTAGCCGGACGTGGTGGCGGGCACCTGTAATCCCAGCTACTTGGGAGGCTGAGGCAGGAGAATCGCTTGAACACAGAAGGCAGAGGTTGCAGCAACCCTAGATCGAGCCATTGCATTCCATCCTGGGTGACAAGAGTGAAACTCCGTCTCAAAAAAAAAAAAAAAAAAAAGACCCTCTAATATGGCCACTGTCCCTCTAATCCCATGATGGCTGGCAACACTGTATTTGGGGTCACACATACCCAGGCAAGTGACCCAGGCTCCACCACTGCTAGCTGTATGGCTGGGAATAAGTGAACTCTAGCCTCAAGTCCCACCTCTGTAAAATGGGGATAATCACAGTATTTACCCCATAGAGTTACTGGGGAAATTAATAAGGAGGGTGTTTGTAACATACCAAGCAGGTTCTGGCATGCAGTGGGTGTTCACTGAAGGTTGGCTGTTATTGTATTTATTTTGCATTTAGTTGTGTTGAGTGGAAGAGAATTGAGTGAAGGTTGAGCTGATTTTCTGGGAACATCATAGAATCCACTGACCATATTATCTATGCCACAGATAGGATTAAGCAGCCATAACTTAGAGGAATGGCAGTGATGGCTTTTAATTTTTGTGTTTTTACTTTAACTGCAGACATTTGGGTTTTTTTTTAACAGCTGGGTTTATGCACCTGAATGTATCATTCAGTGGTTGTCATGCAGGCCCCACAACAAACGCTGAGAGCAGCTAGTAAATAAATATCAACAGACTGACTATAATGCTTAGGCTAGTCTCTTTGTATCCCAGACTTCTGTAAAATTAGGTTGAGTATTAAGAGCCACAGATGAGGCCGGGCACGGTGGCTCACGCCTGTAATCCCAGCACTTTGGGAGGCTGAGGCAGGCAGATCACCTGAGGTTGGGAGTTCGAGACCAGCCTGACCAACATGGAGAAACCCCATCTCTAAAAATACAAAATTAGCCAGGCATGGTGGCGCATGCCTATAATCCCAGCTACTCGGGAGGCTGAGGCAGGAGAATCACTTGAACCCGGGAGGCGGAAGTTGCAGTGAGATCACACCATTGCACTCCAGCCTGGGCAACAAAAGCGAAACTCCGTCTCAAAAAAAAACAAAAAAGAACCACAGATGGTTGGTTAGCCCTGAAGAAGCCATTAGAAATGAGGTTGTCCTTGGCTGTATGTGGTGGCTCATGCCTTGTAGTCCCAGCACTTTCGGAGGCCAAGGTGGGAGGATTGCTTGAGCCCAGGAGCTCAAGACCAGCCTGAGCAACATAGTGAGACCCCATCCGTATTAAAAATAGAAGGTAAAGAAAAAAAGTAAAAATAAATAAGTGAGACTGTCCAGCCCAGGATCTGATGGGGCAAGTGCAGGATTTACCCGCGTCTTAGTCCATTTTATGCTGCTACAACAGAATACCACACTCTAAGTTATTTATTTATTTATTTTTTGAGACAAAGTCTCGCTCTGTCGCCCAGGCTGGAGTGCAGTGGTGTGATCTCGGCTTAGCAACTTCCACCTCCCAGGTTCAAGCAGTTCTCCTGCCTCAGCCTCCCAAGAAGCTGGGATTATAGGCACCCACCACCACACCCAGCTGATTTTTGGTATTTTTTTTTGTAGAGATGGAGTTTCACCATGTTGGCCAGGCTGGTCTCGAACTCCTGACCTCAGGTGATCTGCCCGCCTTGGCCTCCCAAAGTGCTGGGATTACAGGTGTAAGCCACCGCACCAGGCCTCCTCTGTGTAATTTATAATGAACAGAAGCTTATTTGGCTCATGGTTCTGGAGGCTGGGAAGTCTAAGAACATGGCAGCAGCATCTGGAAAGGGCCTTCATGCTGTGTCATCCCGTGGCAGAAGGCAGAAGGGCAACAGCAAGACAGCAAGAGGCGCCCAAACTGGCTTTTATAACAAACCCACTCCCTCAATAACAACATTAATCCATTTATGAGGGCAGCTGATCACCTTGTGTTAGGCCCCACTTCCTAACACTGGTGCATTGGCGATTAAGTTTCCAACACATGAACTCTGGGGGACACCTTCAAACCACAGCACCCCTTGACCCTGCCTGGCTCTCTCTTTGCCCTAGGGCTGCTTGAGCGGCCAGTGCTGCTGCCGCCTGTGTCCATTGACACTGCCAGCTACAAGATCTTTGTGTCCGGGAAGAGTGGTGTGGGCAAGACGGCGCTGGTGGCCAAGCTGGCTGGCCTGGAGGTGCCTGTGGTGCACCACGAGACCACCGGTGAGTGGGACCTCTATCCTTTGCCCATCCTGGGAGGCCCTCCTTGGGGGTGGAGGCAAGAACCTGGCCCTGGACCACCTCTTACTCTGTAGCCTTGGAAAGTCACTTCACGTCTCTGAGCCTACATGGGCTCCTTGGTCCCAAGGGGATAATAGTACCACAGGGTTGTTGTGTGGTTGCCACTAGAGGTGGTGGTGGTGGTAACATGCCTAGCATCAAGCTACGCTCAAGGTAAATGCTCAGGAAATGCTAATCTTGCTTTGTTGTTTCTCACCACTGGATGCTGATTGTTCCACCATGTTGAAACATCTCCCAGCGTCCTGGGCCCTTTGGGTCTCCCTGGACATACAAACGAAACTTGCTTTGCCATAGCTAGGGCTGCATCTTCCTGGTGTACCAGAGTCTCCTCCAGGGCCAGTTTCTGTTTCTCCCATCAGACTGAGAATTATCCCGGGTCAAGGACTGTGCCTCCCTCATCAAACTAGGGACCCATCAGGGCAGGGATGTATCTCTTCTTCCTATTCCTTCCTGGTCCCCTATTCCTCCCATCTCCACCTCTCCCATGGTGAGTGGCTGACCCTGGCTCCCCCTCAGGCATCCAGACCACCGTGGTATTTTGGCCAGCCAAGCTGCAGGCCAGCAGCCGTGTCGTCATGTTTCGTTTTGAGTTCTGGGACTGTGGAGAGTCTGCACTCAAAAAGTTCGATCATATGCTGCTGGTGAGCAGGCATGTGGGCCTGGGTGGGTTCTGCCAGGGGCCGATTGGGTATTAATGAGCTCAAGGCACTGCTCAGAGACCTGAGCTGGCACTGGAGACAGTCCCAGCCCATGCTTGTCCTAGGACCAGCCGCTCCTTGCTCTGGGCCTCAGTTTCCCAATCTGTGAAAGGAGGGATTATTCCTGATTCTTCTGAGGGCCCTGCAGCTGATGGGGGGTGACATGGTTATATGCCTCTCCATCACCAGGCTTGCATGGAGAACACAGATGCCTTCCTCTTCCTCTTCTCCTTCACTGACCGTGCCTCCTTTGAAGACCTCCCTGGACAGCTGGCCCGCATAGCAGGTGAGGCCCCTGGTGTCGTCAGGATGGTCATCGGCTCCAAGTATCCTTTGGATATCCTTGGCAAGTCACGGAGCCAGGGGGTCAGGGGCCCAGCCTCTGCCCAGGCATGGAATTCAGCACCTGGGCTTTTACTTAAAGGGTACAGCATGGCTACCCCAGCTCCTGGGTGTGGGCTCCAGGGAGGAGGGAGAGGCAGGGTCTGATGGGGGGCTGTGCAGAGGCACCCAGTTAGGCTCCTTGACCCTCCTCCAGATTTGACCAGTACATGCACACGGACGTGCCCGAGCGGGACCTCACAGCCTTCCGGCAGGCCTGGGAGCTGCCCCTGCTACGGGTGAAGAGTGTGCCGGGGCGGCGGCTGGCTGATGGGCGCACACTGGACGGGCGGGCTGGGCTGGCCGACGTTGCCCACATACTCAATGGCCTTGCTGAGCAGCTGTGGCACCAGGACCAGGTGGCGGCTGGCCTGCTTCCCAACCCCCCAGAGAGTGCTCCTGAATGAGTCACGAGTGGTTGCCTGTGATCCCACCCCCAACCCTCAGGTCTCGACATAGGGCTGGAGGCTGGGGCAGGAACATGGATCCTATCTGGAGGACTGGCCAGCATGGCCTGATCAGGGAGGATGTGGCCAGAGAAGGCCCACCCGCGAGCAGCGCTTTCCTTGCAGAATTCATGGCAGGGAGGTGGGGACCAAGGCCCTGAGCTCGAACATCTCCCGTGGCCTTTCCCCCTTTGGCAGCACCGATGGAGGATGACTGGGAGAGGGGGTGCCTCTCAAGTTACTTCAATCAAGAACCTGTATTGGTTGAGGTGACACCATCTGTTGTAACAGATAAACCCCGAAATCCCAGTGCTGAACTCCAGAGACGTGTTCGTTCTCACGTAGGCCTCAGCTCGGGAGGAGGTGACAGTGGGCGTGGGGCTCTGCTCCAGGCGCTCCTGCAGAGACCCAGCCCCAGAGACCCTACCCTGCCCAGTTGCCCTAGGGTGTCAGCACCCAGTCAGCAGCCAGGGAGTGAGTGCAGGCAGGAGGTGTCCCCCCGCTTTCTGTGGACCAGGCCCAGGGTGGCACCTCATTCTGCCCACATTCCAGAGGCCAGCACCCAGCAGTCATGTGGTCATGTGGCGCTGTGGGGGAGGCTGGGACATGGAGTCCACCTGTGAGTCCAGGAGTTAAGCCCGTCGCGCTGCAGGGCCCTTTTTTTTTTTTTTTTTTTTTTTTCCAGAGTCTTGCTCTGTGGCACAGGTTGGAGTACAGTGGTGCACTCTCAGCTCACTGCAACCTACACCTCCTGGGTTCAAGCGATTCTCCTGCCACAGCCTCCCAAGTAGCTGGGATTACAGATGCCAACCACCATGCCTGGCTAATTTTTGTATTGTTAGTAGAGATGGGGGTCTCACTATGTTGGCCAGGCTGGTCTCGAACGCCTGACCTCAAATAATCCGCTCGCCACAGCCTCCGAAAATGCTGGGATTACAGGCACGAGCCACTGCGCCCGGCCTGCAATGCCTTTCTTGATCATGGAGTTGTCAGGCCAGGCTTAGGATAGGAGTCTTGGCAGCCCAGGGGCACCCGAAAGCAGCACCATGCAGGGCCAACGACCATCCCAGTGGGGGTCAGGGCGTGAGCTGGCCTGAGAGGCAGCTCTGCCCCGTGGGAGGCCATTGAGGACAGGAGCTGGGAGAGGAGTGAGTAGGCCCAGCCTTGTGTCTTGGCCCTGCCCCATAAGCCAGAGACTGGTGGAAGTAGGCTAAGGAGGATGAGGGGAAGTCCCCAGGGAAAGGGACCTTTATACGATCCCCTCCAATGAGCCCCTGCTGGGCCCCATAGATGAACCCCTGGGCTGAGGCCTGGCGTGCGTCTGGCTCAAAGCAGAGTGTCCCCAAAGCCAGCTGACTCTCAGAACTCTGCAGCTGTAACCAGGCCCCACTCACACAGTATGACCTGTGCTCACACACCTGTGCTAGGACGAAAGCACTTTCCACTCCTGCCGGCTGGCACACAGGAGGCCCAGACTCACCTGTCCTGATGCCCGCGCCCAAGCACACTGCTCACATGCCCATGCACACTGCCAGCCTATTCACCCTGGGTACTGCCACCTACATTTGTCAACCCTTCCAGGGTCTGGGCCAGAGGAAGAATTGATTCCAGCACCTTCTCACCCCTGACTAAGGCTTAGAGCTCAGGCCCTGCACTTATCCCACACCCCAAGAAGGAATGTCCCTGGGCGGGACCCCCACCTCAGAGCCTGCAGGCCGGCTCCCACTCCTGCAGCCCTCAGCCCTGCTTCCAGGTGGGCCTGTCCACGTCCCCCTCTGTCCTTAACTCCAGGAGACCTTGGCTCACGTGGACAGCAATGGAGTTGGGGGAAGGGCCCTGAAGGCAGCCCCAGGCCTGACTGTGGGCCTCCAGCTACAGGCGTTTGTGTTTGGGCACCAGCTACCCCACATCCCAGCCGGTCATCTCTGGGCATAAACCCCCACCCCCCAGAAAGGAGGCTTCCTGTCCCTCTTGGGCACCAGCTCAGCCAAAAGCCAGAAAGCTGCTCTGGAGCATAACCTGACCCCCCCACGGCGAGGCAGGGCAGTCTTCTCCTGGCTGGCACTGCTCTGGTCATAGAATTGATCCTTCATCCACCTTTACCCCAAACAAGAGGTGTCTCCCTGGGTGAGGACAAAGTGGGGAGGGCAACAGGGCTGGGGCTTAGAGCCCCTCCACCAGCCATCCAGGGCTGCCTTCTCAGCTCCTCCCAGCGCAGCACCGGTGCCACTTTAGTATTTAGTAGGCCACCCCCGGGACCTCCATCACCACAGTGCAGAACTGGAAGCCACAATGCTTTGAATAGTCGACGCCTGTGCCTCCTGGGAGGTCTCTGGGCAGCCCTGTGGAGAGTGAGTGAGAGGAGAGTGTGTTCTTACATGCACGTGTTCAGGCTGATGGCATGGGACTGTGACCCGTCCAGTCACACAGGGTCTCAAACTCCAAGGAGCCCCACACCTGGTTTAATGCTCTGCTGTTGCCCTCTTGCTGATGCCCTTCTTATTTTTTTAGAGACAGGGTCTTGCTCTGTCGCCCAGGCTGGAGTGCAGTGGCACAATCATCATTCACTGTAGCCTCGAACTCCTGGGCTCAAGTGATCCTCCCCGTTTCTCCCCAGCCCCGGAAGTAGCTCCCACCATACCCAGCTAATTTTAAAACTTTTTGAGAGACCAAGCTGGTCTCAAATTCCTGGGCTCCACTGGGTGCAGTGGCTCATGCCTGTAATCCCAGCACTTTAGGAGGCCAAGGTGGGCAGATCACCTGAGGTCAGGAGTTCGAGACCAGCCTGGCAAACATGGTGAAACCCCGTCTCTACTAAAAATACAAAAATTAGCTGGGTGTGGTGGCAAGCGCCTGTAATCCCAGCTACTCAGGAGGCTGAGGCACGAGAATCGCTTAAACCCAGGAGGCGGAGGTTGCAGTGAGCCAAGATTACACTACTGCACTCCAGCCTGGGCAACAGAGTGAGACTCTATCTCAAAAACAAAACAAAACAAACAACAAAAAATGGGCTGGAGGAGCGGGTTGTAGGCCCTTCCGCCTCTGGTGGGTGGGGAGAAGCAGGGGAGCTGGTGTTCAGCTATATTCTACAAAGAAGGGGTGGATCCTGAGAGGCAAGGGTGGGACTGAGGCCTAGTTACAGGTGGTCGGGAAGGAGGTTGAAGGGGAACTGTGTGACCTTGGATGTTCTTTGTAATTATCTTATGCTTAGCTGACACATCTGTAAAATGGAGATAGCAGCACCCACTTCTTTGAGTTGTGAGAAGTAAATGCATGTGAAATGTTTAGCGTGTGCCGGGCACCAAGTTAAGAGCCCAGTAAATGTTGGCTGTTATCATCGTCCTTGTTATTACAGTAGCAGCGGCGGTTCTGGTCAGAGAGCAGGTGGAGGGGAGGAAGAAGCCTCTCAGATCGCGCTGAGAGCGCCTCTACTGTTACACTTCAAATTTAGTCAGGGGTGCGGGGAGGGAGGGGCAGCCCAACTGGGCCAATTGAGAAGCTTCTGGCACCTGCAACTGCGCCCTGTCCCCTCACCTTCACCCCATGCCTGCTGCACCAAGACGGCGATGACGCCACCGACAGGACGACGACTGTGTCTCGCGCCCTGCGGCGGCATTTATGTGCCGGACTCTAGGGGTACATTTTCTGAGACGGGAAAACCTGCATTGGTGAGACTTGGGTCAGACTCACCCATACTCTTGTCCCACCTCACCCAGAAGGCCCGAGTGGCCAGGCCACAGGCTCTCCCTTAAACCCCCTCTCCCCTCCCCGAGGAATCCCGCAGCGTCTCTTGTCATTTTCTTGCAATGGGCAGTTCCTTCCTCGAACTAACCCTAATACCTTTTGCTACAACTCAAATTTCCTTTAATTTTGGCCTTAGTGGGACTGATGGACTCAGATCCCCTTTTCCACCCAGATAAAAGTGGGACAGAGCGGGGTCAGACCGCTCCTAACTGTCCCCCTGACCCCGCGATGGGTTAGACTTCGTGCTCGCCTGGGAGGAGAAGCTGCGACCCCCGCGGCGGCGGGAGAGAGGCGACTCCGGCAGCGGCGCTGGCGCGAGAATTTTCAGCGGAACCTGGAGGAGGTGAGCACGGAGCCGGCGGGCTGCGAGACCCGAGGCCGAGCGCAGACGCCCCTAGCCAGCTCTGAGACCCGCACAAGAGCCTTCAGCAGCTCATCTGTCAAATGGATTTGGCCGTAGTGTCAGCCCCAGGCAGGGGCTGTGACGATTACACGGACGCAGGGTGTAAAGCGCTCAGCCCAGGACCTGGCACATTGGAGGTGCCCAAGAAAGGAGCAAGATCAGTCGCTATACGACGCGGCCCACCCGGCGTCTGTCTCCGCGTTTGAAAAACGAAGGTGTTCGTTTTCCTCATTTGAAATTTAAACGAGGAAAGGCATGTCAAAGCGCTTTTGAAGGCGGAAAGGACCGACGCGAAAAATGGGATCTGGCCGGGCGCGGTGGCTCACGCCTGTAATCCCAGCACTTTGGGAGGCCGAGGCGGACGAATCACCTGAGCCCAGGAGTTCGAGACCAGCCTGGCCAATATGGTGAAACCCTGTCTCTACTAAAAATACAAAAATTAGCGGGGCGTGGTGGCGCACGCCTGTAGTCCCAGCTACTCGGGAGGCTGAGGCAGGAAAATCGCTTGAATCCGGGAGGCGGAAGTTGTGGTGAGCCAAGATCGCGCCACTGCACTCCAGCAACAGCGAGATGTTGTCTCAAAAAAACAAAACAACAACAAAAAAAGGGATCTGTCACCTCCCGGCCGAGATCGTGAGGGGAGGGGCTTAGGGGTCCTTCCCTCTCCTCCTGGGAGAGCAGCCCAGGAGAGTACCCCGGCATAGCGCCGCACCCTTCGCCGAGCTGAGCGCGCCTGGGAGCCGCTGTGCTACGCCGAGGAACTGAGCCTGCGCGCGCCGTCTCATGTGGAGGGGTGGGGCGGGGTCCGCCAGGGGCGGAGTCTCCCTAGGGGGCCGTAACCCTGCCCTTGACCCCAGGCCCGGCCCAACCCCGACTCTGAGGGCTCGGCGGAGCCACGGCGACGCCTGCGCCTGCGCAACCCTCTGCAGCAGTAGGTGCCCAGCCGGCCGTAGGATTCGTGCGCCTTCCGCAGCTCGGAGCCGGACAAGTGAGACCAGGCGGCCCCTTGGGTGGGCAGGGTCTGTCCGCGGAGGGGCTGGAGCCAGCAGAAGCCTTAGCCCAGCCAAGGCTGATTTGCCCTTCCTCGGCGTGCCTCAGAGGCAATTCCCGCCTCACTCGCTTTAGGTCTCTGACCCTGTCCTTTCCGCAAACTGGGGCCCCAGCCCTGCCCACCATCTCTGATTCCCACCTGTTCAATCCGCTCTGATGCACACCTGACTGGAGCACACCCAGCCCAGGCTGCGCTCTGTGGCCAGAAGGGCTCTCTGGCAGTGGCAGCTGGCATGTCTCACCTGCCTGTCTCCAACGGAGAGGCTCTGGACTGGTATTAGGTTTCAGATCGGGCAGAGGGCTGGGCTTCTGACCCCTGTTCCTCTCACAGATTCCTGGGCAGAGATTCCCATGGCTCCTACTTCTCTTACATGTGGATGCACTGAGTGGTGAGATGGCTGCTTGGGGTGAGTCCAGCTGGGACCTTAAGCGGGCAGTTGACACGAGGACTCCTCTGGCAAGTGGCAGAAATCCTGGACCGCACAATCTCCAGGAAGAAGAAACATACAGAGATGGGCATCGCCCACCTGCTGGTAGAGGGAGTCTACACTGCGGCCTTCCCACTGCGTGAGGAAGAGATGTCCCAAGCTCAGATCTCTCCCAGGCCTGACAGCATAGCAGCAGTGGCTGGGGCATCCGGAGAGCACTCTCAAACCTCCCTGCAGCTCTCCCTCCTTTTGTCCTCCTAGGGCCTCTTTGAACTGCCTGGGTACCAGGTACCCGGTTCAGATCTCAACTCTTGCCAATTGCTGTACCCATACTGGGCTTGCTGGGGATACTGGCACAAGTACCAGCCCCTGGACCAGCCTTTGGACAAAGTATGAGAGTACTTTGGGGTGAAGGTGGTCATCCACTTTGCCTGGCTAGATGAGTCTGGCGCTGGGGTGGGGACTGGGAGTGGGGCTTGAGTGCAGAGATGGGGGTTCATGAGCTTTCTCTCACCCTTCAGGTTTCTACATGGCCTGTCTGCTGCCTGTGACCCTGGTGGGCACCCTGCTCTTTATCTCTAGCCTTGTCACCGTGGGGACCAACACACTAGTGTGGGTGGCTGTGGAAGGGTTGGGGGATGGGCTGGGTGGGCTAGGTTGTCTGCCTGGTTGAGGATAGGCCCTCCCAGGATAGGCACCCTCTGCTCACAGACAGGAGATCTGTGCCAGTGGGGGTGCCACTCTGTGATACCTGTGCCACGTGGAATATTTCTGGGATCTGCCCCATGGCCAAGGTGAGCCAAGGAAAGGGGCAAAAAAACCAGGTAGGTATTTTGGACCCAACCTGGGCCTGGATGCTGGCCCTACCTTGTGCCCTCTCTCCCCTCCTCACAGCTGAGCTGCCTCTTTGACCACCCAGGAACCGTGTTCTTCAGCATCTTCATGTCCTTCTGGGGCCATGGCCTTCCTGGAGCACTGGAAGCAGGGAGTGCCACCTTGGCCCACCACTGGGACTGCAGTGACTTCCAGGACCAGGAGGCAATGCCCAGTTCAGCCCCCCACCACTGGGACTGCAGCGACTTCCAGGACCAGGAGGTGATGCCCAGTTCAGCCCTCCACCACTGGGACTGCAGCGACTTCCAGGACCAGGAGGTGATGCCCAGTTCAGCCCTCCAGGCCACAACCCCACTTCCCAGAGTTCTCAGAGGCCTTAAAGTGTGCTGGGAAGAGGTCAGACTTTGGAGTCCAACATCCTGGGATCCAAATCTGGCTTCTCCTCACACTTTTCCTGGGTCACTTTCCACCCTCCCCTGACATCAGGATGATACAGGCTTGGCGAGGTGAAACACTGAGAGTATTTATATAATAAGCCGGGCCTTGGAAAGAGACCCTCCCAAGAACAGAGAAGGAGAAAACATTCCACCTACCCACCCACCCATCCAGCTACCTACCTGTCTATCCAAACATCTTATCATTGATCCTAAGTCTGTTCGCTTCTCCCTACCTCCTCTGCCACACCCCAGCTCTCCCCACTCCAGTCCAAGTCACCATTTCCTCTTTCCTGGACCACTGCAGTGACCTCGCAACAGATCTCCTTGCCCCACTTAATTCATTCTCAGCTGCCAGGACAGTGACATCTGTGTTACCTTCCTCAAAGCCTTCCAGGGCAGTCTCATTTGAGACGTACCTGGGAAACTATCCAGACCCCTCACAGTGGCCTGCAAGGCCCTGTGCCATCTGGCCTGTGTCTAGTTCTGCCCAACTGGCTCCACCAGATCCTTGAATAGGTCAAGTTCATTTCCATCCTGGAGCCTTGGCATTGGCTATATTGGCTATGCTCTGCCAGAATCCTCTTCCTTCAACTTTTTTTTTTTTTTTTGAGATGGAGTCTCGCCCTGTTGCCCAGGCTGGAGTGCAGTAGTGCAATCTCAGTTGACTGCAGCCTCTACCTCCCAGGTTCAAATTATTCTCCTGCCTCAGCCTCCCAAGTAGCTGGGATGACAGGTGTGTGCCACCACACCCAGCTAATTTTTTATATTTTTAGTAGAGATGGGGTTTCACCATGTTGGCCAGGCTGGTCTCGAACTCCTGACCTCAGGTGATCTGCCTGCCTTGGCCTCCCAAAGTGCTGGGATTACAGACAGACATGAGCGACCACGCCCAGCCCCTTCAGATCTTATGTGGCCTACTCCTTGTCATTCAAGTCTCAAATATCTCCTTCCTAGAGAGGTCTTCCCTGATCACTAATCCAGAGAGGTGCCCTGTCACTGTTTTAATTTAATTGCAGCATTCATCACTGTATTTTATGGTTTGTTTGTTTATTATCTGTCTTCTCCCACTGGCGTGTGAGCTCCATGAGAGCAGAGACCTTATGTGTGATGTTGGCTGCTGTACCCCAGTGCCCAGAATAGTCTCTAGCACATAGAAGATGCTCCATAAATGTTTGTTGAGTGAATCTGTGAATAATCTATCTTCTGCCTACCCATTTGTCCAGCCATCCATCACTTTATCCATTCAACAGGGTTATAGGAAGATAGAAAACCAAACAAGATATTTTAACAGAGATAATTTAATATATAAGGTATTGGTTAAACAGGTGCTGGGGGACTGAAAAAGCAGAAAGGGAACACTGAGGCAACGAAGTAAATGTCAGTGGTACCCTTTGGATAGTGCAGTACATAACTCAGGTAACTTTAAAGAGTGGCCCTGGCCCGGGCACAGTGGCTCACACCTGTAATCCCAGCCCTTTGGGTGGCTGAGGCAGGAGGATCACTTGAGCCCAGGAATTCAAGATCAGCCTCAGCAACATAGTGAGACTTTCTCTCTACTAAAAAATAAAAAATTAGCTGGGTGCAGTGGCATGTATCTGTAGTCCCAGCTACTCAGTAGGCTGAGGCAGGAGAATCACTTGGGGCCAGGAGTTTGGGGCTGCTGTGAGCTATGATTGTGCCACTGCACTCCAGCCTGGGTGACAGAACAAGACCTTGTCGCTAAAAAATATATTAAGAATTAAATTAAAATTGAAATTGGCCATGCACGGTGGCTGATGCCTATAATCCCAGCACTTTGAGAGGCTGAAGCAAGCGGATCACTTGAGGCCAAGAGTTTAAGACCAGCCTGACCAACATGGCAAAACTCCATCTCGACTAAAAATACAAAAATTAGCCCCGGCTGGGCGCGGTGGTTCACATCTGTAATCCTAGCACTTTGGGAGGCCAAGGTGGGTGGATCACAAGGTCAAGAGATTGAGACCATCTGGCTAATGTGCTGAAACCCCGTCTCAACTAAAAATACAAAAATTAGCTGGGCGTGGTGGCACGCGCCTCTGGTCCCAGCTACTCGAGAGACTCAGGCAGGAGAATTGCTTGAACCCGGGAGGCGAAGGTTGCAGTGAGCCCAGCCTGGTGACAGAGCGAGGCTCCGTCTCAAAATAAATAAATAAATAAATAAATAAATAAATAAATAAATAAGCCCAGCATTGTGGCATGTGCCTGTAATCCTAGCTACTTGGGAGGCTGAGACATGAGAATCGCTTAAACCCAGGAGGCGGAGATTGCAGTGAGCCGAGATCGTGCCATTGCACTCCAGCCTGGGCAACAGAGTGAGACTCTGTCTCAAAAAAAATAATTAATTTAATTTAATTTAAAAAGAGCGGGCTGGGCACAGTAGTTTATTCCTGTAATCCCAGCACTTTGGGAGGCTGAGGCAGGCAGATCACTTGAGGGCAGGAGTTCGAGACCACCCTGGCCAACATGGCAAAACCCCATCTCTACTAAAAATACAAAACTTAGTGCCAGGCACAGTGGCTCATGCCTGTAATTCCAGAACTTTGAGAGGCTGAGGAGGGTGGATCATTTGAGGTCAGGAGTTCAAGACCAGCTTGGCCAACATAGGGAAACCCCATGTCTACTAAAAATACAAAAATTATCTGGGTGTGGTAGTGCACACCTGTAATCCCAGCTACTCGAGAGGCTGAGGCACGAGAATTGTTTGAATCTGGGAGGAGGAGGTTGTAATGTGCCAAGATCGTGCCACTGCACTCCAGCCTGGGGGACAGAGTGAAACTGTCTCAAAAAAAAAAAAAAAAAAGAAAAAGAAAAAAAAAAAGAGTGGCCCTGCCTTTGCACCCACTGTTCCCTCCCCAGAAAGCTTCTCTCCACTGTCCCTTTAGCACCTTTTCACCTTTTGGGTCATAGCTAAAGTGTCATTTCTTCAGACCATCCATGAAAAAGTTTTCCTTCATAGGACATATATATATGTCTCTGTTCATTCATTTAACCTGTCTCACAAACTAGTTTGTAAACTTCATTAGGGCATGGATCTTCTCCAGTTTGTTCACTATGGCATATTCAGTATCTATTGCAGAGTGGTACATGGTTAATAGCTATTGACTAAACTAATAAATTTATCCATTTATCCATCCATGCACCCATCCCACTCATCCATTCATCCAAATATCCCCATGTTCATCAACCATTCAAACAGACTTTCATCTGCTCATCCACCTAACCATCCATCCATCCATCCTCATGTCCATCAGCCATCCCACCAAACTTTCATCTGCTCACCCACCTAATCATCCAGCCATCCTCCATTCATCCATCCATTCATCAATCCTCAACCATCCAACCAGACTTTCATCGCTCACCCACCTAGCTATCTGTCTATCCTCCATTCATCCATCCATCCCCCCATTCATCCATCCATCCATCTATCCATCCATCCTCATGTCCATCAACCATCCAACCAGACTTTCATCTGCTCACTCACCTAACCATCATCCATCCATCCATCCATCCATCCATCCTCATGTCCATCAACCATCCCACTAGACTTTTATCTGCTCACCCACCTGGCCATCCATCCATCCCTCCACCCACCTGCCTGTCTACTCACTTACTTGTGAATAAACTATAGAAATTTACTGATTGCTTGCCTAGTTTACCTGCCCATTTGTCGGCCTACTGCCTGCTCACTCATCTGTCTATCTATCCCTTTTCCACATGTCCACTCATTTGCTGTTTACTTCTCCGTCTACCCACCATCCATCTAGCCATCCATCCACATGCTTTTAACCATGCCCTGGGGAAAAAGGTCCTGCAAAACCAAAAATGAATTAGAACCCATTGCTGCACTTCCAGAGCTCCCTCTGCAGTCAGGAAAAGGTGGGGGGCTTCCCCTAGCCTAGGATCATGGCACCAGCCTCTTGGCCCTAGGATGCACATTTCTGTTGCCCCCTGTGATAGGAGTGCCCACATCTACAGTTTGCTGCCCTGGCCCTGCAGATGACCCAGAACCCAGTGACAGGCTTGAAGGAGCCCTACTTCCAACCGCACAGCTGCCTTTCCCACCTACTCACCAGCTCTGCAGCCATCCTCACTGTGGTGAGGGGACACTGGGCCTTTGCTCTGGAAGGACTGGCTCCTCCAGGGTGGGTGCACTGGAACCCTGGCAGTCCACTCTCCAGCTCTGACAGCCCTCTCTCCTGGCCCCCAGCTCTGTGTGGTGATGATTTTCCTGGTATCTGTCATAATTTACCATGGCATCATCAGCATTGCAATGTTCCACACTGGCAACTCTGTGCTCATGACCCAAGCGAATGTCCTTTGGGGCAATGGAGGGTGAGAGCACTGTTCCAGGCTCCAGGCCTAATGTGGGCATCTTCAGGTTTTTTTCATCCCACCAATGGATGGGCTCCCGGTAATGGCCCACCACACCCGCCTAATTTTTGTATTTTTAGTAGAAATGGGGTTTCACCATGTTGGTCAGGCTGGTCTCAAACTCCTGACCTCAAGTGATCCACCCATCTCAGCCTCCCAAAGTGCTGGGATTACAGGTGTGAGCCACCGTGCCTGGCCTGTTCTTCCTCTAAAACCAGGTAATGTGTTGCAAGGCTATCTTTGTGTCATCTGGGAACTGGGAGTCTGGTGTCTCCAGTCACCCTCAAGCGAGAGTGGCCAGGGACACATGGCTGGCATTAGGGGTTGGTAGGTTAAGGACAGGAGCATAGGGGCTGACCTGATGGGCTATGCCTGCCCCCTTGCGCCCAATAGAATTCTGACCAGCTCTGCCCTTTGTCCAGAGATGCCTCCATGAAAATGCCTTCACTTTCATTTTCAGTTTGTCAATTTCTATTCTTCTCCCTTCTACATGGCATTCTTCAAAGGCAGGTAAGGACCACTCCCCAAACCCCAGCCTTAGGGCTGTCGCCTCCCAAGGAAGCAGCCCAGCAAAGCAGCAGCACCCTTTGGGCTCCAGATTTGTTCCTAGCCAGGTCTTGCTATGGACCTTGAAGCTGGTTCTTGATTTCCCTGGGCGAAAGTCTTAGCAACTGTAATTTATGGGTACACCATTGCACAGCTGTAAAATCTAACACCTGCATTCAGTCTGTCCTACAGCCCTCACTGGGTGGCCCCAGGCCTGACAATGCCACCTCCCAATGCTGCAGTTTGAGTTTATCACCATCTTTTGGGGGCCTTCCTGCTGTGCACCCTTGGTTGGATGCTAGGGACACAGAAATGAATCAGAGCTGGTCCTTTTTCCTAGAAGCATTGAGTCTTTAATGAGATCTGGTTAGGAGTCATAAAATGCTGGACTCTCAGGAGGTGCTGTTATTGTGTAATTGCCATTGTCATTTGATGGGATGGGAGGGATGGTCACCAAAAGAGCCCACTCCCCAGCACAATGACCCCATCTTCCTGGGCCATAAATGCCACATTGGCTGATCATGGGTTGAGCAGTACATAGATTCAGGCCATGGTCCCAGCAGACTTCTGGGGCCTAGTAGGGTAGGCAAGGCCTCCCATCAGCTCTGTCAGCAGGGTTAGCTGTCAATTCAGGGGGTGGCCAGAGGACCAGGAGCAGTGGGGAGAGGGGGTCAGCCTCAGCATGGAGTTTAGCTGCAGCCTGGCTCCAGAGAGGGAGAGCAAATTACCCACAGATGCAGGGGGCCCTCAGGTTTGTGGGATACCCCGGTCAGTATGGCACATTTGCTCAGCATGCCGAGTGAGGATGTGATTATGTACCCCTGGGTTGCTGATTCTGGGGGGTTAGGGGGTAGTCATCACAACCTCAGGTCTGGCAGGGGTAGGATCTGCCTCTGGGGCCTCCAAAGTGGGTAGGAGGAGCAGGTGGCCAACTCTCTGCACCAGCAGGGAGGTGGGGTAACCCCTATGCAGCCCCAAAGCCCTGAGTAAGGTGCTCTGTGTCTGCCAACAACAGTGCGGTCCTGGTGGCTGCCACATTCAGGTCACCCAGCAGCTCATCATCATCATGGTGGGCAAACAGCTGCTCAACCACATGGAAGAATTTGTTGGGCTGTGAGTGTTGGGGGAAGAACGGGGGACAAGGCTGGGCCTAATCAGGCCATTTGGAGGGCTTTTATAAGAGCAGAGCAGAAAAACCCTTTACTGGGACAGAAGATACGGGCACAAGTCCTAGCCCTGCTTCTTGTAAGCTGCGTGGCTTTGTGTCTCTCTGGGCCTCAGTTTCGTCATCTGTACAATGGAGACAATAATACCTCTCCATGAGAGTTGAGGGGATTATGAGGCGTTCAACAGGAAACAGCTTTGCAAATGGAGGGCTTTCTATTACTATTTTTTTCAGGGGGCAGTGATATTTCAGAGACCAAGAATGACTATGTGGGAAGTGCAGAGTTGAGAGCACTGGACTCGAGTCTAACAGATTGGATTTGAACACTGGCTCCACCACTTACAATTTGGGGAGCCTGGGCCAAATTCTCCAGGTGTGTTTCCTCATCAATACAGTGGAAATCATCATGGTGCCTGCCTCTAAGGGGTGCTGGTGATAGAAGTGGCAGTTCCTAGCACAAGGCCCTGTTATGACCATTATCTGGTTGCCCTGCCTCCAGGAAACGGAAGGCTTGGTGGCAGAAGTGGCAGCTGGCAGGGCAGAGGGACACCCAGATCGGGCAGGAGCTGCAGCACTGGGAGAAGGAAGGACTATGAGCTCATCAAGTGTCAGGGCCTGTTTGATGAATACCCAGGGATGGAGGAGCAGTCGCTCAGCAGCGTGTGCCCTGGGCATGAGTGGGGCCCCTGGGGGCCTGGCACAACAGGGGAGGTGGCCCCGGGCCTGACACTCCCTGCCTGCCAGAGCTGCAGTTTGGGTTCATCACCATCTTTGTGGGAGCCTTCCTGCTGGCACCCCTGTTCACTCTGCTCAACAACCGGGTAGAGATTGGACTGGACGCCCACAAGTTCCTGTGCAAGTACCAGCGACCAATGGCTGGGCGCGGCTGGACATCTGGATCTGACTGCTCCTGCTGGAGGCCATGGTACACCTTGAGGTCACCGTGAATGGGAGTGAGGTAGATGAAGGGAATACAGGGGCAGGGGGCGGGGGAGATGGAGCTCAGAGACTGGGGAAGGGGGTTCAGGAATAGGGAAATACAGGGCTGGAGAAGGAAATCCGGGTCAGAGTTTGGGAAATAGGGGAGAGGAGGCTAGGATCCCGGGCCAAAGGCTCATCCTGCCACGGGAGGGGGTCTGGATCCGAGTTGGGGTGAGTTAGGGGGTTGGGCCCTGAAGGCCCTCTGGCTCTGCAGGCTTTCGTCTCGCCTTCATCTCGGACTTCTGCCGCATATCCCGTAACAGTACGAACACCACACCCAGCTGCACGGATTTGTGAATTTCACGCGGGCACCCGCGCCCCATGCCCACCTGGCCCAGAGCAAACACACTCTGCCCTTCAGGCTGGGGAGGAGGGGCGCGGCGGGAGGGGCGGGGCCCTGAGCTTTGGTGGGCGAGGCCTTCCTGGGAAGGGCGTGGCGCTGAGCCTTGGTTGGCGGGACGCTGAGGCGGGAGGGGCAGGGCTGTCTGGGAAGCACGGCGCTGAGCCTTGGTGAGGGAGGCCGGCCTGGGAGAGGGCGGGTGCTAAGCTTTGGTGGGCGGGGCCTGTCTGGGAGGGGCAGGTGCTGAGGAGGGAGGGGCGGGGCCTAGCTGGGAAGCCGGGAGCCGAAACTGGACGGGTGGGGTGGTGCCTGGCTGGGGTGCAGTGAGCTGATTCTGCCCCGGACAAATGCGCGGAGCCGGCTAGGGTACTGGCTGAACGGGCAGGGCCAGATTCTAGGGAGAAGGAGGGGAGGAAATGCGGGGTTCGGAGTCGAGATCCGAGAGCCTCTCCAGACCCCGCAACCCAGATACAAGGCCTCTCGCGACGTGGGGGTGAACCTCGCCCTCTTCTACTGGAAGCTGCTGGCTGTGCATGTGCATCTGGGTTTCATTATCGCCTTCGAGGTAGGCTCAGCCATCTGTCTTGGACAGACTTGGTTCCAAGTTCAGGCTCTGCCGCCGACCGGCTGGAAATTGGGATATATTATATAATAGGATCTACTTCATAGGGTCGTTATGAAGGTTCGGTGTCAAGCATTTGCACTGTGCCTGGCATGTTGTAGGTGCTCAATGAATTAATATCACAAATAATAATAACATTATCTCTTGGCAAGAGAAAGGAGAAACGAGAGGAAGCACTCTCCCACCAGCTTTGCTCTTTTACAAGCCCTGCCCTGACGTGGTTCCTAGTGTTAAGGGGTTCGAATCATACCTCTATGTCTTTGGGCAAATGGCAACCCCTTTCTGCTTCTGTTTCTTCGCTTGTGGAGTAGAAATTACCCCCAGCTCATAGAGTTGTTGTGAGGATTAAATGAATTCATATCCGGAAAACCTTCAGGTTAGGGTTTGGCTCAGGGTAAGCGCTCCATGAGTTAAGATCGCTAAGGCAATCATTCTCTCTTTTTGGCCCCCTTCTCCCCAGAATGTAGTGTTCTTCTTCCTGTGCCCCAACGACCGGCTCGTGCCCGATGTGCCAGCCCTGGCTACCAAGATAACTGCGCGAGCGCTACCTGGCCAAGCAGGCGGTGGCAGACAACCGGGAGACGCTGTTTCAGTCAGCAAGGCAGGCGGACCCCGGCCCCACCCGCAACATAATGACCATAATGACCACGCCCCTTGGCCTGCCCTCAAGCTTCAGCTCAGCCCTCTCTAGTTCAGCACTCTCTAGCCCCGCCCCCTTATTTGGCCTCATCCATTGGAGGGATTGGCTGGACTCCCTGTAGTTTCCGCCTGTTCCCGCCCATCATTAAGCTCCGCCCCCGCCAAGCCCCCTTTTCTACTTTATCTGCAAGCTGGGGTTGGGGGCTCTGCTCTGGAGTGCCAGCCTGCTCAGCCTGACCAAGCTGTGCTCTATGTCCGCACAAGGGACGCAGGGGCGTCCAGGACGCAGGGGCGAGTGAGGCAGGGCTGCCCTTCCAGGACCCTAGGTTCCCCAGGATGCTCCTCCTATTGGGGTCCTCTGGCTTCCAGTTACGCATCTGGGCAGTGTCCCAAGGCCGGTCCGGGAGTTGGATGAGAGGATTGGAGTTCCCTGGAGACCTCCAGACCTGCACTGCTACCCTTCCGTGTTCTTGCCTCCTGGCCTCTGTGCAATGCTGACAATAAACCTGTCTCTGCGTCCCAGACTGCCACCTCTCCACGGCCACCTGGTCCCCACCCACACGGTGCAGTGTCTCCTCACTATGTGGCAATGCTCTAGGGAGCCAAAGTGAACATGGGGGAGCAGAGGGACCCTAATGACTCTGAACTTAATGGCTGTCGGTTGGCAGCTAAGGAAAATACTTTGGGGCCGGGCGCGGTGGCTCACGCCTGTAATCCCAGCACTTTGGGAGGCCGAAGAGGGTGGATCACCTGAGGTCAGGAGTTCGAGACCAGCCAAACCAACATGGAGAAACCCCGTCTCTACTAAAAATACAAAACTAGCCGGGCGTGGTGGCGCATGCCTATAATCCCAGCTACTCGGGAGGCTGAGGCAAGAGAATTGCTTGAACCCGGGAGGCGGAGGTTACGGTGAGCCGAGATTGCGCCATTGCACTCCAGCCTGGGCAACAAGAGCAAAACTCCATCTCATAAATAAATAAATAAATAAATAAATAAATAAATAAATAAATACTTTGGGGGACTAGGGCATGGGCCATGAAACCTCTGCTGTGTATTCCGAGCCTGTAGTGTAAGAATAATAAGACCAATAAGAGTTTAGTTAGGTCAGCCGAGACACCCCGGATTACACTTTCACACACTTTTCACCACGAGACCCTCCTAAAAGCCTGGTGAGGCAGTACCAGGCAGTGGTGAAGGACTCAGGTTGGTGGTGGGGTCAGACAGACCTGGGTTTCTTTTCTTTTTTTTTTTTTTTTTTTGAGATGGAGTCTCGCTCTGTCACCCAGGCGGGAGTGCAGTGTTGTGACCTCAACTCACTGCAACCTCTGCCTCCCCACCTCCGTGGTTCAAGCAATTCTCCTGCCTCAGCCTTCTGAGTAGCTGGGATTACAGGTGTGCGCCACCACGCTCGGCTAATTTTTGTATTTTTAGTAGAGACAGAGTTTCACCATGTTGGCCAGGCTGGTCTCAAACTCCTGACCTCGTGATCCGCTGGCCTCAGACTCCCAAAGTGTTGGGATTACAGGTGTGAGCCCCTGTGCCCAGACTATTTTTGTGTTTTTAGTAGAGACAGGTTTCACCATGTTAGCCAGGCTGGTCTAGAACTCCTGACCTCAGGGGATCCACCTACTTTGGCCTCCCAAAGTGCTGGGATTACAGGCGTGAGCCACCACGCCCGGCCAGACCTGGGTTTCAATACTAGTCCTGCCCCTTATTAGCTGTGTGACAAGTTATTTAATCTCTCAAACCTTAATGTCATCTGTAAAATAGGGACTTCATAGAACTGATGAGAGATTTCAAAGGGATAATGCTCATGACTTAACTTGTTAAGTTGGCCCCCCATATCCTCAGGTTCTGCATCCTTGGGTTCAACCAACAATGCATGGAAAATGAAAATAAAAACAAAAAATAACAAAAATAATGACAATAAAAAATAATGCAAATAAAAAACATTACAGGATAACAACTATTTACATAGCACTTACACTGTATTAACGTGTTATAAGTAATCTAGAATTGATTTAAACTGTACTGGAGTGCCGGGCGTGGTGGCTCATGTCTATAAATCCAGTACTTTGGGAGGCCAAGGCTGGTGGATCGCCTGAGCCCAGGAGTTTGAGACTAGGCTGGGCAACCTGGTGAGATCCCATCTCTACAAAAAATACAAAAATTAGTCAGGTGTGGGGGTGCACACCAGTGGTCCCAGTTACTCAGGAGGCTTAGGTGGGAGAATCACCTGAGCCCAGGAGGTCGACGAGACTGCAAGTGAGCCCTGTAATTGCACCACTGTACTCCAGCCTGGATGACAGAGTGAGACCCTCTCACTTGAGGACATTTTATTTTATTTTTTGACAATAAATACATAAAATAGACTGGGTGCGGTGGCTCACGTCTATAATCCCAGCACTTCGGGAGGTTGAGGCGGGTGGATCACTTAAGGTCAGGAGTTCAAAAACCAGCCTGGCCAACATGGTGAAACCCTGTCTTGACTAGAAACAAAAAAAATTAGTAGGGTGTGGTGGCATGCGCCTGTAATCCCAGCTACTGGGGAGGCTGAGGCAGAAGAATTGCTTGAACCTGGGAGGCAAAGGTTGCGGTGAGCTGAGATCCCACCACTTGCTCCAGCCTGGGTGACAGAGCAAGACTCCATCTTAAAAATAAATAAATAAATAAATAAATAAATAAATAAATAAATAAATAAAATAAAATAAAATAAAATTTACTGGAGGATGTACAAAGGTTATAGCAAACACTATGACATTTTGTATAAGGGACTGGAGCAGCCATGGATTTTCGTATGGGAGGGTTCTAGAACCAATTCCCCACAGATTCTGGGTACCAAGGGACAACTGTACTCACCTGATAAGTGGTAGCAGTATCTACCTGACAGGGTCATGGTGGAGATTAAATGAGTAAATACATGTGAAGTGCTCAGGACAGTGCCTGGCACCTAGTAGGTGAACAATAAGTTAGCTTCATGACTATTAGTCTGTGTACACATCTGCATATTAATATTAGGTGCCTGGCAATTGCTGGTAGCTCAAACAGATGGCAGGTAGAATTAGGGGAAAATGCAGCTTCCCATTCCACAGGGTTGGGAAGATTGCATGCCGGGCATAGAGCATGCCCTTCTTATTGGAGGCAGTTTGACTTGGCTATTTGGCTTGGTTTATTGAGGGCTCAATTGGTATAGTCTGGGAAGGCTTCATGGTGGAGGCGGCCACTGGAGATGGTGGGGCAGGTCATTCCAGGCCGTGGGAAAGGATGGGGATTTGCAAGCAGTGGCTGTACTAGATGAGGAGAGGCTGTCCAGGATGATGCCACATGTCACATCATCAACTTTCAGGACTGATTTCTGTCTCCCAATCATAGGGATGAGTGTTCCAATTTGATAGATGTAGTAATAGGATCAGAGAGGGTCATCAGGGTTCTCAGGGTCCCTAAGGAGTGCAGGGCTTGGGAGGCTCTCTGTGAAGCTCCCAGGATGCTCCCCAGCTCCAAGAAGTCCCCTGAGCATGCTCATGTTTGGGAAGCTCCAGAAGAGTGGTGACCTGTCTCCTAGGAGCAGAAGCACTGCCTCCCCCGTCTTTAGGACCTGGGTGTAGGGTCCTTCAGAGCCTCACTTGGGCATAGGACTCCCATTGTTCCAGCCCCCCTCTTGTACCCCAGACTAGCCAAACCGGTTCTGGGGAAGGGGGGCGGGGAGCAGGCACGTTGAGACAGCCGCCTGCCTCTCTCTGCAAGGTTCCCTCCTCCTTCACCTCCCCCTCCCTGCCCCACACAATACCCAGGAGCTTGCCTTGCTCGGCTCTGGGGCCATGCTGACATGCTGACATCGCCCCCTGAGGACTTGGCTGCAACCCCAGAGCCCCCAGGGTGTCCCGGAGCCCTGGACCGTGCTGGCAGCTGGACGGAGCTCCCTGGCTGAGGTAGGGCCCCACCTGGGTGCCAGCAGTCCCATTCTCTTCCCGCCAGTTTTCCCCGCTGAGTGAGCCCTTTGTGCTGCCCGCCTGGTCTCTGATCCTGGCTCTGACCCACTATGGCCTTCTGGGGCTCTGTGAACCACTTGGCCTGGATCCACTTTCCAGCCATGACTTCCCACCTGGCTTTATTCCTTAAAGGGCAGAGAGGCTCTGGCAGGGTACCAGCTCTCCTGGGCAGCAAGGCAAGGGGCACCCGGGAGGGGGCAGGGAAAAGCTAGGTACAGGAGGCCAGAAACACTTTTTCTGATCATGGTAGTGTCCAGGGACTCTCTGGCAGCCTTGCTAAGTGGGCCCATCGTCTTCTGTAATTAGCAGCACCCACCAAGGGTACTTTCCTCGGCCCCTGCCCATCCTTCTTGGCCCAGAGACATTTATGATGAGACATGTTTCTTAGAGAGGGCATTGGGCGGTGGTGCGGTCCCTTAGGAGCCACTTTACAGATGGGAATACTGAGGCCAAGGGATGGGCTGTGAATTGCCTAAGGCCACACAGCTGGTCAGTGTCAACACTGGGCCTCAAAGCTTGGGCGGAGGTTATTCTTTTTGGGCTCCAGAGTGGCCCTTGCCTAGTAGACACAAGAGTCTCTATCCTGTGATCGTGCCTTGGGAAGGTAATGTCCCTGCTGTCTGGGGCCAGTTCTCTTTCTGAGGTTTTTGTTTGTTTTTTTCTAACAGAGATGAGCTACACACAATATGAACACAGCTTGTCCCTCTTAGCTCCCCAGCATTGAGGTTGGGTGGGCCAAACCCCTGGAGGGCCACAGGGCTGGCATCCCAGCTAGATGGGTCATTCTTATTACCCCTTGGCTTGAGCATAGGTGGAGGCTGACACACTCCTGACTTCTTCCCTGCTAGGGACCTGCCTCCAGCTTCATCTCCCCGGGAAGCCTTCTATGTCCCCTCTCCCCACATTCACCTAGCCTTCTCCTCTGCAGCCTTAACTGGGGGTGCTCCTGCTGCAAAGCCTCAATGTTTTGCCTACTTATCCCTGTGAGCCATGGGAGAGAGGGTCCCTCCCTGCCCTCCAGGAGCTTCCAGAACCCAAGTGCTAGAATCTCCCAGCATACAAAGGGGCAGGGGGCATGTGTACATGCCTGCACATGTGTGCCCCCAGAAGCAAGTGGGACTTCTGTGTCGAGGACTTCTGATTCCTGCAGAGAAAGAGACCCGTCTGTGGGCAGGGGCCTCCTTGTGCACACTCCTGCGATATAATGTGTGTCTCAGCCTCACTCCTTCATCTTCCCCATCTGTGTGAAGGCCTGAGCTGCCTTCTGTCTAGAGAAAGACTGATGATAATAAAAATACTATCCTATTTGCCGGATGAGGAGACCGAGGCTTAGGGAGACTCGCTCAGATGGGTACTTTTCAGGCTAGAGGGACAGAGGCTGATGGTACAAGCCAGAGTGGCCACCGTAGAGAGGACCCCTTTGGAGCAGCCAGTCCCCTTCTTCCCACCCTCCCAGACAGCAGGGTGAAGGGAGCAGGGGGAAGCAGTTGAGAAGCTGTGCAGAGAGACTGGGGCCTGCCATAGACCCAGCCATCTCTCGCTGGGTCCTCTTCTCCCTCCCTGTCTCCAATAGTGACTGACACTGTCACTGTTCAGGCCAAGGCTTTCCCTCTAAGTGCACTATGTATTTCAGCCGTGGAGCAGTTAACTATCACCTCCTCCAGGAAGTCTTCCTGGAATACCCAGGTTGAGTTGAGCCGAGCACCCTCCTCTGATGGTTCCTCTGGCTTGGCTCTTGCCAACCTGGATTGTAACTGTTTTCATTTTTGGCTCTCCCACTAGACTGGCAGCCCACGGGCATGAAATGTTTGTCCATCTGTCTCCCTGGGTTTTCTGGGCTTCATCTGTGTCTCTGAGGATCTGGTTGGCCTGAAATTGTCAGTGTCTCTGTCTCCATCTCTGGGTCCCTGAATGTCTCAGCATCTGTGGTTTTTCTGTTTTTGAACGTCTTGGGGTCTTGGTTTCTCAGTTACTGGCTAAGTGGTCTCTGTTTCTCTGGGTCTCTCTCAGTCTTCATTTCCTGGCTCTCCTGGTCCTGCCAGGCTGGGCACTGCCCCTTTGGCCTGAGGGGGCCTCTGGGGGGTCCTGGCTGCCCGGCCTGCCCACAGCGAGGCCAGGCTAGGGTAGGCCCCCGCCCAGCCCGCTGCCTGCTCCCTCCCTCCCTCCCTGCTTGCCTCACCACAGGGTTTGATGAATCAAACTCTTTGTCTGGGTGGGATCTCCCCCAGCCAGCTGGGCAGAGAGAGGGCTTCCCCTGCCGGAACAGCCAAACAGCATCAGCAGCGGGCCTGGGCCCAGAGAGGTGAGGGGCTGCAGGAGGGAGGCTGGCAGAGGGCCACAGGGCAAGAGCTGTGGGGGCTTGGGCCTCTCAGATCATCAGGCCTGCCCCGATCGGAGGGCTGGCTCCCCAGGGATAACTTCCTGCCCAGAAAGGACCCATCCAGCCTGGCCCACCCAGGGGCTGGAAGCTGGGGTGGGGGACAGCCCCTCTTTCACTCCAAGCCGGGGGTGCTGGGGCACCTCTTTGAACTTCGAGAAGGCCCCTGCCTGATCTGGGTGGTGGCCCGCCTGCCAGTCCATGACCCTCCCAGCCAACTTGGCATGGGTGTGGGCACCACTCAGCACTGAAGGCCGCAACTCTGGGCAAGGGTCGGGGAGATGGGGGGAGAAACATCAGAGCAAGGACCTGTGGGCTGGTGTGTGTCTGTGTGCATGTGAAGGGAACAGGAGGGTGAGAAATCTTGGGTGCCTGTGTAAATATCGGACGGGTCAGCGTGTTTGTGAGGAGTTGTCTGTGAATGTATGCGGTTGTGTAAAAATGTGTGTGTCTGTGACTGTGTGAGCCTGAGTTTGAAATGTCTGTATCTATGAAAGTGTACATGTCATTCTATACTTGGGAGAAAATGTAGTGTGGATGTATATGTTGGGAAATGGATTTGTGTGACAATGTATGTATTTGCATGTCTGGTGACATGTCAGTGTGTTTTAGAGAAGTACAAGGTGGTTAAAATCATCGATTTCAAAGCTAGAACGGCCAGGTTAGAATCCTGGCTCCACCATTTACCAAATAACCTCTCTGTGCCTCAGTTTCCTCACCTATAAAATGGGGATAATAAGAGCATCAACTCACAGCGTTGTTGTGAGGATTAAATGAGATAGTATGTGTAAAGTACTTGGCCTATCATTCAGGCAATGCCAAGCAAGTATCAGCTATTTCTATATAATTAGACATGTGAGTGTGTTTGTGGAGATGTGTGTACACAAGTGTACACAGGGGTTTGTCCAGGCCTCCAGGGGTGGTGGCTTACTGGCCAGCCCCACTGTCCTCTGTCTAGGTCTGATATCTTCTCTTCTGCAGGGCCAGGTGGGTGGCAGAGCAAAAGAGGAATGGACTGTGGGCCACCTGCTACCCTCCAGCCCCACCTGACTGGGCCACCTGGCACTGCCCACCACCCTGTAGCAGTGTGCCAGCAGGAGAGTCTGTCCTTTGCAGAGCTGCCCGCCCTGAAGCCCCCGAGCCCAGTGTGTCTGGACCTTTTCCCTGTTGCCCCAGAGGAGCTTCGGGCTCCTGGCAGCCGCTGGTCCCTGGGGACCCCTGCCCCTCTCCAAGGGTTGCTATGGCCATTATCCCCAGGAGGCTCAGATACAGAGATCACCAGCGGGGGGATGCGGCCCAGCAGGGCTGGCAGCTGGCCACACTGTCCTGGTGCCCAGCCCCCAGCTCTGGAGGGACCCTGGAGTCCCCGACACACACAGCCACAGCGCCGGGCCAGCCACGGCTCGGAGAAGAAGTCTGCCTGTGAGTCACCCTGGGGAAGGCGGGTGTGGGTGCCATGGCAGGGGGATAGGGGAGGGGCTGGGCAGCTCCTTAACCTTTATGTCCCAAGGTTCCCCCAAAAGTCAGGACAAGTGGTAGATTAGTGATAAGGAAACTAGTGGGGCTCAGGGAAGGCAAGTGACTTGTCCAAGGTTATGCAGTGAGTGAGTCACCATTCTGGGCAGCCTGATCCCTCTGTCTACTGCAGCCAGGCCCTGTGCTCTCCTTACCCCTCTCGTGGACCCCAGGGCTCTGGGGACCAGATGCTAGCAGAAACACAGGCCCTTCCCTTGGGCATGGTGCCTGAACCTCCCCAGGTGCTCAGGGCCAGGGGCAGCAGCAGGGAGGAGGTTGGGGGAGACCCCAGCCCGTGCTCTCACTCCTTGCCCCCAACCCTAGGGCGCAAGATGCGGGTGTACCAGCGTGAAGAGGTCCCCGGCTGCCCCGAGGCCCACGCTGTCTTCCTAGAGCCTGGCCAGGTAGTGCAAGAGCAGGCCCTGAGCACAGAGGAGCCCAGGGTGGAGTTGTCTGGGTCCACCCGAGTGAGCCTCGAAGGTCCTGAGCGGAGGCGCTTCTCGGCATCGGAGCTGATGACCCGGCTGCACTCTTCTCTGCGCCTGGGGCGGAATTCAGCAGCCCGGGCACTCATCTCTGGGTCAGGCACCGGAGCAGCCCGGGAAGGTACCAGCTCCTCCCATGGGCCCTGAGGGCAGCCAGATGCCGGGTGGGGGTGGGGGTGGGCGATGCCCACTCACCGGCCGCCTGAGGCCGTCAGGGTGCCTGGGCCGGGGCCCAGGCCCCAGGCCCACTCTCTGGACCCCCCACCCTCAGTTCTCGCCCTCTCCAGGGAAAGCATCTGGAATGGAGGCTCGAAGTGTAGAGATGAGCGGGGACCGGGTGTCGCGGCCAGCCCCTGGTGACTCACGAGAGGGCGATTGGTCCGAGCCCAGGTACCACCTCCCGTTTGGGCTTGGGTCCGAGACAGGGTGCAGGCGAACTAGGGCCGTGACGCTCTCTCTTTCCTAGGCTAGACACACAGGAAGAGCCGCCTTTGGGGTCCAGGAGCACCAACGAGCGGCGCCAGTCTCGATTCCTCCTTAACTGTACGTGGGAGGGGGGTCCCTGGGAGGAGGTAACGGAGGAAGGGGCTGCGGTGTGGAAACGGGGAAAAGAGGGTTTGGAGAGTTGAGAGGTAGGGATCGAGTGAGAAACGGAGAATGGAACTGTCGGTATCTAGCACTCAGTAGGTGCTCAATTTGTTTATGGAATGAATGAATGAATGAATGAATTCACTGTGTCCAGATATCCGAACCGCGGCAAAGGTTAAGTGACGCGGGCTCTTGAGGGAACCGAGGAAAAGCCGGGCAGGGGCTGGCGGGCGCCCCACGCTCTCCCCCGCCCGTCTTTCCCCCAGCCGTCCTCTATCAGGAATACAGCGACGTGGCCAGCGCCCGCGAACTGCGGCGGCAGCAGCGCGAGGAGGAGGGCCCGGGGGACGAGGCCGAGGGCGCAGAGGAGGGGCCGGGGCCGCCGCGGGCCAACCTCTCCCCCAGCAGCTCCTTCCGGGCGCAGCGCTCGGCGCGAGGCTCCACCTTCTCGCTGTGGCAGGATATCCCCGACGTACGCGGCAGCGGCGTCCTGGCCACGCTGAGCCTGCGGGACTGCAAGCTGCAGGAGGTGGGCGCGCGCGGGGACCCGGCGGGGCGGGGGCGGGCCGGGGAGTACGCGGTCCGGGGACTTAGCGGGAACCGGGCCATAGAGGGAGGGGGACACACAAAGGGGGTTGCTGGCGCGACTGTCCGCGCGGAAGGTTGGCTCTAGGACCTGACTACACGAGGCCGTCTGGAAGCGAGGACAGCAAGCCGCTGAGCGAGAGGCGAGGGGAGCCGGGCTTGGGTGCGGGTAGGGGGCGGAGCCAGCGGGACGAAACCTAGGATAGGACAGGGCCGGATGAGGAGCGGAACCATTGGAAGAGCAAACGCCTGGTGGGCGCGGAACAAGGCGGGGCCAGGATCAGGGGCGGGACCTGGGGGGTGGGCGGGGCTCTGGGAAGAACGCGTCGGGGCGGGGCTTAGGAGAGGGGCGGGATCGAGGACAGGAAAGGCTTGCACAATTTCCCGCGGCGGGACGTGGGTCGCCGGGCCCGCCCGGCGCCAGATTAGGAGTGGGGCTAGAGAAGGGGCGAGGACGCGAGGTGTGGCGTCCTGGGGTCTGGGGATGTGAGGCCAGGGCCTCCGAGGTGAACTGGTCCTGCCCTTTCGACCCCGTGTGTGCCCTCCCTCAGGCCAAGTTTGAGCTGATCACCTCCGAGGCCTCCTACATCCACAGCCTGTCGGTGGCTGTGGGCCACTTCTTAGGCTCTGCCGAGCTGAGCGAGTGTCTGGGGGCGCAGGACAAGCAGTGGCTGTTTTCCAAACTGCCCGAGGTCAAGAGCACCAGCGAGAGGTGAAGAAGTGGTCTGGCCTGGCCCGGGGTGGGGACGGAGCCAGTGGTTGGCCAGCTCCCAGATCTGGGGTCTCCATCCTGGCTCTGACTCCTCAGGTTCCTGCAGGACCTGGAGCAGCGGCTGGAGGCAGATGTGCTGCGCTTCAGCGTGTGCGACGTGGTGCTGGACCACTGCCCGGCCTTCCGCAGAGTCTACCTGCCCTATGTCACCAACCAGGCCTACCAGGAGCGCACCTACCAGCGCCTGCTGTAGGGCTGGGGGCTCTGAAAGGGGCGGGGGCGTGGAGGGAGTCTCAGGCAGGTGTAGGCACTGAGGGCTGGGTGACGTAAGGTGACTCTGGGAGGGGAGGGGTCCCTGAAAAGGTCTCTGTGACCAGGATAAGGTGAGATGCAACCCCAAAGGGCAGTAAGGATGTGCTGAGAAGCCCCCTGAGGACCCCGTGGATGGCCAGGGTTGTGGATCCCAGGAATTCAGGCCTACCTGTGATTCCAGAGTCCTCCCCATTTTCCAGCCTGGAGAACCCCAGGTTCCCTGGCATCCTGGCTCGCCTGGAGGAGTCTCCTGTGTGCCAGCGTCTGCCCCTTACCTCCTTCCTTATCCTGCCCTTCCAGAGGATCACCCGCCTCAAGATGTTGGTGGAGGTACCTCGAGGGGACAGGCCACAGTGAGGGCTGGGCGAGGGAGATACACCTGTGGGCGGGCCGGGTCTCGGGAGTATGAGGACTGCCTCATTGTGCTGATCCCACCTTCCAGAACATCCTGAAGCGGACAGCACAGGGCTCTGAAGACGAAGACATGGCCACCAAGGCCTTCAATGCGCTCAAGGAGGTGAGCTGGGCAGGGCAGGGGCTGCTTGGCTCCTGAGGCCCCCCCTGGACCCCCAGCACGTCTCTAAAACAGCCCCCAGCTGTCAGAGTCTCCGGTCCCCAGGCAAGAGTCTGAGGCTGGGCTCTGGGAGCCGGAGCTGAGGGGCTGCAGGTGACCTCCCCACGGCTCCCCCAGCTGGTGCAGGAGTGCAATGCTAGTGTACAGTCCATGAAGAGGACAGAGGAACTCATCCACCTGAGCAAGAAGATCCACTTTGAGGGCAAGGTGTGTGTCTGCAGCCAGCGGGATGGGGACCCCAAGGGGCAGCTCTTGTTTCTTCCTTGCCCTGGGGGCTTCAGGCCAGTTAATCGCTGCCCACACCCTCCCATCTACCATCTTGTGCTCTCTGCCTGGTGCCCCTGGGCCTGACCCATCCTTCTCCATCCCTCTAGATTTTCCCGCTGATCTCTCAGGCCCGCTGGCTGGTTCGGCATGGAGAGTTGGTAGAGCTGGCACCACTGCCTGCAGCACCCCCTGCCAAGCTGAAGCTGTCCAGCAAGGCAGTCTACCTCCACCTCTTCAATGACTGCTTGCTGCTCTCTCGGCGGAAGGAGTGAGTCGGGGCAGTCAGGGGTGGGTAGGTAAAGTGGAGCCAGGCTCTCTTCCTCCCCACCACTGGGCTTATGACCAGTCCATCCCTGGGCCTGGGAGTCCCTGCCTGTGCCAGGGTATGCTGCCAGGGCACCCTGAGATTTGGAGGCTCCTGAAGCAAAGGCAGAGATGTGAGACAAGTCCATGTTCCAGAAGGGAGAATCAAGGGCTAGACTGTATGCCGAGGACTTGGAGATGCTGTGAGCTTCAGCCAGTAAGAGCAGAGACTAAGAGCATAGCCCTAGAGTCCCAACTCTGCCCTGAGTCACAGCTATGCCAGAAGCCAACATTTACTCAGTACCTACTCTGTGCAAGGCATGCTACGTGGATTATTCCCTTTAATCCTCCAAATACCTCCCTGGGAAATAGGCTTCTCTGTTACTCTCAGATCATGGAGCTAGTAGGTGGGGGAGCCAGGAGGATGCCAGCTCTGTCTGATGGCAGCACCATGCCTGACTCACAGTGAACACTTGTTCAGTATTAGCTGGGATTGTTAGGAAGAGTGAGGTAGAAGACTACCTGGATAAGGTGAATGGGATAAAGGATGGACATGTGGGCTGGGCACGGTGGCTCACACCTGTAATCCCAGCACTTTGGGAGGCCAAGGTAGGAGGATCACTTGAGTCTAGGAGTTCAAGACTAGCCTGGGCAACATAGTGAGACCCCATCTCTTAAAACAAAAAAGGATGGACATGTTATGCTATAAGAAGAATTCATTCCTGATTTGTTTGTTCATTTAGTAAACAGTCACTGAATCTCTGTTCTGTAGCAGGCCAGTGCTAGGGACATAAATATGAATGAGACTTGTTTTCTGCTCACAGAAGCTCTCAGACAGTGAAAATACATTCTGACAACCATATCATCAGGGTTTTGATATAAGGGTGTACTGCGGTATTTCCTGGTGTGGAGTGAGAATCAATAAAGCTTCATAGAGGACAGGACATTTGAGCTGGGTTTTGAAGGATGAGTAGGAGTTTTCCAGGTAGACAGGTAGTTTGAGTGCAGGAGTACAGCAGAGTCATGGTAGGGTAGAAGAGCGGAATGTGTGTTTGGGAATCATGAAGCCTAATGTGGCTGGATTTGTAAAGGAGAAAGGCAGCAGAGGGAAGTTGGGATGTTGAAGGTCATGATAGAGAGGTTGGACTTTTTCTGAGGCAGCAGGGAGCGTGGAGAGTTAAGCAGAGGGATGATATTTTGCTCCTGGCCAATTTGGAGGATGAACTGGAAGGGGAGAGGCCAGAGGGTCTTGCAGTTGCTCAGGAGAGGGTAGATGCTCCAGAAGTGGCAGGGTACTTCAGGATAAGTGGATTCAAGGGACAATAAGGAGGAAAGACAGGACATAGCTACCAGATGGGTGTAGGGGGGATGGAAAGGGAAGAGGTGAGCATGACGTCTGAGTTTCCTCTTGGGCAAACTGGTGGGGTCTTTCACTGGAATGGAGAACAGTAAAGGGGATCTGGCTTGGAGTGGGAGAAGCTGAGTTTTTTCTGATGCCGAGTTTTGTTGAATGAGTTGACGTCTGTGGAACACCCTCCACCCATCCTGCCTACAAGTACTTACTGAGCCCAAATTGTGGGTCAGGCAGTATCATCAGACACTGAGATACAGTGGCAAAGAGACGAGGCTCAGCCTTCGTGGGGCTTATATACTGGAAGAGAGTTAGACACTCCTCAGGGGAGCTGTCCAGTTGGCTCTTTGGAACAGACGCTTGGCAGAGAGGTTCAGAGAGAGGTCATGAATCGCTTGAACCTGGAAGGCGGAGGTTGTGGTGAGCCGAGATCATGCCACTGCACTCCAGCCTGGGAGACAGAGCGAGACTCTGTCTTAAAACAAAACAAAACAAAAAGCCAAAAAACTAACAAATAAAAAAACAAAAAAAAGAGAGAGAGAAAGGTCAAAAGTGTGCTTGGGGCTCAGGGACTGGTCTCCATCACCTCCAGCCTCCACCAGCAAGCCAGCGGGGAAGGAGCTCTTGGTTCCTTGTGGGGACTAGCAGTGCCCTATCCAGAAGCAGGACCCTGTGAGAACGCTGGCAGGGCAGGCAACCCCTTCTCCCCACTTCCAGTCAGAACCCACCTGATCCCGAGGGTGGGTGCCTAGAGCCAGGGCCCAGGCCAGGCTGACCTCCCCTCCCCCGGTCCTCCAGGCTAGGGAAGTTTGCCGTTTTCGTCCATGCCAAGATGGCTGAGCTGCAGGTGCGGGACCTGAGCCTGAAGCTGCAGGGCATCCCCGGCCACGTGTTCCTCCTCCAGCTCCTCCACGGGCAGCACATGAAGCACCAGTTCCTGCTGCGGGCCCGGACGGAGTGAGTGGGCCTGGATATGGGAGAGAGGAGGCTCCCCCTCCCCATGACAGGCACCCCGTCCCCATGATGGGCACCCCGTCCCCATGGCGGGCACCCCTGGGACATCCTGGCCTTGTTCCTCCCCAAGTGCTCAACTCTTCCCTGACTTGGGCAGGACACAGGGGCAGAGGGCAGGGCTGGAGGCCAGAGTAGGGGTGCCTGCCCCACAGGTGGTGTCAGGGGGCTGCCACCTCCTCCTCAGCCTCTGGGCATCTCTTGGATGTAAACCTCCACACCCTGCTATCTCTGGCTTCAGGACTGTGGCATTAGGCAGGATGGGGGTAGGGCTGGCATCCAGGGGGTTCTGGGCCTGTTATGCTCAGAGCTGGGTGGGGCACAGGCTTGGGAACCGGGTTGTGGGGTGGGCCCTGGGGTGGGGCAGACATGGGTCCCTAGGGTAGGCCTGGGTCCTAGGCCTGGACATCATGTCTGGCTCCCCCAGCCTTGGTTTCAGCACCCTGCCCTGGGCAACTGCACTTTGCATATTGTGACAACTTAGCCTCCCCCTTCCCTAGAAGTGAGAAGCAGCGATGGATCTCAGCCTTGTGCCCCTCCAGCCCCCAGGAGGACAAGGAGGTCATCAGTGAGGGGGAAGGTAGTAGCTCATCCCTGCTGCTTACATCCCTGGGCTGGACCCTCGCCCGCTCTCCTCCCCTCCCATCCTGGGTGCTGTGTTGCTGGCAGGGCTATGGGGAGAGAGACCAACTTCTGGGGCAGTCAGGGGTAGCTCTGAGGAACCTTGAAGGCTGGGCAGAACTTACATAGCACAGGTGGACTCTGTGTCCACAGGCAGCATCCTGGAGATCATAAAGCCTTCGTAGCCTCCCATTTCACCCCTGTTTTACAAGTTAGAAGAGAGGTTCAGAGATAAATGGACTTGTGTAAGTTCACCCAGCCAGTAAGTAGCAGAGCCGAGACCAGAGCCCAGGTCTGTCTCCATCTTTGCGTCAGTTGCAAACAAGACAAGAAGCAGCCAGAGCCAGGGTATGAGGGGTGGTGGGGGTAGTGGTGGCAGGTGAGGCATCTGCTCAGCTGGAATAAAGGTTTTTCCTTTGGGTGTGAAGTGAGGCTGGTAAGCCAGGGTGCGACCTAATCATAGAGAGCCTTCCTATAGTGTCCCTAGGGAGCTATTGAAGGTTTGTTTGGGGTTTTTTTGAGACAGGGTCTTGCTGTATTGCCCAGGCTGGAGTGCAGTGGCATGATCATGGATCACTGTAGTCTCAACCTCCTGGGCTCAAGTGATCCTCCTGCCTTAGCCTTTTGAGTAGTTGGGACCACAGATATGCACTACCACACCTGGATACCACACCTCTATTTTTATTTTTTGTAGAGATAGGGTATTGCTATGTTGCCCAGCCTGGCCTCAAACTCCTGGACTCAAGCAATCCTTTCCCTTCAGCCTCCCAAAGTGCTGGGATTATAGGCATGAGCCATTGTGCCTGGCTTATTGGAGGCCTTTATTTATTTATTTTTTTGGAGACACAGTTTTACTCTGTACCCCAGGCTGGAGTGCAGTGGCACAATCTCTGCTCATTGCAACCTCCACCTCCTGGGTTCAAGTGATTCTTATGCCTTAGCCTTGCGAGTAGCTGGGATTACAGGCACTTGCCACCACGCCTGGCTTTTTTTTTTTGAGACAGAGTCTCACCCTGCCATCCAGGCTGGAGTGCAATGGCACAATCTTGGCTCACTGCAACCTCCACCTCCCAGGTTCAAACAATTCTCCTGCCTCAGCCTCCCAAGTAGCTGGGATTATAGGCGCCTGCCACCATGCCCAGCTAATTTTTGTATTTTTGGTAGAGGCAGGGTTTTGCCATGTTGACCATGGCTGGTCTCGAACTCCTGGCCTCAAGTGATTCACCTGCCTCAGCCTCCCAAAGTGCTGGGATTACAGGTGTGAGCCACTGCACCCAGCCTTAATGGAGGCTTTTGAGCAGAGGAGTTAGGGCTGAGCTTTAGGTAGTAAAGGGAAAGAAAGGGCACTCATGCCCACTGAGCGCCTGCCATAGGCCAGGCCCAGGGCTAGGGGCCTTGTATTTGCATTAAATCTAATTTAATCCTCATGGCAACCCTACTAGGTAGACATTTTTCATATCTGAGAAAACTCAGGCTTAGAAGGTGAAGTAAATTGGTCACACAGCCAGTAAGCGGCAGAACTGGGATTCAAGCGAGGTCTGGCCCCTCAGTCTGTGGCTTTGGATGCTACCAGCCCACCTGGTCTAATGAAAAGAGCTGAGGACCAGGAAGGGGGTAGATGCTCTGGCTTGAGCTAGGAGTCCCACCTGGGTGGGGGTAAGCTCTCTATTCCCAGGTGGTCAGGGGAGGTCCCTGGCAATTAACATCTGACCCCTGAAGGATGAGGAGAGGTTGTCACGAAAAGATCTGGGGAAGAGCATCTGGCAGAAGGAAGAGCCAGCACAAAGGCCCTGGGGCAGGAGGGAGCTTAGAGTGAGGAACAGCAGGGAGGCTGGTGTGGCTGGAGCTTTGTGAGCGAGTAGGGAGGGAAAGTGGAGGGGAAAGTAGGGAGGGAAAGTGGAGGGGAGAGTAGGGAGGGAAAGTGGAGGGGAGAAGACGAGGATAGCAGGGGGCGATGCCAGACCATGAAGGGCCTTGTAGGGCCTAGGGAGGACTTTGGATTTTATTCTAAGAGGACTGGGAAGCCCTGGAGGGCTTTAAACGGGAGCGATGCAGCTTGAATCCCAGTTGGGAAGGATGGGCCAAAGGGAGCACCAGAGTGATGTTAGGGGCACATTGCAGGGCCGTTACTGTTTTCTGTGGGGTATCTGGGGGCAGTTGGACGTTGGGGTCTGAAGGTCACAAGCAAGGTGTTGGCTTGAGCTGGGGAGGGGACAGCCCTTGGTATAGAGGCAGAAACTGAAGCTGGGAGGGACTGGATTAATCCTGCACTTGTGTTTAGGGTAGGAGAGGAGATAGGCCAGGGTGGGCAGAGGGTATGCCTGCTTGAACGTGGGCCTGTGGCATGGCAGTGGCAGAGGAATAGAAGCCTCAATGGCCACCTTCCCACCCCCTTACTTCCTCCTACTGCCCCTCCCTGCCCTACCCATGCTCCTCCCCCTGCCATCCTGCCCTTGGGACTCCCTGAGCCTCCCTTGGGCTGTCAGATTGCCCCCAGGTTCAGTGTGTTAGGACATACAAGGCACTGCACCCAGATGAGCTGACCTTGGAGAAGACTGACATCCTGTCAGTGAGGACCTGGACCAGTGACGGTGAGGGGGCCTCCTGGGAAAGTGTCCCTGATGGGGCTTGGGTGGGCAGGAGGTGGCTAGATGACTAAGATATCACAGGGAAAGGTTCTGCAAGTGTTGATCTGCCACAGCATGTGGGAATCAGGTTAGATGAGAGGAGGAACTTCCTGCTTGTAAAGATATAGGATGGAGAGTGATGGGGGAGAGTGGGAAATACCCTTTCAGAGGATATCAGGAAAAACAGGTCAGAAGTTCATCTGCAAGACAGCTCAAGACAGGGTCCTTCCTGGAGCTGAGAGATGCTGAGATGATGTCACCTTGGCCCCAAGGGTGCAGACAAAGCTTGCATCAGGGCTGTGGTGTTCCCTTCCAGGCCTGGCCCTGGTACCCCTTTGATGCTGTTGTTCTTGGCCTATGTGTCCCTAGGCTGGCTGGAAGGGGTCCGCCTGGCAGATGGTGAGAAGGGGTGGGTGCCCCAGGCCTATGTGGAAGAGATCAGCAGCCTCAGCGCCCGCCTCCGAAACCTCCGGGAGAATAAGCGAGTCACAAGTGCCACCAGCAAACTGGGGGAGGCTCCTGTGTGATGGGCAGCCATGGCCTAGGACCCCACCTCCATGCCTGGCTCCTGGATGGTCCTGGAGGGGCCTGCAGTGTCTCCATTCCCCAAGCTGCTCCTGCTGGCACTTCGCTTCTGTGGCCTTGGCATTGAGGGCACAGGCTGGACACAGGAATGGGGGCGCCTCCAGAGGGTCTCTCCGTCCTCATGCTCCTCAGTGTCCACACTTCAAGGCCAAGGATAGTTTCTTCCTCTGACATGGGGACCATAACAGGTGATCACTGATACCTGGCAAAGACTGGGGCCCTCTCCTTTCTATGTCCTCAATCCTGCCTGACTCTTGGTCCTTCTGGCAGGGACCTGGCTGGGGAACGTTCTGGTGCTGATGGTGCTGGGACCTATATGTATATTTATATATATCTGGGGTCTTGTCTACCACCTCCCCTGGTCAGAGCCTGAGTGGGTGCTGGTTGCTGTGTCTTGTCTGTAAATAAACTCCTATCATGCCTTTGCTTGGAGTCTGTGATCCATCTGATGCTGCCCCCACCCCCACAGTCCTATTTTCCCAGCTAAAGACCAGGAGAGTCTCCGGCTGGCTCCCAACTGGGGCTTTGCATTTCTCTAGAGTTCATCTCTGAGCTGTAAGGGTGACCAGGGGGCAGGGGGACGATTGTGTATCAGCTAGGCTGCTTTTGGCTGCAAGTAACAAAATATCAGATACAAATAGGCTTAAACATTAAAGAGATTTGATTAGTTCTTTATTTGTTTCCTGTGGCTTCTATAACAAAATTACTTCAAACTGAGTGACTTAAAACAATATTTTCTTCTCTCACAGTTCTGGAGGCCGAGTCCAAAATCAGCAGCACTGGGCCCACACCCAGGGGCTGTACCCCCTCCCGGGGCTCGAGGGGAGAGTGGTTCCTCACCTCTTCTCGCTGCTGGTGGCTGCCGTGTTCCTTGACTTGCAGCCGTATCACTCTGATCTCTGCCTCCGTGGTCACACTGCCTTCTCTGTGTGTCTATACCAAATTTCCCTCTGCCTCCCTCTGATAAACAAGTGATTGCATTTCAGGCCCACCCAGATAATCTTCCCATCTCATAATCCTTAATTTAAATCACATCTGCAAAAACCCTCTGCGCCCCCGCCCCCCACTTTTTTGTCATATGAGGTAACATTCACGGGTTCCAAGGACTAGGGCATGGATATCTTTTGGGGGCCATTTTTCAGCCCAAGCTGGAGTGCAGTGGTGCAATCTTGGCTCACTGCAACCTCCACCTCCCTGGTTCAAGTGATTCTCCTGCCTCAGCCACCTGAGTAGCTGGGATTACAGGTGTCTGCCACGATGCCCGGCTAATTTTTATATTTTTAGTAGATAAGGGGTTTCACTATGTTGGCTAGGCTGGTCTTGAACTCCTGGCCTCAAGTGATCCACCTGCCTCGGCCTCCCAAAGTTCTGGGATTATAGGCATGAACCACCATGCCCAGCCCCTCCCACAGTTTTTGTCACTGAGAAGTATAGAACCAATGCAGGCTTCAGGCAAGGCTTGATCCAGTGGCTCAATGATGTCACTGAGGACCCAGATCTTTCCATTTTTCTACTCTGTTGTCCTTGGTGTTGGCTTTATCCTAAGGCTTCCAGGGGCTTCTTCATTCACATCAAACATGGAATAAGAGAATTGTCCTTGTCTCAGCCTTCCCAGAGTCCTGGGATTCTCTCTGGTTGGATCAGCTTGGCTCACATGGCTACCTCTGGGCTGATCATGGCGGTGCGGATGGGCCTAGCCTAAGTCCTGTGCTCTATCCCTGGAGCCAGGCTGGGGAGTTGTCTTCCCTGGAATCCCGTGGATCCCCAAGTGGAACGTGGTGGCTGCTGCAAAGGAGGGGTGGGTGCTAGAGAGGCCAATGCTTATTACATCACCCAAAAGAGTGGAAGGGCCTGGGAATAATGAACTTGGAGATGTGAACACCTGTGGGGCTGGGAGCATCCTTCAACCCTCCAAGGGAGGTCATGGGGCAAAGAAAACAGGTGAGTCAGGGTGATCCAGAGGGCAAACGTGGGACAGGTGGGGAGAAGCTCAGATCCATGAGGAAGTCTCTGGGAATGACTTTCTATCATGGTGTAGTATAGGGACGAAGGAGCATGTGGGCTTAGGAAGCAGACACATTGGAATTTTTTAAATTTTTTTATTATTTTTTTATTTTTTAGACAGGGTCTTGCTCTGTTGCCCAGGCTGGAGTGCAGTAGTGTGATCATGGCTCACTGCAGCCTCCCAGGCTCAAGCAATCCTCCCGCCTCAGCCTCCTGAGTAGCGGGAACTACAGGTGTGCACCGCCCTGCCCAGCTAATTAAATTTTTTTTAAGTTGAAATTTTGCCATGTGTTGCCCAGGCTGGTCTTGAACTCATGGGTTCAAGTGATCCTCCTGCCTCAGCCTCCCAAAGTGCTGGGAAAACAGGTGTGAGCCATCATGCCCAGCCTTGAATTTTTTTGTTTTTTGTTTTTTGTTTTTTTGATTTTTTTTTTCTCGAGACGGAGTCTTGCTCTGTCACCCAGGCTGTAGTGCAGTGGTGCAATCTCAGCTCACTGCAACCCCTGCCTCCCAGGTTCAAGTGATTCTCCTGCCTCAGCCTCCCGAGTAGTGGGGATTACAGGTGTGTGCCACCGTACCTGGCTACTTTTTGTATTGTTAGTAAAGACAGGGTTTCACCATGTTAGCCAAGCTGGTCTCGAACTCCTGACCTCAGGTGATC